>NC_000015.10:32064752-32367783 GCF_000001405.40 Homo sapiens
CATGCATTCTTAACCCACCTCTGTTGTCAGTATGCATCTGTGCTCTTGCTTTACCTATGCTCATCATACAGAGTCCTCCTCATATTTCCTCTTCTGAGAATAAAATGCTAATATTATGCCATGGCCAAGAGAGGCAGTTGCCACTTGTGCATTGTGGTTCTTAAAATGAATATGCAACAGAGCCTATGAAGAACTTTTAAAATATGAGTGTTGAGGTATGTATGTGAAAATAGCAGAATAATGGCCTCAAAAATTATTTCCTCCATAAAATCAGAAAGAAGAAGGAAACTGCCAACATTTGCCAAAAGTAAGTTTTTCAAAACTTTAGAAATAAACTAAGAGGAGACCAAAAGCTAGCAGCAATCTGGGGAGCATTTATTTTTTATAAAAATAGGCCGAATCTTGGTAAGAACAGTGACTTTTGTGACATTTTAACCTGCCCTATTTCCTTCTCCCATCTCCAGCTCCCTGGTAGCCTTGAATCTGCAATTCAGGCTGCAATCATGATGAAACCATCAGCCTTTCTGTCACCAAAGTGGAGAGAACAGAGTTAAAGCTCCTCAGAGTCTCACTGTTGGAGAATTGTCAGTATTTGGTCTGTCTGGTGGTTCAGTAGAAGACCCCACTTGCAAGACTATTTTTACTTGACCAAATGCAGAGCTTTCCCAGTCTAGAAAGCCTTTTCCCTGGGTTGTTGGGTTGAAAATTTAGAAGTAATTGCTTAACCTTGGGGCTGCCTGAGGCAGTGGATATCAACTGAGGAAGATAATAAGCTATAAAAAGATGAAAAGGAAAGGCTGGGGAATTCGATGTCCACAAGTTCTTTGAAAAGCTCCAAAAAACACATGTAAGGCTGTGCACATGCTCAGGAAAAATCTGAGAAGGCCTTAGACTCTCACCTCTGACTGACCTTGAGACTGTGCACAGGCAGGAAGTGAAGGCTAAAGCAGGGCTGTCAGCTGCCTGGCTGTGTGCGGAAGGTGTGCCCCAGCACACAACACAGCCCACTGCAAACACTGGGGGCAGAGCTGTCAGCTGCCTGGCTGTGTGTGGAAGGTGTGTCACAGCACACAGACATAGCCCACTGCAAACACTGGGGACAGAGCTGTCAGTTGCCTGGCTGTGTGTGGAAGGTGTGCCCCAGCACACAACACAGCCCACTGCGAACACTGGGGGCAGAGCTGTCAGCTGCCTGGCTGTGTGTGGAAGGTGTGCCCCGGCACACAACATAGCCCACTGCAAACACTGGGGACAGAGCTGTCAGCTGCCTGGCTGTGCCGAAGATGTGCTCCAGCACACAGATGCAGCCCACTGCCAACACTGGGGATTCATGGATGCCAAGCATTGAAGGAAATCTCAGTTTCCTAAATAGCTGGCAACTCATATAACAAAGGAAAGACTTTAGTGAGTATACACAACAAAAGATACAGACTTTACAGAATTAGTTGAGAAAAGTTACTGAATAAACAAATAGCAGCAACAACAAACCTAGGGTTGGAGGATATACTTTCCAGATTTTTCACATTATAGTATTTTTTTTTTTTTTTGAGATGGAGTCTCACTCTGTCGCCCAGGCTGGAGTGCGGTGGCGCGATGTCCACTCACTGCAACCTCCACCTCCTGGGTTCAAGCCATTCTTCTGCCTCAGCCTCCCAAGTAGCTGGGATTACAGGCATGTGCCACCACGCCCAGCTAATTTTTGTATTTTTAGTAGAGACAGGGTTTCACCATGTTGGCCAGGATGGTCTCGATCTCTTGACCTCATGATATGCCTGCCTCGGCCTCCCAAAGTACTGGGATTACAGGCATGAGCCACCATGCCCAGCCACATTGTAGTATTTAAAATGTCCAATTTTCAAAAAATATATGTATGAGACATGCAGTGAAAATTTAAAAAGCAGATGGCATATACAGAGGGAAAAACAAAACAGAGTCAATAGGAATTGTCCTAAGAAAGCCCAGATGTTGAGTTTACTAGCAAAACACTTTAAACCAGTTATTTTATATATGTTCAATGCAGTAAACACTGTCTAAAACACTAAAGGAAAGTATAAGAATATCTCACCAAATAAATAATGCCAGTAAAGATGCATAGACATAAAAAATTTGATTCTGGAGTTAAAAATTCCAATAATGAAAATGAAATATTAACTAATGAGTTTCAATAAAGGATTCGAACAGGTGGAAGAAAGAAGGAACTTAAAGACGGATCAACTGAGTTTATCCCATCTGAATAACTGAGAAAAAAAATGGGGAAAAATGAACTAAGCATCAGAAACCTGTGAGAAAACAATCATAGCAACATACGCAAAAGAGTTATCCTAGAAGGAAAGAGGAAAGAAAGGGGCAGAAAGAATACTTGAAGCCAAAGGGAGTAAAAGCTTCCCAAATTGGGTGAAAAACATTGATGTACACATCCGTAAAGCTTAACAAACTACAGGAAGGATAAAACCAAAGATCCACACCTAGATACATCATAATCAAACTGTTGAAAGACAAAGAGGGAATCTTGAAAGCAGCAGGAGAGAACCAACTCATCACATGCAAAGTAGCCTTAATCAGATGAACAGCTGATTTCTCAACAGAAACCATGGAAGATAGAAAGCAGTGGAAAAGGATATTTTCAAAGTGCTGGAAGAAAAGACTTTAAGAATTCTATACCCAGTAAAAATATCTTTCAAAATGAAGGAGCAATTAATGCATTTTCCAATTTTAGAGAAGCTGAGACAATCCACTGCTGGAAAATTTTCCCTGCAAGAAAATACTGAAGAGTACTTTAGGTGAAATGAAAGGAGGGTAATTGGGATCTATAAAGAGATAAAGAATATCAGTAAGTAACTACCTAGGTAAACATAAAAGACACTGTAAATATATTTTGTGTTCATAACTCTTTTTTTCTCCTCTCTGATTTGAGATGCAACTGCATAAAGCAATAATTATAAGTATGTGTTGATATGCATACAGTGTATATAAATGTAATTTTTAATGCAACAACAACACAGAGGAGGAGAAAGCAAAGTTATACAGGGGGAAAGTTTTTGTACACTATTGCTTTAAGTTAGTATCAATCCAGACAAGATTGTTAGAAGTCAAGATGTTAATTGTAATTCCCGGGAAAAACAGCTTTACAAGAAGTAAGTGAAGTGACAAGGAAATGAAAATGGTACAGTGGAGAACATCTGCTTAACAAATTAGAAGGCAGTAGGGAAGGATTGGGGGAAGCACACAAGGCATGTAGAAAATCATAAAAAGCACCTAAGACATATAGAAAATAGCAAACTGGGCACAGTGGTTCACACCTGTATTTTAAGCCCTTTGGGAGGCTGAGACAGGAGGATTGCTTGAGGCCTATCGTTGGAGGCTAGCCTGGGTTACAGAGTGAGGCCCTATCTCTACAAAAAAAAGAAAAATTAGGTAGGCATGGTGACTCACACCTGTAGTCCTAGCTACTCAGGAGGTTGAGGTGGGAGGATTGCTTGAGTGCATGAGTTTGAGGCTACAGTGAACTGTGATTACACTGCACTCTAGCCTGGGTAACAGAGTGAGACCCTGAGGAAGGAAGGAGCAACCTGTTAGCTGTAAATTCTACTTTATCAGATTGCACATGGAAGTAGGTGGATTAGACACTCCAATGAAAATACAGAGATTGACAGAATAAATTAATAATTTGGCTGTATATGCAAGAGACACATTTTAGATTCAAAGGCACAAATAGGTTGAAAATAAATAGATGCAAAAAGATAATACCATGCAAACAGTAGTGAAGCTAGAGCTACAGTGGCTATACCAATATCAGACAAAATAGACTTCAAAGCATTACTACATCTCTACATGGTGGTGGGCGCCTGTAATCCCAGCTATTCGGGAGGCTGAGGCAGGAGAATTGCTTGAACCCAGGAGGCAGAGGTTGCAGTGAGCCGAGATCGCACCACTGCACTCCAGCCTGGGTGGCAGAGCAAGACTCCATCTCGGGGAAAAAAAAAAAGAAAAAAGTGTTACTACAGACTAAAAAGAGCATTTCATTGTAATAAAAAGTAAACTGGTCAGGAATATATCACAATTATAAATACATATGACGTATCAATGGGGCCCTCAAATACATGAAGCAAAAAGAGACAGAATTAAAGGGGAGTAATAGACAATTCAACAAAAATAGTTGAAGACTTCGGTACCCCTCTTTCAATAATGATAGAAACACTAGACAGTTAAAAAATAAATGGAAGACTTGAATGGCTTTCGTCTGCTAGCTAATGGACACCTTTTTTGTGATACCCTTGTTTCTTGTGTATAATTTTAAAACAACTACATAAAGCAATAATTAAAATCTGACTGACATTAGACTTAATAATAGAGTTAATAACCATTAGGCTTAAATTAGACCTAATAGACACATCTATAGGACACTCCACAGAAAATGAAAAGACAACTCACAGAATGTGAGATAATATATGAAATAATATATTTCCTAAGGGTCAAGTATCCAGCATATGTTAAAGAAACTCTTACAACTCAACAAAAATACAACCTAATTTAAGAAAGATCAAAGGATATTTATCCAATGAAATACTAAATGAGTAGACATTTATTCAGTGCAATAGTCAAAGCCACTGAGGCTGGGCCTGATGGCCGAAACCTGTAGTCCCAGCATTTTGGGAGGCTGAGGCAGGAGGATCACTTGAGGCCAGGAGTTGGAGACCAGCCTGGGCAACCCATCAAGACCCAATTGCTACAAAAAAATTTAAAAATTAGCTGGGTGCAGTAGTGAATGGCTGTAGTCCCAACTCCTCAGGAGGCTGAGGCAGGAGGATCACTTGAGCACAGGAGGTCGAGGCTGCAGTGAGCTATGATTATACCACTGCACTCCAGCCTGGGTGATGGACCAAAACCCCATCTCAGAAAACAAAAACAAAAAACTAAGAAAACTCCACTGAATTCTGTACTTTAAAAAGATAATTTTATCATACATTAATTATGGCTCATTTTTTAAGTATAAATGCTTGTGTCCAAACCTTCTTATATCTTGAATTGTTCAGTGTGAAAAGAGATCTAGGTTGCTTTTTTTTTAAAACAAAGCTTCCTGAATTGTCTGTTGTGAATATTGTGTTAGCAAACATAGATTTTGAAAATCAGCGAAACACCAGAACTTGAAACGCACTCTGGGCACTTAACTTGAAAGTACTACATATGCTATTTTTATAATTATTTTTTATCTGATTTTCCCCCCGCCCACTAGATTTATCTCAATTGATGAAGCATTTATTGTGGCTTCTTAATAGATGTCTATTTAGAAGAATTATAAACCTTTTTAAAAAATAAGCCAGCTTTATTGAAGCTGTAATTGACATACAAAAACTATATAGTTTAAGTATACAGGTTGATAGGTTGAGACAAGTTTGTACACTCATGAAACCATTCCGACAATATAAAGAACATTTCCATCATTTGTAATAGGCTGCGTTTTGTTTTGTTTTGTTTTTTGCCCCTCTGCAGTTCCTCCCTTACACCTCAGCTTCCTCTAACCTCCAGGCAACCACTAATCTGATTTGTCACTATGGATTATTTTGCTCACTATTTAATTGGATTTTTTAAATGTTGAATTTTGAGAGTTCTTTATATATTCCAGAGATAAAAGTACTTTGTCAGATATGTGGACTCTAAATGTAAGAGTGGTTTCCAATACTCTTAACAAGGTATTTTCCAGCAAAAAAAAAGTTTTTAATTTTCATACAGTCTAATTTTATTTTTCTTCTACAGCTCATGTTTTTAGTGTCATGTCCAAGAACATTTCACTAAGCCCAGGACCCTGAAGATTTTTTCCTATGTTTTCTTAAAAAGGTTTATAGTTTAACATTCACATTTAAGTCTGCAATCTATTTTGAGTTTTTTTTGTGTGTGTGAACATGTGAGGTTTAGTTCCTTTTTTTTTTTTTTTTTTTTTTTTTTTTTTTTTTTGAGACGGAGTCTTGCTCTGTCGCCCAGGCTGGAGTGCAGTGGCACGATCTTGGCTCACTGCAAACTCTGCCTCGCGGATTCACGCCATTCTCCTGCCTCAGCCTCCCGAGTAGCTGGGACTACAGGCACCCACTACCATGCCCAGCTAATTTTGTTGTATTTTTAGTAGAGATAGGGTTTCACCGTGTTAGCCAGGATGGTCTTGATCTCCTGACTTCATGATCCGCCCATCTCAGCCTCCCAAAGTGCTGGGATTACAGGCATGAGCCACCGTGCCTGGCCTAGTTCCTTTTTTTATATCGATGTCCGATTGCTGCAGCCCCATTTGTTGAAAAGATTGCCCTTTATTATCCATTGAATTGCTTTTGCACATCTGTCATAATTATTAGGCTCCACTTCAGGAGGTCTATTTCTAGAGTCTTTATTCTGTTTCATTTATCTATGTATTAATCCCTCAACTAATACCACACAGCCTAGATCACTGTAAATCTTCAAATCTGGTGGGATGATTGCTTATATTCCTTCTCTTTCAAAGTTGTTTCAGCTACTCTTTTCCTTTTGTCTTTCCATATACATTTTAGAACTATCGTATGTATATCAACAAATATATTACAGGGATTTTGATATGATTACATTAAACCTCGATACCAATTTGAGGAATGTTAGCATATTTATTATATTATTTCAGTTTGTGAATATGTCTGTTTATTTCTTCTTTGATTCCTGTCATTGGTGTTTGTAATTTTCAATATACAAGTCAAGTACACACTTCGTTAGATTTACACCTAAGCCATTTGATATGGATTGTCCCCTCCAGATCTCATGTTGAAATGTGATCCCCAGTATTGGAGGTGGGGCCTGGTGGGAGGTGTTTGGATGATTGGAGCAGATCCCTCATGAATGGCTTGCTACCCTCCCCAGTATAATGAGTTTATACAAGAGCTGGTTGTTCAAAAGAGCCTGGCACCTCCTCCTCTCTCTCTTGCTCCCTCTTTCACCACGTGACACACCTGCTCCCCTTCACCTTCCACCATGATTATAAGCTTCCTGAGGCTTCACCAGAAACAGATGCTGGCACTATGCTTCTCGTACAGCCTGCAGAACTGTGAGCCAAATAAGCCTCTTTTTTTTTTTTTCTCAATAAGTCAGTCTCAGGTATTCCTTTATAGCAGCACAAAATGGACTAACAGTAAATTGGTACTGAGGAGTGGGGTGTTGCTATAAAAGATACTTGAAAATGAGGAATTAATTTTGGAACTGGGTATGGGCAGAGGTTGGAAGAGTTTGGAGGACTTAGAAGACAGGAAGATTAGGGAAAGTTTGGAACTTCTTAGAGACTGGTTAAATGGTTGTGACCAGAATGCTGATGGCAATATGGACAGTGAAAACCAGGCTGATGAAGTCTCAGATAGAAATGAGGAATTTATTAAAAACGAGTAAGGGCACTCCTGTTACACCCTAGCAGATAACTAGGCTGCATTGTATTCATGTTCTAGGGATTTATGGAAAGTTGAACTTAAGAGTGATAACCTAGGGCATCTGGCAAAGGACATTTCTAAGCAGCAAAGCATTTAAGAGGTGACATGGCTGCTTCTAACAGCCTACTGTCAGATGCAGGAGCGAAGAAATGACTCAGAGTTTGAAGTTACATTTAAAAGGGGAGCAGAGTGTAAAAGTTAGAAAATTTGCAGCCTGGCTGTGTGAAAGAAAAAGCATTTTCAGGAGAGGACAATAAGCAGATTGTGTCAGGAGAGGACTACAAGCACTAGTGGAGCAACTTCTCCCAAAAGAGATTTGCATGACTAAAAGGGAGGCAAGCACTAATAGCCAAGACAATGGGGAAAAGGCCTTGAAGGGGTCTCAGAAATCTTTGGGACAGAAGTTCCCATCACAGGTCCAGAGGCCTGGGAGGAAAGACTGGTTTCTGAGGCCAGAGCTGAGGCACTGCTGCCCTGCACAGCCTTAGGACACTGCATCCGTGATCCTGGAAGCTCTGGCTCCAGTCATGGCACAGAGGGCTCCAGGTACAGCTTGAGCCACTGCTTCAGAGAACATAAGCCGTAAGCTTTGGTGGTACCATGTGGTACTAAGTCTGCAGGTGCACAGAATGCAAAATTGAAGGAAGCTTGGCAGCTTTTACCTAGCTTTCAGAGGATGTATGGAAAACACTGGGTGCCCAGGTGGAAGCCTATTGCAGGGGTGGAGCTACCATGGAGGGCGTCTAATAGGGTAGTGCTGAGGGGAAAGATGGGGTTGGAGCCCTCACATGGAGTCCCCACCAGGTCACTGCCTACTGGAGCTGTAGGAAGGGGGCAACCATCCGCCAGACCCATGAATGGTAGAGCCACTGTCAGCTTGCACCCTGAGCCCAGCAAAGCTGCAGGCAGTCAACTCCAACTTGTGTGAGCAGCCACAGAGAGGGCACACTCTCCAAAGCCACAGGGTCAGAGCTTTCCAAGGCCTTGGGAGCTCACCTCTCACAACAGTGTACCCAGGATGCGGGACATGGAGTCAAAGGAGGTTATATTGGAGCTTGAAGGTTTAATGTTGGCCCTGCTGGGTTTCAGACTTGTGTGTGGCCTATTGCCCCTTTCTTTTGGCTGATTTCTCCCTTTAGGAATGGGAATGTTTACCAAATGCCTGTACCACCATTGTTTCTTGAAAGCAAATAACTTGTTTGTGATCTAACAGGCTCATAGGTCAAAGAAATTTGCCTTGAGCCTTAGATGAAACTTTGGACTTTTGATTGAGTTAATGCTGGAATAAGTTAAGACATTTGGGGACTATTTGGAAGGGATGATTATATTTTGTAATAGGAGAAGGACAAGAGATTTAGGGGACCAAGTGCAGAATGATATGGTTTGGGTATTTGTTCCTTCTAAATCTCATGTTGAAATGTGATCCTCAATATTGGAGGCAGGGGCTGGTGGAAGGTGTTTGGGTCGTGGGGATGGATCCCTCATGAATGGCTTGCTGCTCTCCCCACTGTAATAAGTTCATGCAAGAACTGGGTGTTTAAAAGAGGCTAGCACCACTTGCCCTCTATCTTGCTCCCTCTTTTGCCATATGACACACCTGCTCCCCTTTTGCCTTCCACAATGATTTTAAGCTTCCTGAGGCTTCACCAGAAGCAGATGCTGGCACCATGCTTCTTGGGCAACCTGCAGAACCAGAAACCAAATAAATCTCTTTCCTTTATAAATTACCCAGTCTCAGGTATTCCTTTTTACCAATGCAAAAGGGACTAATACATTGGTCTTCCTTCATTGTTTTCCTTCTTCCTGTTCCCATTTTCTCCCTTCCTTCATTGTCCTCCTTCTTCCTGTTCCCATTTTCTCCCTTCCTTCTTTCCTTCCTTCTTATTGTTAAAAATTGTAAATGTTAATGTATATTTAATTTTGATGTCCATATGCTCATTGCTGGTGTATATAAATCAAGTTGATTTTTGGTATGTTAATTTTGTATCCTGCAGCTTTGCTAAACTCACTTATTCTGTTTTTGTTTTGTTTTTGTGGATTCTTCGGGATTTTCTATGCAGACAATTATGTCTTCTGCAAACAGCCAGTGTTATTTCTTTCCTTTCCATCTGTATGTGTTTCATTGCCTTTTCTTGAACTTACTGCACTGGCTAAAACTTCTAACAGTATAACATAACATAACATAGTGTTAGAAGTTTTAGCCAGTGCAATAAGTTCAAGAAAATAGAATAAAAGTAGAGAGAGCAAACGTCTTTGCCTTGTTTCCTATTTTAAGAAGAAATTATTGATTATTTTACTACTAAATATAACTGTAGCTATAACTGTTTTGTAAATGCTGTTTATCAAGTTGAGGAAGTTTGCCTTTATTCCGACTTTTTTGAGTTTTATAATGAATAGGTCTTGAATTTCGTCAGATGGTTTTTTCTGCGGCTCTTGATATGAATCACATTATTAATATTATTATTATTATTATTATTATTATTATTTTTGAGACAGAGTCTCCCTCTTGTTGCCCAGGCTGGAGTGCAGTGGCATGATCTCGGCTCACTGCAACCTCCGCCTCCTGGGTTCAAGTGATTCTCAGGCTCCCGAGTAGTTGGGATTACAGGCATCCGCCACCACGCCCAGCTAATTTTTTGTAGTTTCATTAGAGATGAGGTTTCACCATGTCGGCCAGCCTAGTCTTGAACTCCTGACCTCAGGTGATCCACCCACCTCGGCCTCCCAAAGTGCTAGGATTACAGGCATGTGCCACCGCGGCTGGCCAGAATCACATTATTTGATATGAATTTTTTTGTGTAGTTTTTCTTCTTTTGCCTTTTCTATTTAAGTTTTATATTGATTGATTTTCAAATATTAAACCAGCCTTAAATCCCTGGAATAAACCCTGGTTTGGTCATGGAACATAATTTTTTTGTATATATTGCTGAATTCAATGTGCTAACACTTATTATGGATTTTTGTGTCTATGAGAGATATTCATCTATATTTTCTTTTTTATACTTTCTTTGTTTCTGTAAGCAGGGTAATACTGGCTTAATAAATGAATTGAGAAGTGTTTCCTCTTTCAAATTGTGGAAGCAATGGTGTAGAATTGGTGTTAAAATTATTCTTTAAACATTTGATACAGTGAAATCGTCTGGGCTTAGAGACTTTATTTTTAAGAGTTTTAAAATTACAATTTCAGCATCTTTAATGTTATAGGACTTTTAAAATTATTTATTTTGTATTAGGTGAGTTGTAATCATTTGTCTTTTTTGAGGGATTTATTCATTTCGTCTAAATCGTCCAATTTATGAGTGTAAAATTCTTCATAGTACTTTCTTATTATCCTTTGATATCTGCAGGATCTGCATTCATATCCTCTATTTTAGTCCTCATGCTGCTTATTTGAATCTTCTCTCTTTTTTCTTTATTAGTCTCGCTAAAGGTTTTTCAATGTTACTGTTCTTTTTAGAGAACCAGCTCTTTGTATCATTGATTTTCTCTATTGCTTGCTTTCAATATCATTGATTTCTGCTCTTACCTCTATTTTTTCCTTCATCCTTCTTGCTCTCTGGGAAATTTTTTTTTCTCTTTTTGTAGGTTCTTCAGATAGGAGCTTATATTATTTTTTGAGTCTTTTCCTTTTTTCTCATATATGCATTTATTATTGTAAATTTCCTTCAGCATTGCTTGCTTTCTATCTCACAAATTTTAATATGTTGTATTTTCATATTCAAAATATATTTTTAAAAATTATCTTGATTCTTTCTTTTTGACCTACAGATTACTTAGAATGTGTGTTTTTTCAATATTTTAGCCTTTGGATATTTTCCTATTATTCTTCCATTGTTAATTTGATTCCAAATTATACTTTGTGTTATTTCAGTTATTCTACATTTTTGAGTTTTATGGTCCAGAGTATGGCACATTTTGGTATGTACTCCATGGCCACGTGAAAAGAGTATTTTCTGCTTTTGTTCATTGGGGTGTTGTGTAAATTTTAGTTATATCTTGTTGGTTGATATTGTTAAGTTTGTCTGTATCCTTGCTGATTTTCTGTCTCTTTCTCTTTTAAATTGTGGAGAGACAAAGTATAAACATCTCCAGCTATAATTGTGGATGCTTCTGTTTCTCCTTTCAATTTTGTAAGTTTTGTCATCTATGTGTTTTGAAGTTTGATGACACACAATTAAGATTGCTGTGTTTTCTTGGCAGATTGGCCTGTTTATCGTCAGATATTGTCTCTCCCTATCTATGGTAATTTTCTTTGCTCTGAATGCTTTATTTGATATTATATCAGGCCACAACAGATTTATTTAGATTAAGGTTTACATGCTGTATTTTGTTCTATTGTTTTATTTTCAAATCGTGTGTATTGTTTTATTTGATATAAGTTTCTTGTAGACAGCTTATAGTTTGGTCATGCTTTTTTGTTGCTGTTTTTAGTAGATTTTATTTTTAGAGCAGTTTTAGGTTTACAACAAAATTGAACAAAAGTACAAAGATTTCCCACATATCCTGTGTCACCCCACATGCATAATCTCTCTCATTATTAACATCCCTGACCAGAGTGGTACATTGTTACGATTGACAAACCTACACTGACACATCATTGTCACCCAAAATTCATAGTTTACATTAGTGTTTGTTCTTGGTGTTGTACATTCTGTAGGTTAGGGTAAATGTATAATGACCTGTATCTACCATTATAATATCATTCAGAATAGTTTCACTGCCCCCCAAGTCTTCTCTGCTCCACCTAGTCATCCCTTGCTCCACCCAACTCTTGAAAACCCTTGGTCTTTTTATAGTATCTATAATTTTACCTTTTCCAGAATGTCAGCTCTGGGAATGTATGGTCCCACAGTTGGGAGCATACAGAATGTAGCCTTTTCAGATTTGACTTCTTTCACATAGTAATATGCATTTAAAGTTCCTCCATGTCTTTTTATGGCTTGATAGCTCTTTTTTTTTTTAGTGTTGAATAATAATCCATTGTCCAGATGTACCACAGATTACCCATTTACCTACTGAATGACATTTTGGTTGCTTCCAGTTTTGGGCAATTATGAATAAAGCTTCTATAAACATCTGTGTATAGGTATTGTGTGGACATATGTTTTCAAATCCTTTGGGTAAATACCAAAGAGGGCAATTGCTGGATTAAATGGTAAGAGTATGTTTAGTTTTGTAAGAAAATCCTAGACTGTCATTCCAAGTGCCTGTACCATTTTCTGTTCTCACCAGCAATAAATGAGAATTCCTGTTTCTGTTTGTCCTTGCCAGCATTTGGTGTTGCCAGTGTTCTGGATTGTGGCCATTTCAATAAATGTGTAGTGGTATCTCATTGTTGTTTTACTCTGCATTTCCCTGATGACATATGATGTGGAACATATTTTCATATGTTGATCTGTATGTCTTCTTTGGTGAAGTATCAGTTAAGATCTGTCTTAGTTCATTTAGTGTTCCTATAAAGGAATACCTGAGGCTGGGTAATTTATAAAGCAATGAGTTTTATTTGGCTTACAGTTCTACAGGCTGTGGAAGTATGGCACCATCATCTGCTTCTGATGAGGGCTTCAGTCTGCTTCTACTCATAGCAGAAGGTGAAGGAGGAGGAGCATGTGTAGAGATCACATGATAAGAGAGGAAGCAAGAGAGAAAGAGAAAGAGGTGACAGGCTCTTTTTAACAACTAGCACTCACTGCTCTTATGGGAACTAAAACAGTGGTAACTCATTACCAGGAGGATAGTACCAAGCCATTCATGAGGGATTTGCCCCGTGACCCAAACACTTCCCCTTAGGTGCCACCTCCAGTGTTGGGGATCAATTTTCCATATGAGATTTGGAGGGATCAGACAAACTATAGCAAGGTCTTTGGCCTATTTTTAAATTGGGTTGCTTGTTTTCTTTTTGTTGAATTTTAAGCACTGTTTGATGTTTTTGTATAACAGTCCTTTATCTGATTTGTCTCTTTCAATTACTTTCTCCCATTCTGTGACTTGGCTTCTCATTATCTTGAAATTTTCTTTTGCAGAGGAGAAGTTTTTAATTTTAATGAAGTCCAGTCTATCAATTCTTTCTTTCGTAGATCATCCTTTGGTGTTACTTCTAAAAAGTCATCACCATACCAAAGTCATGTAGGTTTTCTCTTGTGTTATCTTCTAGTTTTATAGTTTTGCATTTTACATTTAGGTCTGTGATCCATTTTGAGTTAATTTTTGTGAAGGATGTAAGGTTGTATCTACATTTATTTTTTCGTATGTGGATGTGAGTTATTTCAGCATCATGTCTTTTAAAGACTATTGGGACCTGTTTTTCTAGTCTCTGCCAACGTGTATTAAATTACTTTATTTAAAACTAGAAAACCTAGAAGAAATGGTTACATTCCTGAACACATACACCCTCCCAAGACTGAACCTGGATACAGTCAAATCCCTGAATAGACCAATGACAAGTTCTGAAATTGAGGCAGTAATAAAAGCCTACCAACCAAAAAAAAAAAAAAAAAGCCCAGGACCAGATGGATTTATAGCTTAATTCTACCAGAGGTACAAAGAGGACCTGGTACCATTTCTTCTGAAACTATTCCAAACAATTAAAAAGGAGGGACTCCACCCTAACTCATTTCATGAGGCCAGCATCATCCTGATACCAAAACCTGTCAGAGATACAACAAAAAAAGAAAACTTCAGGCCAATATCCCTGATGAACTTCGATGCAAAAACCCTCAATAAAATACTGGCAAACCAAATCCAGCAGCACATCACAAAGCTTATCCACCATGATCAAGTCAGATTCATCCCTGGGATGCAAGGTTGGTTCAACATAGGAAAATCAATAAATGTAGTTCGTCACATACACAGAACTAAAGACAAAAGCCACTTCATTATCTCGATAAATGCAGAAAAGGACTTTGATAAAATTAAACATCCCTTCATGTTAAAAACTCTCAATAAACTAGGTATTGATGGGACATACCTCAAAATAATAAGAGCCATTTATGGCAGACCCACAGCCAATATCATACTGAATGGGCAAAAGCTGGAAACATTCCCCATGAAAACCAGCACAAGACAAGAATGCCCTCTCCCACCACTCCCATTCAACATAGTATTGGAAATTCTGGCCAGGGAAATCAGGCAAGAGAAAGAAGTAGAGGGTATTCAAATAGGAAGAGAGGAAGTCAAATTGTCTCTGTTTGCAGATGATATGATCCTATATCTAGAAAACCCCGTTGTCTCAGCTTCAAATCTCCTTAAGCTGATAAGAAACTTCAGCAAAATCTCAGGACAGGAAATCAATATGCAAGAGTCACAAACATTTCTATATAACAACAGACAGAGAGCCAAATCATGAATGAACTCCCATTCACAATTGCTACAAAGCAAATAAAATACCTAGGAATACAGCTAACAAGGGAAGTGAAGGACCTCTTCAAGGAGAACTACAAACCACTGCTCAAGGAAATCAGAGAGGATACAAACAAATGGAAAAGCATTCTATGCTCATGGATAGGAAAAATCAATATCATGAAAATGGCCATACTGCCCAAAGTAGACAGATTTAATGCTATTCCCATTAAATTACCATTGACATTCTTCACAAAATTAGAAAAAAAAAAACTACTTTAAAATTCATATTGAACCAAAAAAGGGCCCTTACAGCCAAGGCAATTCCAAGCAAAAAAGAACAAAGCTGGAGCAGCATCACTCTACCCAACTTCAAACTATACTACAGTGCTACAGTAACCAAAACAGGATGGTACTGGCACAAAAACAGACACATAGACCAATGGAACAGAATAGAGAATTCAGAAATAAGACCACACATCTAAAACCATCTGATCTTCTACATACCTGACAAAAACAAGCAATGGGGAAAGGATTTCCTATTTAATAAATGGTGCTAGGAGAACTGGCTAGCCATATGCAGAAAATTGAAACTGGATCCCTTCCTTACACCATATACAAATATTAACTCAGGGTGGATTAAAGACTTAAATGTAAAACCCTAAAATATAAAAACCTAGAAGAAAATGTAGGCACTATCATTCAGGACGTAGGCATGGGCAAAGATTTCATGTTGAAAACGTCAAAATCAATTGCAACAAAAACAAAAATTAACAAATGGGATCTAACTAAAGAGCTTCTGCACAGCAAAAGAAACTGTCATCACAGTGAACAGACAGCCTATAGAATGTGAGAAAATTTTTACAATCTGTCCATCTGACAAAGGTCTAATATCCAGAATCTACAATGAACTAAACAAATTTACAAGAAAAACACAACCCCATTAAAAAAATGGGCGAAAGGCAAGAACAGACACTTCTCAAAAGAAGACATTTATGTGGGCAACAAACATATGAAAAAAAAGCTCCACATCACGAATCATTAGAGAAATGCAAGTCAAAACCACAATGAGATACCAACTCATGCCAGTCAGAATGGCGATTATTAAAAAGTCAAGAAACAACAGATGCTGGCAGGGCTGTGGAGAAATAGGAATGCTTGTATTCTGTTGGTGGGAATGTAAATTAGTTCAACCATTGTGGAAGACAGTGTGGCAATTCCTCAAAGACCTAGAACCAGAAATACCATTTGACTCAGCCGTCCCATTACTGGGTATATATCCAAAGGAATATAAATCATTCTATTACAAAGATACATGCATGTGTATGTTCATTGTAGCACTATTCACAATAGCAAAGACATGGAATCAACCCAAATTCTCATCAATGATAGACTAAAGAAATGTGGTACATATACACCATGGAATACTACAGAGCCATAAAAAGAAATGAGATCATGTCCTCTACAGGTACATGGATGAAGCTGGAAGCCATTATTCTCAGCAAACTAATGCAGGAACAGAAAAGCAAACACTGCATATTCTCATAAGTGGGAGCTGAACAATGAGAACACATGGACATGGGGTAAAGCAGGGAACAACACACACCAGGGCCTGTCGGGTGGGGTCCTGGCAGTGGGAGAGCATCAGGAAAAATAGCAAATGCATGCTGGGATTAATACCTAGGTGATGGGTTGATAGGTGCAGCAAACCACCATGGCACATGTTTACCTGTGTAACAAACCTGCACATGTATCCCGAAACTTAAAATATAAAATTAAATTTGAAAAATAAAAATAAATAAATTACTGTACTTAGAGTATTTACATTTAATGTAATTATTGGTATGTTAGGGGCTTATGTGTGCCATTTTATTTCTGTATTTTGTTTATCTTTTTTATATTTTACCTGCTTTCCTATAGGCTATTTGAACATTTTTAAGAATTCCATTTGATTTATTCATAGTGTGTCCCAGTGGAACTCTTTGTGTATATATAAATTATTCCAATGAGTAATACTCTATTGTTTGAATATTAGTCGTTTTTCTAGGTATTATATTATTTATGAATAGCTTATTCCTGTCTACTAATGTTATTTTACCAGTTTGCATGCAGCATAGAAACTTTACCTCCCTTTATCCTCTCCTGTAGTTACCTTTACTATTTTCTCCACATACATTAAAACCATCTCAGACAGTTTTATACTTTTTCCTTCAACCAACAAACATAACTTAGAATACTCAACAAGAGAAAAAAAGTTCCATTATATTTACCCATATTTTTACTTGCCATATTTTTCCCTGCTTTCTCTCCACTCTTCCTTCTTTTAATGTTTCCTTTCAATCTATTGAACTTTAGCTATTCTTCTGAAGGTAGATGTGGTGGCAACACAATCTTTTAGTTGCCTCAGTCTGAGAATTTCTTCATTTTTCTTTCATTTTTGACCAATATATTTCACTGTATATAGGATTCTGAGGTGATCTTTTTTTCAGCATTTGAAAAGGTTGTTTTTCTTCATTCTGAACTCTGTGGTTTCCAATGAATAATACTTTGTCATTTGAATTGTTTTTGCAGTATAGGTAATGTGTCATTTTTCTTTCTCTGTTTTTAAGGTGTTTGTGTGGTCCTTAATTTTTAGAAATTTGACTGTGATGTGTCGTGGTGGAGATTTCTTTGGATTTATCTTGTTTGGGGTTTGTTCATTTCTTTAATCTATAGATCTGTGTCTTTTATCAAATTTGTGAAGTGTTGGTCATTATTCATGTACTTTTTCAACTCCACCTTCTTCTTTTATCTAGGACTCCAATTATATGATTATTAGATTTTTTTTGTAGTCCCATAAGTCTGACTTTTTTTTCAGTTTATTTTACCTTTGTTTTTCAAATTGAGTAATTTCTATTCTATCTTTGTGTTCACAATCTCCACCTGTAATTCTTAGTAAAGCAGGTTATATGTAAGATGAGAATGTTTTAGAGAACAACTCAGCATGAAAATAATCAGATCATATTTGTGGCAATACAGGATGTAAAATATGGGGATCATAGAATAGAACTTAACAGTTCTTTCAACAGTTGGATAATGCAATTAGTACAACTTTATGCAATGTCTTCTTTCCACTGTATATCTTATTTTTAATATGATTATTTTGAAAAAACATACTAATTATATAATATTCCATTTTATGTATAAGCAATGATGTATTGCTGGGCAGTTAACTTTGTTGATAATATTGCAAGCCCTATAAATAACATTATAATGAACATCTTTGGGTTTCTATTTTTGTTAATGATCACTGTTTTTTAGTATAATTTCTTAAATGTGAAATTAGTAGCTCAGGCTGGGCATGATGGCTCATGCCTGTAATACCAACACTTTGGGAGGCCGAGACAGGTGGATCACTCGTGGTCAGGAGTTCAAGACCAGCCTGGCCAACATGATGAAACACTGTCTCCTACTAAAAATACAAAAATCAGCCTCGTGTGGTGGTGCACACCTGTAGTCCCAGCTACTTGGGAGAATCTTTCATGATAACCTGACTTTCTATAAAATATAAATTAGGACAAATGTATTCCTTGGTGCTATGGTTTAAATGTGTCCCCCAAAGTTCATATGTTGGGATCTTAATTCCTAATGCAACAGTACTGGGAAGTGGGCCTAATAGGAGGTGATTAGCTAATAATGATTAATATTGTTATTGTAGGAGTGAGTATTGTGAGAGGGGGAGATAAATTATCTCAAGAGTGGATGTGTTAAAAAAGTGAGTTTGGTCCCCTCTTGCTCTCTCTCGAGTACTCTCTAGCCCTTCTGTCTTCCATCATGGGATGTTGTAGCAAGAAGCCCCATTGCCAGATGCCAGCACTTTGAAATTGGACTTCCCAGCCTCCAGAACTGTGAGAAATAAATTTCTTTATAAATTACTCCCTTCATGATATTCTGTTACAGCAACACAAAACAGACCAAGACACTTTATCAAATTGCAAAGAAACATTGTTGTTCTAGGTTATAATAAATGTAAAAACTAGTGCAAATTTATTTTGGGCTACATGTGAAGGGATGAGATAAGGAGGGTGGATGGTGTGGGACAGAAATTCAACTGTTAACTATTATATAGATTCAAACTTGGACGTCATCTACACATAGCAATTTATTCCTAGCCAGTTCAGGGTTTATAATGAAAAAATATTTCCCTGACATATTAAGTGGCTCATATATAACAAAAGGTCATTTATGAAGGAAGGAATTACTTTGGAAATTTATGCAAACTATTTAATCACTTAAATTATGAAAAAGTTCCAACGCAATTTGGTTCCTGATTTTGTGATAGGAACATTTTTCTTGGTAATTGGTGTAGTGGCCTCATGTCAGGAGTCACTTCATTCTCCTTTTCAGAAGAAGAAAAGGGTTTATGAATGGTCTGTATTTGATTTTTTAGCACCTCACTATTCATCAGTATAAGCCCTAGATTAGATGGGCAATGGAATTTTGGGCTGAAGAAGGGAGAGGTATAGTTTTCCTTGTGTTAAAACTCTGTTTGATTAATTAGAATGAACTGCCAAGGTGTTTCTGGACACCAGTAATTTATTATCTTCCTACAAGTCTATAAGAGAAGGATTAGAGCCTAAAAGTCTGTATGGAACTCGCTATTTATAAATTTTACAGAAAAACAAACATGTTGGAAAACTGCAAGTTTAATCAGATTCTACAGGACTTCTTAGAATCCTTGTGACAGCAATATGAACTAAGAATTGGTAGGAGGGGTTATAGTTCTTTCTGTTTAATGTCTGTAATTTACATAGGGCTCTCTTAGACCATAGATTTAGGGTGACCCCAGCCTGGTTTCACAAGGTAGGACTTCCATTGAATTCTCTCTCACCAGTGTGTTCCTCGTTTGGAGTTCAGCACTGGGGACTGACTGGGCGGCAATGTGCATGAGCACATACAGTCTCAGAACATGCACTTTGGGCAAAGAGCAGAGCCCCTTTAGGTCAGGGTTGGATTTACCGTGGTGGCTCCAGTAGAGGACTGAAGCTTTGGCATATCATGTTCAATGTTCCTTCCTCTCCATCAGATATTTTTAATAAATGTGCAAGTCTTTAATAAATGTGAATCACCAGTGGTGGACATTTTGTCCAAGAATTGTCCTGAAGAGGAAGACAGTTTGGACCAGCTGCCCTGGGAAACTCCTCAGGCTACTTTACTCGAGTGCAGCCTCGCTGACTGCTCATGCTAGTGCATTAGAAGGTGGCCACGAGGACAGGCTGGCGCTGCCTGCACGGCCTGCACTCATACCTATGCTCATCGGCTGACCTCTGACTCTTTTTTTTTTTTTTTTGAGACGGAATTCTGCTCTTGTGGCCCAGGCTGGAGTGTAACGGCACGATCACAGCTCACTGCAACCTCCGCGTCCTGGGTTCAAGTAATTCTCCTGCCTCAGCCTCCTGAGTAGCTGGGATTACAGGCACCCACCACCACGCTCAGTGAATTTTTGTATTTTTAGTAGAGCTAGGGTCTCAGCATGTTGGCCAGGCCTCGAACTCCTGACCTCAGGTGATCCACCTGCCTTAGCCTCCCAAAGTGCTGGGATTACAGGTGGGAGCCACTGCACCCGGCCTCCCCCTAATTCTTATATTTCAGCAACATGTCCCTGTAGGTCACTTCTAGTAGTCTTTGCTATTTAAATAAGCTTAGGAGCATCTGCAAACTTAGAAAGTTTCCTGCCTTTGAGATAATTTATAAAAATATCAATGTTGATTCTGGCAGAAACCCCCCATGTAGGCCCTTTATCCCAATTAATGTTTTTCAAACATTAGAGTGCCTGACATTGTGATAGATCATTAGCCGTCTCTGCTACTTTATATATTTTCTGTATCTTTATCCTTATGCATACAAAGAAACTTAGCACCATATTCCATTCATTCTAAGATGCACATTAGTTTCACATTTTAACTTTTTTATTTAAAATCGGGCATGTCTTACAGTTGAATAGCATCTTAGATTTGATGACATGTGAAACTAGAATAAATGCTTAGAGGATTAACAGTGGAATTGGAATTATCCCTTGAGTGTATGTTAAAAATAACCTGAAAAGAGTTTGTATTTAAAAGTATTTTCAGAGTTTCAATTATGCTGACTCCAATTTTTGTATCCCATTCTTCTGAATTCAGTTTCTCCTTCCAGGAGGACACCTGATAGTAATTACTCCAATGAAGTAGTGTCAGTAATGACATTGTCTTTGTTTATCTGAAAAACGTTTTTCTTTTAACTTTACTCTTGGACGGCAGTGTAGCTGGTCTTAGATTCCAAAGTTGAAGTCCATAATTACTTTCCATAATTTGAACATGTTACTTCATTGATTCCTGGCTGCTCTTATTGTGGCTTGCCATCTGCTCCCTGGCCAGTCGTTGTTACCCTGTGGATAAACTGTTTGATTCTGTACTTTTAAGATATTCTTTTTCATATTCTATCGTTTTACTACAATGTGACTTAGTTAATTTTAAAATTATAAATAAACATATTATAAATAAACTCCCTTGTAATATCTTCAAGTTTTCTTTAAAGATAAACACTTTTGGCCAGGCACGGTGGCTCACGCCTGTAATCCCAGCACTTTGGGAGGCTGAGGCGGGCAGATCATGAGGTCAGGAGATCGGGACCATCCTGGCTAACATGGTGAAACCCCGTCTCTACTAAAAATACAAAAAATTAGCTGGGCCTGGTGGCAGGCGCCTGTAGTCCCAGCTACTCGGGAGGCTGAAGCAGGAGAATGGCGTGAACCCTGGAGGCGGAGGTTGCAGTGAGCCAAGATTGCACCACTGCACTCAGCCTGGGTGACAGAGCGAGACTCCATCTCAAAAAAAAAAAAAAAAAAAAAAAGATAAACACTTTTATTTTTCAAGTTTACTTTAACAGCTATCTTTAAAGAAAACTTGAAGGTACTGCAGGGAGTTTCCCTGGAGGCCACACAGTTTCCCCTGTGAGTATCCTCTTGCATCAGTATGATGCTGTTTGTTACAATTAGTAATTGGATATTCATAGATATTTTAAACTGAGGTCCGTACTTTATTCACATTTTATTGGCTTTTTAAATCCCATTTCCTGTTTCTGTTCCACGATCCCATCCAGGAGTCCATGTAGCATTTAGTCCTTGTGTCTTTTTAGGCTCCTCTTCATTGTAACAGTTTTTCAGCCTTTCCTTGTTTCTGATGATCTCGACAGTTTTGAGTAGGGCACTGGTCAGATATTTTGTAACATGTCTCTTCATTGGGATTTGTTGGATGTTTTTATCCAAGTTAGAATGGAGTAATGTGTTTTGGGGTAGACAGACAGCAGAGTATTATATGTTATCATATCATATCCAGGGTGCATAATATCAATATGACTTACTGTTGCTGTGGGCCTTAATCAAATGGCTTAAAATGGTATTCGTCAGGTCCCTCGACTGCAAAGTTACTCTTTTTCCCCTATTTATATACTGTACTCTTTGGAAGGAAGTCACTATGCACAGCCCAGGAAGTCACTATGCACAGCCCAAATTAGGGAGTGGAAAGTAGTGTTTCACCTCCATGAAGGCAAAGTGTCTACATAAATTGAAATTCTTCTTCATGGAGAGTTTGCCTCCTTCACCCCATTTATTTATTTAATCATTTATTTATGTTAGTGTGGACTCAGCAGTATTTATTTTATATTTTGGAGTGTAATCCAGTATTACCTTATTTTGTTGTTCAAATTGTTTACTGTTTTTTACCACTAGGTACTTGTTAAATTTGCTGCAGTATCCCTCTGGCTTAACAGCACTGGTGTTATTTTATTTTTTTCACTCATTTTCCTTCTTTCTGGCTCTACAGTATGTTCCAGGTTCATCTGGTATATTTCCTGCCCAACACCTAGAATCAGCCCTTTCTCCAGAAATCCTGGTTCCTTGTATTGGTGAATGATTAGAAAGCAAGGTTTGGGTGCTAGGTGGGTTCATTGCCATTGGGGCGTCATCATTTCTAGGCCCTTTCTGACAGAGCAAAGAGTTATATGTGTATATAGTAGTTCATATATACAGAAATATCTGTAAGTATTTCTGTATGTAACCGTATGTATCCTTATTAAGCTAAACGTGAATTCATGCTTAAGTCTCCAACTCTCACTCTAAAGTGAGAAAACTGATTTCTACACATGGCATCCATTTACTTAACTGTTCGATTGCAATATACATGTACAGTAGTTTCAGAATTGGTAACTTACAACTCTGTGAGGAGCAACTTCATCAAGTAGAGTGCAATGCTGATACACAGTTCCTTGCAGAATACACCCAGTTTCAAAGTTACTTAGACCAGCACCTTTTTCTCCCAGTCACGTCAGTAAGGTCGTTTTATACTTTTGTAATGCATTTGAATCCTTTTGTTACATTTTGTATTCCATTCTGGATCACCGAATCTCCTAAGTATTTGTTTTGTATTTTGCATTCATTTTGGGTTACTCTTTGTATTATAAAGTTCTATGAGTTTTGACAATGCTTAATGTCTTGTATTCACCATTACAATATGATACAGAATTCTCTGCCCTAGAAGTACTCTGTGCTCCATTTGTCTACTCCTAACCCCCACCACTGGCAACCACTGATAAATTTACAGTCTCTAAAGTTTTGCCTTTTGTAGAATGTCTTTTTATTGGAATGATACAATATGTAGCCTTTTCGGCCTGGCTTCTTTCACTTAGCACTGTGTATTTAAGAATCACCTATATCTTTCATGGCTTGATAGCTCATTTCATTTTATACTTGAATAATATTCCATTGTGTGGATGTGCCATGGTTTGTTTTTCCATTCACCTGTTATAAGACATCCTGATTGCATCCAGTTTTTGTGATTATGCATTAGGCTGCTATAAACATGTGCAGGTTTTCTGTAGATATGTGTTTTTGAATCATTGGGTAAATATCTAGGAATATAGTTGTTGTATCGTATGGTAACACTAGGTTTAGTTTTGTAAGAAACCGCCAAATCGTCTTCCAAAGTGGTGGTACCATTTTGCATTCTTACCAGCAATGAACGAGCCTTCCTGTTGCTCCCCATCCTCCCAGCAATTGGTAATGTGAACTTTTCAGATTTTAGCCTATCCGATAGGTATATGGTGGTATTGCATTGTTATAATTTACATGTCCATGATAACATGATGTGAAGCATCTTTTAATATGTTTATTTGTTATCTGTACATCTTCTTTGGTGAGTTGCCTGTTCATATCATTTGGCCATTTTTTAGTTAGGTTGTTTGTTAATGTATTGCTGGTTTCTTTCCTATATTTTGAATATAAGTTCTTTATCAGAGATGTATTTTGTAAAATTGTATCCCAGTCTGTAGTTTTTCTTTTCATTCTTGTAACAGTATCTTCCATAGAGCAGTTTTTAATTTTAATAAAGTCCAACTTACTAATTTTTTCTTTGCATGGATCATCATGCCTTTGCTGTTGTATGAAAAACCATAATCACCAAACCCAAAGTCACGTATATTTAATCCTGTCTTTTCTTCTAGTATTAGAATTTTATATTTTACATCTAGGCTTATGATCCATTTTGATTTAATTTCTGTGATAAGAATAAGATCTATGTTGAATTTTTTAGACATTTATTTTACTTGGTGTCTACTGAGCTTCTTGGATCTATGATTTGTGTCTGTCAATGGTGTTGGGAAGTTCTCAGCCATTATTCTTTCAACTATTCTTTCTGCTCTGCTCTCGCTTTTGGTGATTCAACTATATATGTGTTATACCTTTCAAAATTGTTCCACAATTTTTGGATAATCTGTTTTTTTTTTCTTTTTGCAATTCAGTTTTGGAAGTTTCTGTTGACACATTATCCAGCTCACTGATTCCTTGCTTGGCTGTGTCCAGGCTCCTCATGAGGCCATCAAACGCTTTCTTTCTTTTTTCTTTTGAAACTTTACAAGGCTTAAATTTCATTTAACTTACATTTTTGACACAACATGTTCAAATTGCATACAGGCATTCTTTATTTCTGTTACACTGGTTTTGATTTCTAGTATTTCCTTGCAATTCTTTCTGAGAGTTTCTGCTGATGTTACCCAACTGCTTTTGCATGTTGTTTATTTTTCCTTTAGCACCTTTAGCATATTTATCACATTATTTTAAATTTCTTATGTGATAATTTCAACATTTGTATCATATCTAAGTCCTGTTCTGATGTTTGCTTTGTCTCTGCAGACTGTTTTTTCTTGTCTTTTAATTGCCTTGTAATTTTTCTGTAATAAAGCAGAAATGGTCATGACATTATGAATTTAGATAAGTAGCTTTTTAGTGTGCGAATTCATGTGACAGGTAGTAGTTGGGCTTTATTTGATGTTTGCTATAGCTTTAACTGCCAGAGCCTTCAGGTTCTTCTAGTGTTCCTGTTTTTGTCTTCCCTCTTGATGTCTGTCTTCCTTAATTAAGTACTCTTTCTCAGAGAATCTACAGCTTTTTGGACTGTAGTTCACAGTAGTTATACTGGACCCCTGTTGGTGGGGTGGTAGGTGGGGATGAGGGGAAGAAGTGTTCTGTAATCCTATGTTACATGGTAGCATTGTAGTAGGCCTGTGTGTCTGGGCTCTGACCTTCACAAGTGTTTCTCTAGTGGTATAGCAGTGGTATAGCTTTTTCCCTTCTTAGGTAAGACAGAAAGGCTACAGGCTGCTGGAGTGGGACCAGTGTAATTTCCCTAGCAGGGATAAGCTCTGAGAAACCCTGGAGAGTAGGCTTTTTTGTGGAGAAGGCTCTGGGTGACCTGTTTCCCAGTGATTACTTCTCCCCTTCTCTTGCTGGAGCCACAAGGAGATCTTCCTTGCACATTTACTATGAGAACCTGGTGGAGTTTCTAGACATAAAACCCATGAAATTGTAGAGACCTCAGCAAGACTGTGGCTGTCTGGGGGCTTCTCACTCTCATTCATTGCTGGTTCACACTCAGCAACCAGAGATTCACTGAAATTACCATTTAAGCATTACCACAAGTTCATAGCTCCAGTGGCTTCTGCTTTGAGTGAGCAGATTTTGGCTGTGCCCTGAATTTCATGTCTCTCCATATTTCAGTGTGGTACTTACCCTGCAGCAGCAGTCCCTCCTGAGTCCAATAAATGTCATTGATTTTTCATTTCATTCATTTTTTTTTTTCTGTTGTTATGAGAGTGATTAATTCTAAGCTATTTACATGCCAGAGCTAAAAAATGATGGAGGTTTGAATTAGTCTTTGATTTATACTTATATTTTTGAGGAACTCATACTTCCTTAATCTGAGGAAAAGTTGGCCAATTCTGGAAATTTCTCAGCCATTATTTCTTTAACCTTTCTTTTATGAAACTATTTTATACACACATTGAATCTTTTCATTGTGTCCTTCAAGTCTTTCAAGCATTCGCATTTTCCATCTCTTTATCTTTCTGAGTTACATTTTAGGTCATTTTGTTGAGTCTGTCTTCAGCTTACTAATTATCATTTCTGTTCTTTCCAATTCATTGTTTAACCCACCCATTGAGCTTTTATTTCAGTTACTAAATTTTTCATTTTGTAAAGCTCTTACTTTTGTTTTCTTCCAAATCTGCGTTTTTACCCCTAGAATATCTTATTCTTTTACTATGTTTTTGATTTCTGTAGTGCATTTAATCACGTTAAACATATTTATTCAGTATTATCCCTCTGATATTTCTCTTGTCTGTATTTTTGGGGGCTTATTCCTCCTGACTTGGTTTTCTCTCTTTCACTCATGGAAAATGTTATACTTTATGTATTTTGTATTTTTGATCAGGAGGGTATAATCATTGTGTTTTCTATGCAACAATTTTTTATTATTATTTTCTTTCTTTTGTCTTTTTTGTGGTTTGCTAATTTGTTTGTTCTCATTGCGTCTGTCTGGGTCCTCAAGTTTTACTGGTCTAGAACAACTTCTAAGCTAATGCCATGACTTGCAAAGTTCCTAGGCTTTGTGAATTGGTTACATTTGAATTCTCCATCAGAAAGAAGGCTGATACATTTTCAGGAAATAGAGTGTACCCTGACCTGGTTCTCCACTTTCAGCCCAGAATGACACAGACTAACTTGCTTCTTTCTTGGCCAATGGTCTCTTCAAATTTCCTGGACCATGCTGGTAGAAGTAGGTGGGGGGTTTGGTTCAGCTCTCCACCTACGAAAGAGAATCTTTTCTATAGTCCCACTTAGGCATTGTTTAGGCTCTCTGTGAATAACACTGGCCACTGGTCTCCATACTCCTGCACTCTGCTATGGTGTCAGCTCACGTACTTACAATGTTCTTTTCAATTTCCTCTTGGATTTTGTTGTTGTTGTTGTTTTGAAGGATTTCTTGTGCTTTCTTGTGAGCCAAAATCAGCATTTAAAAAGACATTTGTTTGATTTTCTCCAGAATTTCCAGGTGTTTGTAGCAGGATAGTATTAACATTATAGAGTCTCCTGTTTTCTAGGACCAGAAGCAGGGCCCCCATGTATTATCCTGGCATACTTAACTAGTTTCTCTGTGTTGTAGTCACCATTTCAGCTCTAGCTATGGCTTCTTTGTTTCACTTCCATTTCCAACTTCTGTAATGGATGTAATCTCTTGGTGTGTTTGCTCTGCAGACACTGTGATTATCTTACACCGTGGTTATCTCAGGTCCTGCCTTCATGCCAGTAACTTAATTTTTTAGCTGTGTCTGTTTTGTTCCTTTCTGTTTCTCATCTAACTACGTAATAATTTGTTTTGGTTCTCAGTTTATTTGTTTAGCTCTGCAATGTTCCTTTTATTCTGTTATTTTATTAGCTCATCTTTGAAATCATGCTTAATTTGATCCAAGACTTATATAGTATAATATAAAGAACTCATGAGAAGCATGCCCTTCTTATTTGGGCTTTTTTCCAGGCTACTTTGTATATTAGTTGTGTGTGTATGCCTGGCTGCCTTTCTTCTTTGTGCTTGTTATTTTAAAATTTTTATTTATGTATATATTTAATCATTCATTCATTCATACTCATACTTCCTTCTTGTGGCTGTCATTCCAATTTGTTTTCATCTGGCCCATGCCTCATTCGTATTTTCTGTGATGTAGTAGAGATGCATTATTTTTATGTTATACTTTCCTGATTCGTGGCCTGATTTATTTTTGTCTTTGTTTCTTAAGCCAATTAACCTATATTATTTATAGAAGTATTAGAAATATCAAATAACAAAAACAAAACCAAGAAAAATAAATGACTGCTTCTAAATCCTGCTCCTAACTTCCATTCATTCATCTTATCCCCTTCCCTTTCTATTGGCCTTTGGAACCCACTTTGCACCGGTTCCATACCAAGGGCTCTGTTGGGGTCTCCTTATCTCTAACTCAGTTCCTTAGAGGACCCCAATTGTGATGAGATTTGTTGCAGCTAGCTTTTTGACAATTCATTGAAAAAGCCTGATATTGAAATTACAGAAATTTTGTAACCAAGGCATTTGTGGGAGTCTGGCTGTGTGTATAGGTGTTTGCTTTTAGTCCAGAGAGATACAACTTGTAAACACTCAAGGAAATTCCTGAAAACTGATTCAGTTGGGATGATGGCTTAAACTTAAAGGGAGATTTATCCTTTCTGTTCAAGGGTAGTTCAGATGAAGTTTGATTCCTGCTCCACTCAGTATGCCGGAAACCCAGCATCTCTCTTCCTCTTTCTCCTCTACTCCACAATCTTCCTATCACTACCCATTGTCAGCTCTGCTAATTCAAGATCGATTCCTTCTCTGTTAGGGTCTGCTCTCATGATCCACCTTCCAGGCTTCATTCCCCAAGAGGTAGGTCCTTTGAGGGAGATAGGGGGCCCTTTCTCATAGAAGGAAAGGAAACCTTTCAGTTGCAGTGAAAAGTGCATGCTTGAACTCTTCCTCCCTCCCTGAGAAGGATGGGGCAGCTCTGGGCATGGGAGTCCACCCAGCGAGAACCAAGTGGACATCAGGTTGGGTGGGGCTCACCTCCCCCGGGCAAGCTCTCTTATTCCTGCACACACAGGCAGCTGAACACCTTGGTCTGCCTTGCTCCCTTCAATCTGGCATTGGGCAAATTGGATCTGGATTTCACAGGGGAAACAAAAATCAGTGGTGTTGCCCGGATCCAGGTCCTAAGCTCAGGAAACCCACCTGCCTCTGTTCACCTGGCATTTATTCTCCCTAAAGGAGCCAGGCTGATCAGCCAGTTTTCCATCTTGTCATCATGGGTCTTTCCTGGGATTATGTCTCAAGGAATCACATGCTGACCTGTTGGGAGGAAAAAAAATATGTATATAAATATACACGTATTACACTGTGGTCTGATTTTTTAAATCCCTTAAGCCTTATACGTTGCATTGTTCTTGAAATCAGTGTTCTCGAACTGTGCAGGATTAACTTTGGTAGTTAAAAATAGAATCAAAGAGTTCAGAATCACTCTGCTGGGGGAGTTCTAGAGGCAGAAGTTTTTCCAAAGACTGCAGTCTCTGCCTCAGTGGCTCTTTGGAGCAACATCTCCAATCTCAGGATCTTCGGGGTGCTGTGTTTTAAAGCATAATGCATTTCCTCTGTTTGTCAGGTTTAACGGTACCGTCAGAAATAAGCATATATCTGTAAACAGTTCGGCTGTGATTAAGGAGCTCCAGAATCCTAGAAATAGTGAAGTTCCTTAGCTTAACCCTTTGCCAAGGTGGCTAGCTGGTGGATGAGGCCAGGATCCAAGGCTTGAAGGAAGTCAGGTTGCACACACTTTTTGAAAAGATTCTCATCTGCACATTGATGCATCGCAGAATAACCATGAACCCACTGGGAATATTAAATGCTGACCTCTAGACACTTAATTCCTAAGCCTTAATTTTCAGTGGGAACCAAACCAACCAGGTTTCAAAGATGAGCCAATAAAATAACAGAATAAAAGGAACATTGCAGAGCTAAATGAATAAACTGAGAATCAAAACAAATTATTACACAGTTAAATTAGAAACAGAAAACCAACCAGTAATTATGTGCCACCCCTAAAAATAGGCAGCCGCAGATAGTGAGGAGATATTGCCAGTTCGGGCCAATTCTCTTAGCCTTTTCAGTACCTTTCTATCAAAGGAACTTTTTTCCGATAATTTAACAGTGGAGAATTTTGCTATATTTTAGGCACTTTTCTTTTTCTTTTTCTTTTTTTTTTTTGAGACAGAGTCTTACTCTGTCGCCCAGGCTGGAGTGCAGTGGCACGATCTCAGCTCACTGCAAGCTCCGCCTCCCAGGTTCGTGCCATTCTCCTGCCTCAGCCTCCCAAGTAGCTGGGACTGCAGGTGCCTGCCACCGCGCCTGGCTAATTTTTTGTATTTTTATTAGAGACGGGGTTTCACCATGGTCTTGATCTCCTGGCCTCGTGATCTGCCTGCCTCGGCCTCCCAAAGTGCTGGAATTACAGGCGTGAGCCACCGCACCCAGCTCTTAGGCACTTTTCTTCCTGCTACCTATTCAGTCCTTGCAGCATGCTGCAGAGAGAGCAATTGATAGCCATTACCCTTGTTTTTACAAATAAGGGAACTGAGTCTCAGAAAAGTTCAGGGGATGGGACTACCCCTAGCCCACATGGCTAGTGAATAGCAGAGCCCAGAGCCTGTGATATCTATAGTTTTCACATTGTGTCCCCAACAAACAGACCCTGAGCAATCCCAAAATGTGAGCAGAGGTAGAGCCGAGCTCTGTATCCCGAGAGGGCCAGGCCCTGTGGTACGAGGACCAGGATGGTCCTAGAAATGCCAAGCTCCCCATCAGCAGCTCTCAGACATCCAGGCTTCAGGACTCCGTTGCTCTCCTTAACGTTATTGAAGATCCTCTAAGTTTTGTTTATGTGATTATATCTATCAATATTTAACACATTGGAGATAAAACTAAGAAGCATTTTAAAGTTCAGTAATTCACTTAATATAATAAGGCCATTCCATAAATAGCAAGATGTTAACATAAATAGCATTTTATGGAAAATAACCATATCTTCACCCAAGAAATCAGTGGGAAGGGTGGCGTTGCTTTTTATTGTTGCAAATCTCCTTAATGCCTCATGTAATAGAAGACATCTGGACTCTCTGACCAGCTTCTGCATTCAGTCTGCTGCTGGTCCCTATGTCCTGTAGCCTCCGCAAACCTCTATGGAAGACTCAAGGGAAAAGGGGGATGAAAGAGGGAAATAACGTCTAACCATTATGAAAAAAAGATTTGACTCACTGGTCCTCTGAAAGCATTTCAGAAACCCAGGGGTTCCAAGCCCATACTTTGAAAACTTCTGTCTTGTACAATTACCAAAGGGAATTATTTTCCGTGATCGTAATCACAGTGTTTGCTGTTACAACAAGGAGGACAGAATCACATCATGGTTCAAAACACAAGTGTTGAAAACTAAACTTTATGAAACTGAAATCCAACCCCCTAACCTCTTAAACAGGTTTCTGTACTTAGCTGTGTGACCTAGGGCCAGGAGCTTGTTTGTTTCATAATTGATATATTTATGCATTCCTCTTCTCCTTTGATTATAAAGGTAATACCTGCTCATAGCAAAGCATTCAAACAGAAAAGAGACATATAAAATTAAATTTGGGGGGTCTCCCATAATCTCCATTATTAAATGAGAAAAATAATAGTATTTATTTTGCTGGATTATTGTCGTGAAGCCAAAATGCGTTGTTTGCGTGTGCATGTGACATTTAGAAATGCAAACTCTGTTTAAGGGTTAGCTTTGTTATTTTCAGGTATCGTCAATACCTGATACCTGATATTTATTGATATCCTCTTGGTAAAGTACTTGTTCATCTTTTGCCCATTTTTCTATTGGATTGCCTGCCCTTTTCTGATTGATTTTTTGGAGTTTATTTCTTATTCTGGATATGAGTCTTTTGTCAGACCTACTATCTTGCTGACTCAGGGAAAACCTCAGTTTGTTATGCTGTAAAACTAAGAAAAAAATATGGTTGGTGTAAAGATTAAATTAGATAAAAGAAGTCACCGTTTATAAACTTTAGACTGCTACACAAATATGAATTTATATTATCCAGCTATTTTCTCTGCAAACAAGAATTTAGAAATGGTGGTGGTTAGGTCTATTGTTATGTTTTTGCTTTTTTTTTTTTCTCAGCATCTACACAAAGGAAAAAGAAATAATGTGATGGGAGCTCTGTAAAATCACATGGAATGATGTTACCCAGTAATTCACGAAAGAATAATTGCTGCAGAAATGCAAGATAGCACATTACGCATTACCACGACAGTTGTACTCTAAACCAGATAGACGATTATTCAGAGAGATTGATTTTAAAAAGCACGATCACTTAAATCAAAGCATGCTCTCAACTGAAGAGCTCAGATGGAAAAAGAATGAAGGGAGTTAGGCGCGTTGACTCGAGGGTGCCTTGCCACACCGGCCTTCTGGGATTCTGTGGCGGGCTGGGGACCCTGCCTCCTCCTGTCTTCATCCCAGAGGGAGAGGGGAGTGTAGATCTTGCAGGAGAGCCGTGTGTGTGAGTAGCCACGTGGTGACAGCCATTGGCACTGAGTGACATCGCACAGATTGCAGCATGCTCCTCCTCTTCCCACCTGCTGTAGCAGACAGGGCAGCTGTTTGCATCCCTGTTTCGGAGGAGAGAACATTGAAATGCACAGAAGCCAATTGCCTGCTGAGTCGGGAGCCCCCAGGGTCTTTTGCCTGTGTGGACTCTGCTCCTCCATGCCCTCCTGCCCAGTTGGGGAGGGCAGGAATAGCCAGGGGGGCAGCTTGAGGATCTGGAATTGCTGAAACCCACTTTCACAGTGCAATGGTCTGAATGTTTTTTTCCCCCACTAAATGCATATGTTGAGATCTGAATCCCCAAGGCGATGGTATTAGGAGGTGATTAGTCCATGACGGTGCAGTCATGATGGATGGTCCCCATATATACAAGGCCCCAGAGACCTCCCGCGCCCCTTCCACCATGCGAGGACACAGTGAAAGGTGGCTGCCTATGATCCGGGAAGCCAGCCCCCACCAGACACCAGGGTTCAACCATAGTGGCAGGTTAATCATGGACTTCCAGCCGCCAGAACTGTGAGAAACAAACTTCTATTTTTTATAAGCTACCCAGTGTATGATATTTTGTTATAAGCGTCCAAATGGAATTAAACATAGAGTCTGTGCTACTTAATTGCAGGCCCCTAGGTTCCTGTGGAATACTGTTCTTCGGGAGACTAAATGTGCATATTTATTCACAGGCCTCTGGGCCAGGGTTGGATGTTTCTGTCCCCTCTCTTGCAGGAACCCCCTTGTTTGACTCGGGTGGCCTCCAACTTGGGAGGGAGTGACTGCTGTAGGCAGCTCTGCCTGCTGATTCATGGTTTCAGGCTCAAGTGCTGCATGGCAGGCTGGGGGCTCTGGCAGCAGTGAAGGATATTTGGGTGAAAGAGAAGGAAACTTCCCTCCTGGGGTGAGGAACTGGATTTTGTCCCTAGGTAAATTCTGGGCAGTGGGAGTGGAGCCCCTGCATACCTGCCCTGAATGTCCTTCTGCCGGGGGCCAGAGGGCCATGTGGGAACTATAATTCCATCTGGGGACTTTCCACACTCAGAGGTGTGGCCACCATCCCCAGGTCTCCCAGTTCACCTGCAGCCTGTGTGGCCAAGTACAAATCCCGAGGCAAGGAAGTTGAGTGCAGAGCTGAAGTCCTCCCCCAGGTCCTCTGTGCAGAAGCCTGTCAGGAAGCAGGGGGCTGAGCTCAGCTTTAGTGCAGCAGGGTCGGGACGTGCTTGCCAAGGATCGAGGAAGGAAAAGGCTGTGGGGAAAGGGGAGGGGACAGATGGACTCTGAACCTGCTTTTGGAGCAGCCTCTGGGGAGGGAGGGCTTTTCTTGCCAGCCGGTCAAGGTCTTATAGGAGAAGACACGGCACCTGCAGACCTATTGCTGCCAGAGTCCCACAGAACCTCTTTGAGAAGGGGGAAAGGGGTCAGTCAAGAGCCATTTTGCAAATGAGGAGACTGAGTCCTGCAGCAACTGCCTCTCATCTGTGGTCACAGGCGTGGGGGCCTGGAGACAGTAATGCCTGGATAGAGCCTTGGAAAGCAGAGCTGGTGGTGGGAACCGAGGGATAAAGGCTCAGGACTGGGTGCACATGGTGGATGTGAGGGGATCCACATACTGTGGTATTGCAGGATCACAGGTGGTTAAAGCAGAGGCTCAGCCCCAGGACGCCACCCCTTGTCACTCTGGGTGAAGTCCATGTCCTTGTCTTCCTCCTTGTAGGGACCCTGTTTTCCCTCCCTCCGTGATCCTTGTTACCATTTGTTGTTATATGTTGTTATAAGTGTATCATTATTGTGTTGTAGAATCCTACCTCATCCCCCCCCACCAACACACACACACACACACACACACACACACACACACACTTTTTATTCTAGGAGCTCAGGAGCAATATTAATTTCCACTGCACACATCAGGCAAGCATAATGCTGGGGACAGGAGGTGTTCCATAAATGTTGCATGAACGAATGAATGAAAACTCGGCTGGACCATGGCTTGTAGCAATGGCTTGTGCACTTCACTCAAGATTCTTGACTTGATCCTTTGGGCAGTGCAGTTGGAGGAGGGTGATCTGATCATATGGATGGTCAGAAAGTCCGGTGTGAAGATGAGTAGAGGACAGCCTCTGTGTGTGTGCACCTGCGTGTGCATAGGGGCAGCAGGCTGCACAGTGGGAATGGGAAGGAGGTGAGGGACCTTGTCACTGCAAACAGAGAGCCAAGAGACTCAGACCGTGTGTGGCCCGGACAGGTGCCAAGAGGAGGGAGATTGTTCTGGGAGCATGGTTCCTCATGCCCTCCTCTCTCCCTCTTGAGTCTTTGTGGGGGGTTCCCCTAACGGGTATCCCTGCATGCTCAGGTGGTGGTGGCTGCTGCTTGTTGATTACAGTTTGAAAAGCTGCACTTGGTCCCAAGTTGCCACACACCACTGAAATTCAGTGTTCTCTAATGGGGTTTCTGTTAGAATGTTGGAAAGAAGAAAGCCTTTTAATTAGATTCGTAGTAATTGAGCTCCCAAACCACAGAAGCCTTTCTCTCAGCAGATGAAGACACAAATGCAATTAAAAGAAGGAAAGGCACCTAAATGGAACCCTTGCTAATTTTAAGTCCATTAAAAACAACAACTCCTTAATAAGTTGAGGCAACAGATACACGTTCTGAAGAGTTTTAACAGTGCTTCCCAATAATATTGGAGCTTGAACTGGAACTGGAGTGCTCCAGCCACTTAAATGGATAGCTCTGTTGGGGATCATTTGCTCAGTGCAGAGTACAGAGACATGTTAGCTCTACAGCTTTTCCCACCAAAAACTCCTGGCACATTTTATTAGGAAAATGGGATATATTTTTTCCTGTAACTGAATAAATGTTCAGCATCTTGTGGACATTGCCTCTGGCCTGGGGTCCCCTGAGACATCATCCCATGTCCCTCCCCAGGCAGCCCTCTCCTCTCTGTGGGATTTGCCCCACCTGGCCCATCTCACCCCAGAGGTGCCCAACATGTGAGCAACTGGGCTGGGGCACTGATGTCCCTGTCAACTGCTTACATGCTGAACGCATTTTCATTTTAATGAGAGGCAGCATTCGTTTTTCATTTGCATCCCTGCTCACTGACATGCCCCAGCAGATGCCACGTTCTTTCTGCCTTTGGGTCTTTTTTTTTTTGAAACTTCCCATCGGTGAACCAGGCCAAGTAGATTCTATTGCGGGAGCTTGAGGTTTCAGCTTCTGGGAACATCTTCACAGGGGCATTAATTAATATTTTCCCTGGAGAGGGTGTCAATTGCTAATTCACAGAGTCCTTTACGTTGGAGTTGATTATTTCATGCTGAATCACAACATTCTCAGTATGACTATTGTACAGAATTCACTCATTTGCCTCCTTTCACTGGGCTTGGTCAGCCGTACTAAAACGCAAGTTGCCTCCCATTTGGAAAGGCCAGTCTTGACGGGTCTCTTCTCTGTACGTCCTGTGCTGGAGCAAAGTCACAGCTGGTACACTAGCCAAGCTCCCTGATTAGTGCATAGGCTTAGCTGGAGGCAGAACTCAGGGAGGTGTTTTGGAAATGTAGGAAAATAAGCTCTGGAGTCAGAAAGATCCAAGTTTGAATGGCTGCTTCTAAAGTCACCTCATCTTTCTCACCTTTAGTTTATCACCTGGGTAGGCTTTACCTTCAGGTGTATTTCAAGAGCCCGATGTGCCTCCTAGAAGTTAGAGGTTGAGAGAAAAGCCCAGATCTGCAGGGACAAGGCAGAGTCATGGCCCTCATGGCACCACTCACACAGGGTGCAGCAGCTCCACACAGGGCCATGGCCCCTTTCCTGGGGGAGGGAGGCATAACATACTTGTATTTGTTTAAAAGCATATATATTTTGGAAACAAACCTGACTTTAAAAACTTGTATTTTCACCTACTTTTATGTTTTTTTTTAAGCATATGAATTATTTAAAAATACAAAGATAAATAGCTAAATCATTAGCAGGCATCATTTCTGGATGGTAAGGTTGCAGAGTTTTAATTTTCTTCTTTATACTTTTCCATCTTTTTTAAGTGCTGTATAATAAATGTGTCTTACTTTGGAATAAATAGAAAAGCTTAACTCTAGGGAAATGCTGCTTGCATATATTGGAAGTGCTTGGTGCATTCTAATTTCCACACACAACAACGCTCTCGACAGTCAGATCCCCATGTGAATAATTGTCTCATTCTTTCTTTTGTAAACCATATTATTTATGCTGCTGCTTTTTTTTTTTTTTTGAAGGATGAGAAGAACCAAGTTTTAACCACCAACATTTGGCTGCAAATGGTAAGTTAAGAGAATGACAATCTCTCCCATGGGCTGCAAGATCTTGCACCCAAGATTCTTGTTCTGATACCTGAGATGCTTGCTTCTGAGAGGTCCTGTTTAGGAAAAAAAACCAAAAAAACAAAAGGCCATGGCTGTCACACCAACTCCACACCTGCCAACAATGAATGCTGGCTGTATGACACTACAGTCTGCAGTGCTCAACACATGCACAAGATCAACACATAGGACAAGGTAATGTGGGGACACTTCAGAAGCACTTCAGGCAAGACAAGAAGATACAGGGCTGTGTGTAGATGTCCACAACCTGCACCACAGCCAGTCCCCAGGACTCAGAAGCTCCATCCCTGCCCTCTGTGGCCTCCGGAGCTGCATGTTTGAATCAGGTGGAGTGTTCCGAAACCAGAGGCCCTCGTACTTTGTGCTCTAGCAATGCTTATAAGAATCTTGAAATGCTACCTATCATTTGTAGATTTTTAACTTGACATCTGCAATACTAATCTAAATTTGATTAATTGCAAATGATGCCACTTAACATCCAATTGTAAATATTAACACTGAAAAATGAAACAGTCAGTCTCTATTTTAAATGGAATTCAAAATACCATAATAATTTGGTGCCCATCTCATTCAAACACCATATGAACAAGCCTTTTTTTAAACTGTCAGATATTTAACGTAGTCCCTTTTTTCTCTTTGCACATGCATTTCTATTCTAGTTTCTATACGGAATTTTATCCTAATGTAATATAATTTTATGTTTGAAAGTCTCTTTTTTGTTTGTTTGTTTGTTTGTTCGTTTGTTTGTTTGAGACAGAGCCTTGTTCTGTCATCCAGGCTGGAGTGCAGTGCAGTGGCGCAATCTTGGCTTACTGCAACCTCCGCCTTCCAGGTTCAAGTGATTCTCCTGCCTCAGACTCCCGAACAGCTGGAATTACAGGCAGGCACCACCACACCCGGCTAGTTTTTGTATTTTTTAGTAGAGACAGGGTTTCTTCATGTTGGCCAGGCTGGTCTTGAACTCCTGACTTCAGGTGATCCACCCACCTCGGCCTCCCAAAGTGCTGGGATTACAGGCATGAGCCACCGTGCAGGGCCGAAAGTCTTTTATTAATCGTGCCTTGGTTTTTTCAAATGTAAATATTTACACAAGAATTATTCCTTTACACCGTAAGTATTAAATTTTGTTTCTTTTGGATTGATTTAAGTTTGCTATTGTTATTGGTATTATAATTCATCAAGGTGACATAAATTAAAATTTTTAAGTAATTATAAAACATAAATTTTTATTGGCAATTTATATCTCTGCCCAAGATGAGTTTGTTTTAAATTAGTTCATGTATCCACAGATGACTTTTTATTACTTGAATGGAGAGAATGATAGTTTTCACTTCAATTCTGTTGCTGTTTTTTAACTAGGTGTAGTAACATGAGTAGTTGGACATGAAAGCCACTTTGTTAAAGCAATGTTACTCAATCTTTGAACTTCTTCTAGGTTATATGCCAAAAATAATGTAGTTTTTATCAAATGTATCAGCTGACAGCTTGATTAGTTTCTCCTTCAATTTTGTTGAAAACAAAGAAAAGAATTTAAACCCACCTGACCTTTGAAAGTATTTGCCACCCAATTTGTAAGGTAATTCACACAGACACAAACGCTGATACTTGAATTGACCATTTGTTTGGTTCTTGAGTCAGTGTCCCAAGATGGGAGTTGAGGTAAGATAAGAGAAATGTGCCCTTCTTTATAAAGTTGAATGGGAGAAGTGAAAATGGAGGCAAAGGATAGTCCCATGTGGTTCTTGGGCAGTTGAGTTATCCTGCGAATACACGTGGAGTTGAGGGATAGAAAATGGATCTGCATCCAGCCTGGCCAACATGGTGCAACCCTGTCTCTACTAAAAATACAAAACTTAGCTGGGTGTGGTGGTGCACACCTGTAATCCCAGCTACTCAGGAGGCTGAGCCAGGAGAATCACTTGAACCTGGGAGGCAGAGGTTGCAGTGAGCTGAGATTGCACCACTGCACTACAGCCTGGGGAACAGAGCAAGACTCAATCTCAAGAAAAAAAAAAAAAAGAAAGAAAAAGAAAATGGATGTGCTTAAAGCCATTGCTAGGTCTCCAAGGTGCACCCATAGCTACATGTGAGACTCCTGCAGAACCTAACATTAGTCAGGTGAGAGCCCTTGAGATATTCCCTTGCAGGATTTAAAGCAGCATACTTCAGTGAGCATATCCCTTGCCACCTACTCTAGCTTCCCTCCTTTTGCCCAGGACACATGATCTGTGCTCTCCTGGAAGGCCCAGGCCTTCTTCCCATGGACAGACTCATCTCCTGGCCCCTGCTGAGAGCCTGGCATTAATGATTGTCCTCGCTGCCAGTAGCATCAAAATAGTGTCCGTGGGTCATTCTCACTCTTGTCTCTCCCACAGACTTTTCATTTGGATAAATGTTAAAGCCATGGATCCATTGGCTCAAACCAAAAACCTTGAAGTCACCCTTAACTCTTGTCTCGCACACCTCACCTCTGATACATCAACAAATCCTGGCAGCTTGACCTGCAAAACCGATCCAGGATCTAACTACTGGGCATCAACCATGATGCTTTCACCCTGGTCTACATGGGTGTCATCTCTCACCTCCATTATTAGGAGTCCCCATCCAGCCTTCCTGCTTCAGTGTTGCCTCTTCTGGTGGTGTCTTGTCCTCAACATAGCAGCCAGCATATACCTTCTTGGCACAGATCCCTCCAGGGGCTCCTGTCTCCCTGGACAGCATAGGAACTGAAGTCCTCGAAGTGGCCTTGGATTCAATTCCCTCCTTGCCTGGCTCCTTTTTCCTCTCCCCTCCCCTCTGTTCTTTGTTTCCTGGCTGCACTCACTGTCCACTTGTTGGGTGACACACACGTCACCCGAGCCCGTGCCCCCCCCTCAGGGCCTTTGCACTGGCTGCTCTCCCTGCCAGGAAGACTCGTCCCTAAGAACCACTTGATTTCCCCCTTACTTCTCACTGATCTCTTCCTAAAGGTCAACTCTTCATTGAGTCTTCTTTGAGCTCCGATGTACTGTCCCAAACCCTCCCCTCCACCTCCAGCCCACTCTGTTCTCTTTATCCTGTTTCATTTTTCTCCCAAAGGCTTCTCACCATGTAACCCGCTTTGTGTTCACTCGTCTATCTGTTCATTGGTTCTGAGTCTTCATCACCCTTAGAATGTGTGCACAGTGTGGGGGACAGGGCTCCAGGTGCATTCGGTCACTGCCGTACCCACAGCCCCTAGTTCACTGTCTCACCTGTAGCGGGCACCAAAGAACTTTTGCCGAATGAGAGAATGAAGCAAAAACTCAAGGTGAACCTTGAGGTGCTTGGGTAGCGTGACACAACATAAAGCCATCTCCTGAATGGCCGTGCAGCACTTTCGTACTGTGTGTATAAGGCCAGGCTCCGGAGAATGAGGCAAGTGCTTCCCTTTTTAATTAAAGTTGGACGTTTGCCATGCCCTCTAAGGAACAACGCTGCTGTTGACATTTTTCTTACAGAGAGAAATGCATGTTATGGAGAGGTCTCTCTCCCTGGTGCCTATCTTCCTTAGCCCTCAGTAAGTGACTGGTCTTCAGCAATGTATATGATTTGGCAATTTTATTTAAAGGATGGTGGTTTCCAAGAAAAATGTAACTGGATTATTACTTCCAGTATGGAATTCAGATGCTCCACAAATAAACATCCTTGCTTCAGAGGGTGTCACCAGAGACCTCTAAATTTATTTCAAGCACAGCTAATTTTAATTAAGGCTTACATTTGCAGAAGCATCTGCAGCTTCATTTGTTTGAAAACTCACCTTTTAACTCACCTCCTCTTGGAGCAACCTACTCTGTGGAAGGTATTAAACTGGGCCAGGTGAGGGGACCCAGAAATACATAACCCAGTTTCTACCTTTAAGCCATTTATGATCAGGCTGTGTAATTAACACGTTTAGAAGAAGGAGGCGGAGGAGAAGAAGAAGGAAAAGAGGAGGAGAAGGAGGAGGAGGAAAAAAGGAGGAAAAATGGAGGAGGAGTTGGAGGAGGTGGAGGAGGAGAAGGAAAAGAGGCGGAGGAGAAGGAGGAAGAGGAGGAGGAAGAGGAGGAGAGGAGGAAAGGAGGAGGAGAGGAGGAAAGGAGGAGGAGGAGGAGGAAAAGAGGAGGAGGAGGAAATTAAAATAGCAAGAACAAGTATCTCCCCAGGGATATTACAGATGACAGCTGGTGGTCAGATAGTAGAGGCCAGACGTGGGAGAAATCTCTGCTTTAAAGAAATGGGAGAGAAGGAGAGGCACAAATTCTCCTAAACGTGAAGATCTGGGAGCACTGGCATTTCTGAGTATTTTGTCATTAATGTTTACTTTTAGGTGCCTACCGATTGAGAAACATGCTGGATTCCCTTAGAAGGTGTGCCCTCATAAAGCTGGGTGATAACATTTATCTGGAAAGCGGCACCTGTAGATGATCTAGCAGTTGTAACACTGTCTCCCAACTGAATTTTTAAGGGCTCACAAGAATCCTGGGTTTAAAACAAACCTTAACAGTCATCTAGCCAGTGCCTGTGTCTCTCTGCTCCCCGCCCCCACCCAGTGTTTCAGTCTGGAAGCCCTGGCATTTCTATTCATGTCCACAGCATGGACATGAGGAACTCAGGAGTCACCAGAGCAAGCTTGGATGCTGCCCAGAGGCCACTTCTAAGCAACCTTCCATTGATTGCTGTTCTTGTGTTCCCTGGCTGGGGACCAGCCTGGCTTGACCCAGCACGATAATGGACATGCACAAGTGAAGCTGGGTACTGAAGGCTCTCAGGGCCAGGGTTCTGAGGGGGGTGCAAATGTGGGCCGGGGGCAGAGAGCCATAAAAACGGCTCTAGCAATGGGTTTTTCTCCTCCCGAGTTTCATGTTGCTGAATTCCTGTCCAGAAAATCTGAATCCACATAATCTTTTCTCTAGGGTATTTAAACTCTGCAAATGATACATTTTCTGTTTATTAAAAATGGAAAAGGCAGAAAGGTAAAAAAAAGAAAAAAACTCTCCTTGACCTCCAGTTTGTTGGTTTTGTTATTCTTTCTCCCAGTTGCCCTTGATTTTGATCATTCAGAAACGTGAGGGAGGAGAAAGAGGCTTCATCTCTCTGTTCACCTCTTCATGTTCCGAGGAGGAAGCAGCTGGTTCCTCTGCAGCCGGTTCCTCTGCAGCCAGTTTTCTCTGCAGATTAGTTTTTATCATTTTGAGAGGGTTGTCAGACATAATCTGATTTAATCTATGAGAAAAAAATGACAGAAGCCATTTCAGTTTCTGAAGAGACATTTGAACCATCCAGAGACTTACATTTGCTTTTAAAACACCTGTCTTCTGTCATTTTGCAATTGTGACCATTCTCCTGGCATTTGATGTCCCAGCCTTCCTGGGTCCTTCTCTAACTTTAACCTCCTAATTCTAATTATGGTACTAATAGCATTCACACCATAGATGATAAGATTTTAAGCTGTTATTTTTTCTAAAATATTTACCTTTTTAATTTCTGCATTCATCATCACTTGATCTCTGACACATGGAAATGCCACGCTTCCTGTTTACAGACAAGCCGGCTAGTGGCTTGCTTAGGGCTGTGATGGCATCTCAAGGTGAAGAGCGATGTGTCAATCATTATGTCTCACCAAGAGAAGAAAGCGTCAGGGTCAGTGGGGTGGAAAGGCTGCTTTCCTCCACTAACAAAATAATGGACGGGAATAATTTTGAAAAGATAAGTGTTTTCTGACATCAAACGTGTGATGACTTTTCTAGCACCAACAACCAATTTTCCACCAGCAACTGGGGGTCCACCAATTCAATTCATTTCTCACATTATCTACCTGGAGTTGCATCAGATCCCACAGGTTAAAGGGCTCAGTCTCACTTCAGATACCAGCTGCAAATGGTGTACCCAGGCTACCCACATGTCTAGCAGGTGACTGAAAATTCGAGGGTTCCCATACCCTTCTCCCCCAGGTTCAATAACTTTCTAAGATGACTGACAGAGCTCAGGAAAATACTTTGCTTACTTAATAAAATTTTAAATAATATACAAACTTATTTAATATATTTATAAATAAAATATATTTATTAAATAAATATTTAATATCTACTTATATAAAATACCCTGGAGAAAAGATTACATGGATTCAGAGTTTCAGAACAGGAATTCAGCAACATGAAACTCGGGAAGAGAAAAACCCATGACTTAGGTTTATTGGCTTATTCTAAAGGATGCAGCTCAGGAACCAAGTGGAAGGACGCAGCGGACAGGGCGTCGTGGCCGCAAGGGTGCGCGGAGCTGTTGTCGTAACTTCTCGCCAGTGGCCACCTTCCCTGCAAGTGGATGTGCTGACCAAGAGTGTTTATAACCCCGTCTCGAGCCCCTTTCTCACCCCTCCCCAGAGCTGTGAGTGCAATGGGCAGAAAGCTCTTTACTCCAGTCACTAGGTGACCAGCCCCCATGAAAGCTATCTAGGTGCCCAACCCTAAGTCACCTCATCAGCGTAAACTCAGGCCTCAGGCATGGTCAGAAGGGGCTCTGTATGAATCACAAAAGACACTCCTCTCACTCAGGAAATTCCCAGGGCTTTGGAAGCTCTGTGCCAGGAAAACCAAATCTATTTTCTTATTATACCATAATGTATTTTTTTAATGAAAGATAACTTTCCTTTTTCCTCCCTCCCTTCCCCTCTCTCATCCCTTTCCCCTCCTCCGCCCTCCCTCAATGCTTCCATGCCACTAGCATCCACACACATTTAGAGTTTCCTGTGGGCTCGAAGCAGCACAAATAGGGCCCAGGTGCCAGAGCCATGGAAGAATTGGGATTCCCCCAGTGCCTTTTAGATCAATGGCCCCTTCCTCCCTTCCCTTCAGTGTCCCCTCACAACTCCACACACTCTTCTTTTGAAGATTTAATGAGAAGGAATCTCACAAAAGGAGGGAGAGAAGGAAGAGCACACACTCCTCTAAATGTGATTGTCTGGGAGTCTAGGTTCATTGACGCTTCTTTTCAGATCCCCACTCTGTGGAAAACGTGTCAGGTGCTGTCTACAAAGATTTTGTCTGATGCCCCCTGTTCCCGAGGGACCTAGGAACCAAGTGCTTTCAGAGAACAACCTTTTTTCTAGAAGTTTGTTGTTTGTAGGGCCTTATTCCATATCCATTCTTGGGAAACCGTCATGGGAGCCTGTGGGGGTTGCTGGTGGGGCCCCCGGGCTCAGGATTGTGGACCTGGGCTCCAGGGCACACAGCATGAGGTTCCCACTGCATGTTGGCACTCAGTCTTCCCCACCCTTGGCTGCAGCTATGTTATGACTGTTACTACAGCTCCCAAGTCCAGCAGGATTTTGTAAAATGGGGAAATCTCTCTCTCTTTTTTTAAGCCACCATTCATCACTTGCCTGCCAGGGCCATATGACTTTAATCTGCTGCTGCACACATTATCTCATCTCATCCTGTGAGGCAGGGTACATGTAAGGAAACTGCAGTTCAGAGACAATGATTTACCTGAACAAGCTCACGCCGCTAGTCTCTGCCAGACCCTTGGTGCAAACCCAGGTCTGTCTGATGCGGATGCTTTTGGCAGCTCCCCCTACCTTTTCTGCCACTACGGTTACCTGAAAAGGGTTCCGATCCAGACCCCAAGAGAGGGTTCTTGGATCTAGTGTGAGAAAGAATTCAGGGCGTGAAAGTAAGTTTATTAGGAAAGTAGAGGAATAAAAGAATGGCTACTCCATAGAGAGAGCAGCCCCGAAGGCTGCTGGTTGCCCATTTTTATGGTTATTTCTTGATAGGCTGAACAAGGGGTGGATTATTCATGCCTCTCTTTTTTAGACCATGTAAGGTAACTTCCTGATGTTGCCTTGGCATTTCTAAACTGTCATGGAGCTGGTGGGAGTGTAGCCATGAGGATGACCAGAGGTCACTCTCGTGGCCATCTTGGTTTTGGTGGGATTCAGCCGGCTTCTTTACTGCAACCTGTTTTATCAGCAAGGTCTTTATGGCCTGTATCTTGTGCCAACTTCCTGTCTCATCCTGTGACTTAGAATGCCTAACCATCTGGGAATGCAGCCCAGTAGGAGGTTTCAGCCCTGCTTTACCCAGCTCCTATTTAAGATGGAGTTTCCCTGGTTTAAATGCCTCTGACACAATGGTCAGCCTGGTTTGGGGCAAGGGAAAACAGCAGATGGGCAGCAGCATCAGGGAGATTGAGCCAGAAGAACCAGCTCTGGTAGAACCCAAAGATCAGTTTGCTTAAAGTCAAATAACACAGGTAAGCCCTGACCCAGTGACTGACTAAAACATCCTAGCTTTCTGAACCCTGGCGTCCTCTTGTAAATGGAAGCAGTCATATCACTGACCCCCCCGAACTATGGTGAGTCTGCTATGGTGAGTCTGGACATACACAGGACACTGGACTAGCATAAAGGCTGTGATCTGGCCGGGGAGGGGATGAGCCCGTGGTTTACGCAGTGGGGTGTGCGGGGTGTGGGGAGGCAGCGTACAGCTCTGGCTGTGCCTTGGACGAGGTCTGGGTTTGACCATCCAAGCACTCCCATTCCCATTCCCAGTTCCTGTCTCCCCTCCCTCTCTGGCCATCATTCAGCAGGCAGAGGAGAAGGAGAGAAGTGCCTTGGCCTACCATGCCCACTTTCCAGGGCAGTTCGTGGAATCTTGGGGCCCTGACCTGTGTGGTAATAATGGTGAACGTGACTGGCTCTGTGATAATTAGTGACCGACACAGAGAAGCATCCCAGGGTGAGATGCAAGACTGTGGCACAGAAAGCACAGGTGTTGGCTGTGGCAGGGCCTTGTGCCCAGGGCAAGGGAGAGAAATGAAGGGAAGCACAGGGCAGAGGTGCCAAGTTGGAGCAAGCTGCAGGAAGCATGGCTTGGTTGGTGCCCAGGCATTCCTGGAAGACAACTAGGACAAGACCCACCATTCCTGGGTGTGCCCCTCCTGTCCCCTCCCCAACCACTTCCATCTCATTAGAGACCCCAGCAGGCAGCTGTCGATCCTGAATGCCCCAGAGGATACTTCTGCACATCACCCATTAACACATCCTCATTCCTGGAGGTCCCTGGCTGCAAAATGATGTCACTCACCTGGATAGTTCCTCTCCTTTGATGTCAGATTAGATCCTTCCAGACTTGGGACCATCTTTCTGGATGCTGCCTGCCCTCCTCAGAGAATGGTTGGTCTGGGACATGCCCTTTGCTTCCCTTGTTGTATCAATAGCTCTAGGCCCACAGCCCCTCATCTGCAATTCCCAAATCTCAGCAGCTCTGAAAATTTTTCCCCCTCCTTTGATGTTGTTTTCGTAACTTTGCGTCAAATTATTTTGGTCTAAAATCAAATTGAAATCTATGTGAATTGAGGCATTTATTTGTCTCACTTAGTGCAAATAGGCATGTTTTGCTGCAGAAATTACCATGTATTTGATTGTGAGGAGCCACCCTGGTCCCAGGTTGGGGTGGTGCATCACATACCTTTCTGGATCTTGGAAAGCCTGAGCTTCAGAGCATGGGTGGTACCAGGGGGACAGAATACAGGATAATGGTGCAATTATAGGAGCTTCTGGGCTCATACTTGTCAGCCCTGAGCCTCCTGTGGGGTGGTGCTGGTTATGTGGCAGCTGCAGGTGGGATCCCACCCGAGCATCCTCTGCAGAGCTTGTGGGCTCCAGGAAGGGCTGTTTAGCACCTGATCCTCGGAGGGATGACCCCAGACGTGGGTATTCCTCTGGCAAAAGTCACTCGATAACCTCAATTAAGGCCTGGCCGTGAGCTTGTGTGAGTGCTTCCTGAGTCTTCACCTGCCTCCTTTCGTCCTGACTCTGCGTTTCACCATCAGGGCTCAGGATTTGCATTGTCGGGTGTCGGAAGCACTATCCCTGTGACAAAATAAAAATTCAAATCTGAAAACATTCCTTTAGAAATTCTGAGAGGTTCCCATGCAGCTGCACAGTATTGCTTTATGGAAATAAATATTCCACATTTCTCCAGCCTGGTTCTTAGTCCAGTGGAAATAAGTGAATTCCTTTTTTCGAAGTATTCTTACAGTGAAAACTTCTAAGGCAAAACAGTTATTCATTTGGCTAGAAGTAACCCATCTACTGCAGGAGGAGAAGGCTCGGGGACATGCAGAGGGTTGGAATTAACTTTAATGATACCATCTGAATGTGTTCATGGTGACAGCAGAACCTTAAATGTGAGTTTTATGCTCTTCACAGTCATTTTGGAAAGGATTTTTGAATTCCCATTTTCATTATATTTTATAAATAGCAATTCAGTTATAATAAATGTCTGGAATTCTCTTTGGTTTTGCACTTACCTAATAATCGCTTATGAGAAATATTAGTAGCCAAGGAAGTGAAGTGCTGCTAATGTCATTGTGTGTGTCAGTCTTGGACAGATCACTATTTACAGTGGAATGTGTCAGAATATCCAGGGGTGAAGACTGTTCGTTTCCCAGATGGCCAGATTTGGAAACCAGACATTCTTCTCTATAACAGGTAAGCATATTGAACAAAGGAAAAAAATGATTTTATGCTTGCATACATGTAGCTATCACGTATATTTGAATATTTCACAGAGATGCTGGATATGTTATCTATGATCTGGGGCCACTGCTCCCTACACGGCTTTCCGAGCGGCCAGGCCTTTGAGAAGCAGCTCTGTCCCTGTAAGCCAGCATTCCCTGGTTTGGCATGCACACGTGCACACGCTGGCTAGCCTGCTACTTAAGACGCCCATGAAGTTGTATGTTCTCGGGGCCTAGTGTTGTTTCTGTGCATATTGGCACATGGAGTATTCTTGCATAAGGCAGTACCTTTGTTCTCTGAATGGCAGCAGTTATGACCAACAGCAGGAAGTGCTGGCCTATGGGATGCACTGCTGGAGCCCACAGTTTGGACCCACATCCTCGTCTATGTTCCCTGTTGTGCATTGGAGAGTTCTGTGGCAGAGATGGCTGCAGGTGAGCGTGAGGACTGTCATCTCTAGCTGCATGCAGAAACTTCCCCTGCAGGGTATATACCTGATTTCTAATAGTCTTTCTCCTGAGGTCAGGAAATAAGGGACACGTCGGTAAACCAAGACAGTCTGACTTGCAGACCAGATGCCTAAAAGGCAATTATTCAGGCAGGGTAAGTTTCTAGAAGCAGTAAAATTTCTCGTTAAACTGCATAGTCAAATAAGGGATCCCAGAACATTTCTGACTAATAAGGTGTCAGACCTCATAAATAACATCATGAAAAGAAAGTTATTTCCTAATCATGACCGCTACCTTTGGTCATGAAGAAGGAAGCCCAGGCTTTCCTGATGCAGGGAACAGTGTGACCAAATTGCCCTCCATGGTCACTCGGTGATCCCGCTGGACAAGCAATGTGTTGTCCTACATGGCTACTTCCAGAAGGCTGGGCGATGCTATTTCTTGTATGGACTTTTCATTCTGCCTCTGTCTTTGCATCTGGGGGCCGGCCACATTTCACTTGAATCATTGGGCCCGTTTCTAGAAGAGTATCCTCTTCTCATTTGCTGCCACTTTTCTGCTTCTCAAATTAGTTCAGACAACTGAGCTTTGAAAAACGTCTAAAATAGGAGTAAGTGGTCCCCTGTTGAATGGATCAAACATGTGCCTTTCCATGCCTGGACTTTGGGTCTTCTGTTTCTTGGGGGGCTGTATTAGTTTGCCAAGGCTGCTGTAACAAAGTGCTACAGACTCAGAGCCTTAAACAATAGAAGTTACCCTGTCACAATTGTGGAGGCCAGAAGTCTGAATGAAGGTGTTGTCAGGACTGGCTTCTTCTGAGCCTCTCTCCTTGGCTGGTAGATGGCTGCCATCTCACTGGGTTCACGTGACCTTCGCTTGTCTCTGTCCGTGCCCTAGTCTCCTCTTCCTGTAAGCACTGCAGTCAAATTAGAGTAGGGCCCCATGCTCATGACCCTCTTTTACTTTAATTACCTTTTTAAAGGTTCTGTCTTCAAATAGAGCCACACTCTGAGGCACCAGGTATTAGGATTTCAACATGTGAGTTTGAGGGAGATGCAACTCAGTCCATAATGAGGGCATTGTATCTGACTTTTTGAGGGCAAAGGGTCAGGGTTGAAGAAGTCTCCGTGTTAATTTTAGCTGTAATATTTACAGTCTGTATAACCTTTGAGTCTCAGATTTCTCCTTTGAAAAACGGGGAAAGTGCCGGCTTCACAGAGTTCGGAGGATCGCTCTGTGGATGTGTGTAGCACACTTAGTCTGGCACTTGGAAAAGAGCACACATTCCGTAAAGGCAGTTGTGTGTTTACAGGCAGAATGATGAGGATTCCTGCTTTTAGAACAAGATGGTAATTTAACAATTTAGAAAAAAATAATCAATGTTTTTCATTTTCCAATTCGGATTTTTTAAGTTTGAAATCAAGAATAAATTTTATAACATTCAGCCTGAGCAATGTACGAGACCCCCATCTCTAACAACAATAACGACAACAACAACAAAATTAGCTGGGCATGGTGACCTGCACCTGTAGTGCCAGCTACTCAGGAGGCTGAGGTAGAAGGATCCCTTGAGCCCAGCAGTGAGCTTTGATTATATCACTGCTTGCCATCCTGGGTGACAGAGTGAGATGCTATCTCCAAATATATATATATATATATATATATGTATATATATATATATACATATATATATATATACACATACATACATACACACACACATATACACACACACATACATACATATACATACACACACACACACAGAGAGAGAGAGAGAGAGCACCCCACCATATTATATGTATAACATGTTGGTGGAATCTTATTAACACGGTTACAAGAGGCAGTTTATATGGCCTATGTGTAGGATCTTTAACTCCAAAATGTAAAATGTTTGATGATTCCAAATGCTCTGGCTAATGAGGAATTTCCAAGTTGTAATTGAATTTCAAGGAGCAAAGATAGAGCAGTCTCTACCTGACAAATGTTACCAGGGTCCAGGCCCTTAGAAATGATCCCCACCTCCACATGCCTGACCCAGCTGCCGGTGCAGAACCCCATCGCTCACACATCTGTTGAGCTCTACTGAAGGATCCTGCTCGTTCCTCTTTCCCATGGTGGACATAGACCACGTCCGCCAGGCTTCATCATGGAGGATGTAGAGGCTGCTTCAATTTCTGCTTTTGTTTTCCTGAGACATGGAATGTAGGACTTTCTTTTTGAAGTAACTACTAAATATATTTTGAAGTAACTGCTAAATATATGGCCCGCAGGTCCACATGAACCCAACGTGGAATGAATAGATTTCAGAGAATATTTAAACCACTCATAGACACTTATCTATTGCTACAGAACAAACTCCTCAGAACTGAGTGACTTAAAGCAAACAACTCAGATTATTCCTCATGATGCCGTGGGCTGTCCAGGCCCATGTGGCTGGTTGTCTCTTTCACGTGGCATTGGGCACAGCCATGGGCTGGGGCTCCACTGGGCCGATGTGCTGAGGGGTACACTTCCACAGCGGGGCAGGTCTGGGCTGAGCTGGTGGGGACGCCGGCCCTGGCAGGAAGCTCAGCCATTCAGCTGGGGACTGTGCACCCACCCCTTCTGGGCCTTTTCCACAAGGCTCGGTGTCCCCCAGCTTGGTGGCCAGCAGTGCTCTGACAGGAAGGAAGGAGAGGCTGCTGGGACTCTTAAGGACTGAGCGTGAGGGTCCCGCAACAGCCCTTCTCCACATTCTGTTGGTCAGAGTAGGCAGGAGCCCAGCTTGGAGTCAAGAAAGGGGAAATCAGCACCCCTATCTAGGGCAAGAGGGAGGCCACAGGGTGCTCTGGGGACACTAGTGATCACAGCTAAGGAAGGAAAGCGGTGGAACTGCAAGGGTCAAAGTAAAGCCCCAGGAAACCGAAAGACCAGAAGAGGCGTGCATTGTGAAGGGGAAGGCACGCTCCGCCATGTGCCTGCTGAAATTGGCAATGTGGGAGGAGAAGCAGGCAGGAGGAGAGAGCTTCTAAACAAGACAGATCTTGTCATCTCTGCCCCCCCTTGCTGGCTGGCTTCCCCTTCCTGCCTGGACACACTGTGCAGCCCCCAGGTATGTGCTGACCAGCCTATCCCTACCCTGTAGCCTCGTCCACTCTCCAGCCCTACTGCTTGTCCTTTGGCTCATTGATGCACCAATGCTTCCAGGCAGAGTGTTTATATGAGCGTCTTGCGGGGCGAGGAATGCCCACCCCTTAACTCCCAGTTAGCAAGGGAAACCTCCCTGACACCCTCACCCCTGCCAAGTCTAGAACACATTTCTCTGTCACGTAGAAAAGGATTCCTGTCCACGATGGCACTTAGGGTCTGCTACCTCTTAGGGGCACCTAGCAGGGCACTTGATACACATTTATGCAAAGACAAGATGGAGAGAGGAAGGGAGGGTGCAGGAATTATTAGGAGGAGGAGCGAAGAAGATGGATCAGTGTAATACAGTGCGGCTAAGAACAGCCAGAGAAGAAAGAAAGCAAAGGAAAGAAATCATGTAGGCAACCTAGAAAACATTCAACTGAGACTGAGTCCAAAAATTCACACAGGAAATAGCAAAAATAGTCTTCACTACTAATATCCTAACCCTCTGATATTCTGTTATTGGGGATTTTGAGAGATACCGAATTTAATGCTTTCTGCCAGCTTCTAGGCGTGGAAAATAATATGTTCTGCTTAGTAGACTCATCTGTTAGTTCATTATGGTCTGAATGGAGTCGAGGGGCTTTTCCTAAAGGAGGGGGTTAAATGCATCCTGTGTAAGCCCCAGTTTTGAAAGCAGTGTTGATGTAGCTCAGCTGAAGCCTCCCAAACATGTCTGTCCTATTTCTCACTCTATTCTCGTTTGATATTGGAGTCCCCACGTGAGTCACTATTGCTTTTTGAGATATAATGCATTTTCCATGCTTTAAAGTGGCTGGGTCACTGCAAAACAGCCATCTCTGCATCATTTGTGGAATGGGCTGCTGTATTTCCTTGATGGGTGGGTAACAAGTCATGCTGCTGCCAGCCAGCTGGCCAGGTCGCTCTGAGGAGAGGATGGGCACGAATAAAAGCGTCTCTGTCTGGTGCTGATCCCAGTCATTTCTTTGTTGCTTTATTTTGCTTTACTTTAAGCCTGCGGCTCAAGGAGTTTTCTGAACACCATCTTGCCTAAAGTGGGTAGCAATTATGGATGGCTTGCCGTGATTTTCCCCTTTGGATGGAATTAAAGGCCTTGCTGGGATCAGCAGTCCGCTTGCAGAAGGACAGTCTGAATCCCGCAACTCTGCGGATGCCCCTACACCGTGCAGAGACAGGCAACTGCCTCACCCTCTCTGGGCTTCTCTGTTTCTGAGTTGCTCGGTCAGAAAATTCTATTGCAATAATGGAAATCTTTTTTGATGAAGATATTTAAAGATGTTTTTGTTGGCTCTGAAAGTTTAGAACAGCATGGGGTTTCAGCCATCCATTTTCATTGAGTGTGCAAAGCTGCATTTGTCATCTGCAGGGTTGTGTCTTTCACTCATTTTCCTGACCCTGTGGCTGATAGCAGAGGCTGGAGAGGGGACCTCTATGCAGGACACACTTGAGAGCAGTGTGGCCAAGCCTGTAAGCACTCATAATTGTGCTCATCATTGTTGCCAAGCGTCTTAGGGAACCTGGGGGAGCCAACCCAGGACAAGGATTCCTGAGCATGTAGCTTATTTGGGAAGGGATCCTGGGAAGCAGGATGAGGGGAGGGGGAGTGAGATAGGGAGGGCAGGCAAGCCGTTGGAGTGAGCATTGAAAAGCAAATCATACTGCGGGCAAACAGAGCCCATTCCTACTGGGGAGCTCTGGGAGACTGTGTATAGCACATCTCAGCCTTGTTCTGAGGAAACTGGGATGCTTATCTGCCAGCTGCCTTCCATCATAGGCTGAGAGCTGCTTCCAGGGGTGTCAGCTCCCTGGCACCTCTGGCTTGCCTGCCCCATGTGTGGATCAAGTGCAGAGCTGCAGATGCTTGCAGTAGGCAGCTGTCAGGGCCTTGGGCACAGGAGGATGATTGTCGACATGGTCTGCTACAGCGCAGATGAGCCATCCACTCAAGTTCTAGTTGCTTTCACCCTGCTTTGATTGTAGATCCAATCTCAGCTTCTGGTAGGGAGCATAGCAACAATATGGGTGGAAGGGAGAGAGTCCTAGGACTTGAGGGTCCTAGGGGTGAGGGTGTTCTCAGCCAGAGCAGAGGAGGCAGGCAGGTGGCAAATTTCACTGGACTAAAGAAGAGCCCAAGCCTGCATCCCAGCAAGGGGTGCCTATTCTACGTGGGCTGCGATGTATCTATTATGGAGTCATGGCAGTGCACACATGGAATGGCATCTTAGGGAGTGAATCTGTGAGATGTAGTGTTGTCATGGTTAATAGCTCCTGAAATTGTGGTATCCCTCAGCCTAACCGAGATTGGCCTGCTGGTGCTCAAAGGCTCATAATGCAGTCATGGCCAGGCTCTTGGAGGGCCCAAGGGCATCACTGGAAGGTGATGTGGTTGCTATAGTTTGAATATTTGTCCTTTACAAATATTTGAATATCTGTCTTCTCCAGAATTTGTGTTAAAATTTAACCCCTAATATGACAGTATTGAGAGGTGGGACCTTTGAAGGCCAACTGGGTCATGAGGGCTCTGCCCTCATGAATGCTTTAATCTATTCATGGATTAATGGATCAATAGGATATCATGGGAATGGGACTGATAACTTGATAAGAAGAGGAAGAGAGGCCTGAGCCAGCACCTTCAGGCCCCTCCCCATGCGATGCCTGGTACCACCTTGGCACTACAGAGAGTCCCCACCAGCAAGAAGCCCTCACCAGATGCAGCTCCTTGACCTCGGACTCCCAGCATCCATACTGTAAGAAATGAATTCTTTTCTTTATAAATTACCCAGTTTCAGGCATCCTGTTATAAGCAACAGAAAACAAACTAAGACAGTAGTAGTTCCAGGTGAGCAGAGGTAATTTTGCTGCTGGAGATCTCAGAGAAGGAGTTTTGAGGATGTGCTGTTACAGCTTCTGTATTAATCAGATATTCACACCTGAGCTGGAGGGAGGCTGTTTCTAAATCATGTGTTGTGGGAAGAGGGGGAGCAGCAGCTTGTTTTAAAGCAGTGAGTGGAGCCAGCCAACCTATGTTTGCATCTTCAAAGTCATCCTCCGAACTGTCCATCTCACTCTCCCAGGTCTCATCATGGTCGCTCTTGCTGTTTGTTTTTAATTTGTTCATTCACTCAACCAATATTTAGTGAAGGCTCCCTCAGCATAATCACACACTGTTCTGGGAACTAAGGATTCAGCAGTGATCCAGCCAGACCCAAACCCACCAGAGAAACAGAGATGGGGAAGAGAGGAGGGAGGCATGGGCCAGATTGTAGGTGATCCCAGAAAAATGAAGCAGGAAAGGGAATAGTGAGGGCTGAGCCAGAGGTCAGGGAGAGACCAGGAGACAGACTAGAGGGCTGCAAAGGAACAGGCCCTGTGATATCAAGTGGAGAGAGTGTTCCTGACAGAAGGAACAGCCAGTGCAGGGGCCCTGTCAAGAAGGCTTGTGAAAGACTTCGAAATGCAAAAAAAAAAAAAAAATAGTGAGGGAAGAGAAAAAAAGACACCTCGGTTCCTACAGAATACTAGGCATGGTCACAGGCACCTTCCTGGTCATCTGAGTCTGTAGTGGACTGTGCCTGTCATGGTCTTCAAACTAGTTTTCAACTCTAACTTCTAGAAAACTGATGGCAAAACCAATGATTCTAGTCCACGGAGAAGCAAATGTGTTTTGCTGGTGGACCAATTCCCCTGTTGACAGATTCAGATCAGTGTGCCTGGTTGTCTTTGTATGTGTCTGCTTTTAGGATGCTCTGCAGAATTGGTTTTAACATTTTCCTGGTTCCTTCCTTCATTAATGACTTAAGTAGTCTTTGACACACGATCACTTTATATTTGTGCAAGTGTCATGATTTTATCTTTTAAAAAATCCATCAATTGCCCTGAGGCGGGAACATGCTATCCAGGTCTGTCCTAGGAGCAAATTCAGCTGCTGTGGCTGGAGAGAATTGGTGGATGGGGAAGCCAGGGTTCAGAGAGAGGGTCAGAGACATGATGGGAGGAGCTGGGGACCAAGTCGTGGAGGCCTTGGCTTTGACTGTGAGACAGGAGAGGCCCTGATACCTTTGACAGAATTTTTGTTTCAGTTCCTTTTTGCTTTGAACATTTTAAAAAAAAATATTTATTCATATTCTCCTCTTGACTTGTTAGCAATTGATTCCCATCAGGTGATTTTGTCCAGAAGTTATTATCTGTTCTTTTCTGCTTGTACACTCCTCCCAGCCTGTGGCAGTGGGCAGGTTTTGCTTTTGTTGTTTCTTCTGACATCTCAGCAAGAGGAAGGGAGGAAGGGCAAGTGCGTGTGTGTCCTTAATCAGCCTCTGATGGCCCAGCTGTTTGCCTCGGGCTAACTCGGAGCCCACCTGTCTGCACCAGAGTGAGTGGACTGTCGCTGGCTGACTGTTAATGCTGTCTGCCTCATCCGGTGCTTACTGAAGGTCCCATGCACTGCGTTCAGCCTACTTGCCCGCAGCTCCTGGTCTTCAGCACCCTGGAGCCAAGCCCCCTTTACTGGGCACTCGCCCAGTGCCAGCAGATGATAGCCAGGAAATTGTGGCTTTATGCCTTCTTTCTGGACTTTATGAAGTCTGTTTGAGTGTCCACAAATCTCAGGGCGGGAAGCTGGTGCTCAGAGAGGTTCAGCCACTTGCCCGAGGTCACTCAGCTGGGTCTGCCTGACTCCATAGTCTGACTCATTACTGGCCAGTCTCTCGACACATCAGGAAAGAGCTCGGTCTCTTGTGCTTTATTTTCTAAAGTTAAAAAGCAGAGAGATCCCCTTTCCCTCCCTCTGAGCTGGCTCCACTTTCGCACCTGCTCTGGGCTGCTCTGCCAGGCTCAGCCTTCCACTTCCTAAAAAGAGTGAGTTTGTTTTCTCTGAAGCTGCTGTGGGGTTTTCTTTTCTTTTCTTTTCTTTTCTTTTTCTGAAGCTGCTGTGGGGTTTACTGTCGCCTCTTGACTGATTTCACTCAGCATCTGACATTTTCTTTTCTTTGACCAAATCCCCTGCCAGCCAGTGTGGGCCACAGGGCAGTGCCACAGCAGAGCGTGGAATGACAGAACCCAACTGCTGTCTGTGCAAGAGTTTGAGCAGAATTTCAAGCAGAGGACAGGTGCTGCGGTGAATAGAATTTTGTGGGGATGGTGTTGCATTGAGGTGGCCTGGGTGAGGCTGTCTTCTGGCATGTGGCAACGGGCCAGTCCACGGAGCAGCTCCCCAACCCCCTGCACCCCCAAGGGCCCTGAAGCTAATCGTGCCCAAGAGCACGGCTTTTGGAGATGAGCTTATTGATCTTTGTGATGTGGAACACAGAGCCAGCACGGTTGTAAGGGCTGTGTGATAAATACATGAGACAGGAACTCAATGGGCGGTTCAGTCTTCATCATGAGCTGCCTGAGGGAGCAGTGCGGGCAGCCAGGTGAGGGCCAGGGTCCGCCGCCACCCCGCCCCTTCCCGAGCCTGCTGTGGGGTCCCTGCGCGTGTCCACTGCCCACTAGAGATGCGCTCTTCAGCTGTCTGCACAGGAGGAGACTTAGGAAGTTGTGTGTGAGGCATCAGAAGGCAGCTGGGCCTCCCCAGCATGCTAAGACCTCAGCAGTGCAGGGTGTGGGGCCCGAGCTGGATGTGCCCCATTGCTTGTATCAAAACCTGGAGAAACAGAGCTTTCCTTGTGGGCCAGGGCCACATGGTCGGTGGAGCTGATGCTGTCAGTCGGCCGGGTGGTATTTTCTGGGGACCTACTCTGTGTAAGACACTGTGCTTCTAGGAAGACGCACATTCACTGCCCTCGAGGCATGTGTAATCAGTAGCAAATCAGTTTACCGTGGGTGGTCTCATCTGACGTATTTTTGTGTCCTTCAGTGAAGTCATCTAAAATTACTCTGCTTCACAATTGAGGAAATGGTTCCTGAAATTAAATGGCTTGTTGACGCAGTTCTGAGGCCTTGACTCCACATCCTCGTGCCTTTCCCAGTCCTTGACAGGCTCTTTGTGGCTGTAAGACAAGGGCACAAAGTGCATCTTGCAGAGCAGAAGATGACGTATGTCAGGGACATAACATCTTAGAAAGATCTGGAAGAGAGAGAGCCTCATCCAGTGGGAGGGTGTGGGCAACTGTTCACGGCAGGGTGGCCATACGTCTTGGTCTGTCTGGGACAGCCCGGGTTTGTGCCTGAGGTCCTGGCACTGCTGTTAATGGTGCCTTTTTTCACTTTTAAGATGGGGCATTTCATGGAAAGATATGTAAGTTAGGTCATATGGCACAGGGCCCTTAGCGGGGAGGGGGAGAGATCACCTTGGAAGGGACTAAATGTGGCAGGATCCTCAATGCATATGCTTGGAATGAAAGGGAGAGGGAAAAGAACAGAATAATCAGGTCAGGGACTAGCTATAATCTAAGGAATTGCCACCAGTCCAACTGGACTTCTCTGGAAATCTGTCCCTGACGCCTGGCCACAGTCGCCTACTCTGGGCTGCTGTGTACCTTGGAGGACTCTTTGTAAACATCACACGATGCTGCGGATGTGAGTTTGATACTCTTGTTTTTCCCCACTGTCCAGTGAGCTCCTTGGGAGCAACCAAGTTCTATTCACATTTTGTAATCCCCCCAAGTTAGTGTGACAAGTAGCACATGGCAAGCAGCACATCGCAGTGGGTGAGGGACTAGTGGGGCCACTACCCTGTTCCAGGAGGGAGTTGCTGGAGGCCAGAACCTGGGCAGAACCTTGGAACTCAGGCTGTCTGGATCAAGAGAGCCATCTTCTAGCACCCTTAGATTAAAAATAAGTAAGTTCTGATTGTGTGGGGCAGGGATGTAGGGTATGGGTCCTATCCCGAGAAGCAAATTAGTCTAGAAATGATTCTCCTTTCTCCTCCACTACCCATACCAATCTATCTTGAAGGATTATGCATTTGAAATTACTCTAGTCATCTTTTCACATTATTTGTGGTCTTTTTTTAATATAAATTTTACATCCTTAGCTAATCACATTTTTGTGTTGTTTCCTTTATGGATCCTTTATGGCTTTGGGGTCCCAGACCAGGAGACTATCCATTTATTCTACTAAATAGTTTGTTTTTTATTGTGTATGGTTTTTTTTCCCTAAAATGTTTGTGTATGCTATGAGGTAAGGGTCTAACTTTACTTTTCTTTAAGGGATAGAAAATAATTCTAACAGCACTTATTGAGCAATACATCTTTCTCCCCATGGCATTGAAGTGGGATGGTTATATTCATTTATGCATGTGCCAATACCATACTGAGAGCTAAGCAGGGTGAATAAAAAGAGACATATGTCTTGAATATCTTGCTGCGATTTTAAAACACTCATGATAAAGGCAAAACCCTTATAAGCTCTCAAAGCAAAAAAAAAAAAAAAATCACAATAGCAAGAAACAGTAGCCTAGTAGAGGACTACTTTCAAATATTGAAGGGCAATTATTTTTAAAATAAAATATTTTGTTGAACTGAACTTTCTGGGCAAAAATGAAAGCAGTTTTAAATATGTAAAGACTCAAGTCTGAAAGAATTACTCAGAATTGTATTCCAGCAAAATGAGAAGAAACCAAGAAAGAGGCAAACCTGGAATATAATCAGCACTCGTGAGTGATGGAATCACTAAAAGGCATAGTTCAGTCTAATTATTTGATGATGTTGTTAAATGGTTTTTGTTGGCAGGGGACTAAGAAGTAGAAGAAGTAACAGCAGACGTTTGGTGTCGGCCTTCTTTGGTTCATGCATGATAAAGATAAACCTCGTTAAATGCACAAAATGAAAAAAAGTACAAGTAAATATGTATGTTAAATATTTGAATAGCTATCAGAGTAACAGAAATAGTGTCATAACTTCCAGACCACTAGAGATAAAATAAGGGACCAAAACCTGAAGTCGATACCTCTAATGCAAGAACAGAAAACTGAGAAACAGTGTAAGTATGAGGTCTCTCATGGATCCCTGGCATGGGTATGAACATTATTTTAAACTGAAGACATTTGAGATTAAACAGATAGGGAAAGAAGCTTTTTCAGAGCTTACTTATCAGACTACAGCAAAAACTTCTGGGAGCGAGCCTGGCATAAATCTCCTTTCTAGGGGAGTCTTTACTGGCTGGAAAGAAGATGGAAAAGACCAGTTGCACCTGCATAAACAAAACTTTCCCACAGACCTTCTTATCTCCCATTTGCTCCCCTAGAAACCGATTTGTTCTTTTCATAGAAGCCCTTCCTCTCCCCTCTCTCTCCGCTGTGCAGTATATAATCTCACCTTTAGCTGTTTGAAGAGTTGCATTTTTCTTTGTGCCCCTGTGCCCATGTAGGCATAAAAGTCAGTTTTCTCTTGCTCATCTGTCTTTTGTCAGTTTAATTCCTAAGCTCCCCCCCGCCAAAAGAATCTATAAGGGTAGAGGAAGAGCATTTCTTCTCTAACATGAGAAAATCTGGCCAAAAAAAAAAAAAAAAAACAGCCTACAAAAAACCAGAAAACAAACCTACTAGCAGAAACGAGTTAAAACAATCACTAATCACAAAAATTCAAATGGATTTAAATCCCATAACAGTTCTCAAACCAAAACAGACTCCTAGATGGGTTTCAAAAAATCAAAATCCAACTATATTGTATATACAGAAGGTAGATTTTAATCAAATAATCCAAAAGGTTGAAATGAAAAGGATCGAAAAACCATGTCTGCCAAATGCCATAAGAAGAAACAGATTTAGCATTGTTCTTATTTCACAAATATAGATGAAAGACAAAATACGTAAAAAGGGACAAAATGAATATTTTATATTGATTAAAGGAAAATTTATTGAGAAAACAAAGTGCTCATGAATAATTATGTTGCAGTGTGACTGCAAAAAATACAGTCAATGCTGATGAAAGTCAAAGGAGAAATTAACAAAAACCAGGATCTCAAGAAAGGGTAAGTATGCTTACATGGAATGAAATAAAACAGTGGTTAAAACTAACCCAGAAGATATATAGAAAGATTTGTATCTAACAAATATTTCCCAAAAGTAGTAATATTCACAAAAAATAAACTAAGACTGGAAGAAAATTCATAAGCAGATAAATATTACTCAGAAGAAAACTGGCAAACAAAGCTGACTGTTGAAAAGTCAGGTGAATCCACCTCAAAGTCAGAGATAAGGCAAAGATGAGAAATGTTAGGGACTGAATGATTGTGTCCCCTCGAGAATTAGTATGTTGAAATCCTAACCCCCAAGGTGATGGAATTAGAAGGTGGGGCCTCTAGGAGGGGATTGGGTCATAAAGGTGGAGTTTCATGAATGGGATTAGTGTCCTTATAAGAAGAGACACAAGGGCTTTCTTCCTGTCTCTGCTTATTTGGCCATCTGAGGACACAAGGAGGAGATGTGTATCTGCAAACCAGGACAGTTGCCCTCCCCAGACATCAGATCCGTGGGTGCTTTGATCTTGGACTTACAGGCTCCAGAACTGTGGAAGATAAATGCCAGAACTGACTAAGACAACAGCTATCACTGCTTTCAACTGCCGGGTGGATGCCCTAGCCGGAGCCCTATGACAGCAAGTTAAAGAAAGATATCTAAATATTACGAGAAAGAAAAAACACTATCATTACTTCCAGTTGGTTAGTCACCTAAAGGCAGACGCAGCTGACAAACTTTGAACTAATAAAAGATTTAAGAAAGAAGACAATAGCTGAGCTAGGTGTGAGTGAAGAACAGTGAAGTGAAATGGAAAGAACAGACCTCATTTACACTCATGATGATAACCATAAAATACCAAAGAATCAACCTGGTGCCCATGCACCAAACCCTTCTGAGGAAAACGATAAAAATTCACCAAAGCACCTGAAAGAGTAAAAGAGTCAGGAAGCAGCATGTGGGGTCTGCCAGCTCTCCTTCCCCTGCAGCTGGGCCATGTGTTGGAAGCCTGGAGTAGCAGCAGGGTTACTGCCTGGGGTCCCAGAGTCAAGGACTTAGAACTGCTGTGCCCGGGCTGCCTAGTAGACTCTAGAGACGCTCCGCTGCAGTCTTCTGGGGTCAAGAGGGGACAATCGGAAAGAGCTTTAAAAACTCTCAGGCTGCTCAGGGAGTTCTTAGATAGTGCTTTGGGCTCCATGTGCAGGATCTAGATCCTGCTTGCCTGGTTTGCTCTTCTGATTCGATGTTCCAATATCTGCTCTGGCTAAGAAGCTGCCGAGTGATTGTTAACAATGGAAACTGCATCTTTACCTCCTCAGGGTCTGATACAGCAGGTGTGGAGTACAGCTCAGGAATCGGTCATACATGGTCCCCCTGGATCACTTGTGAAAGACTCTGTCCTGCTGGGCATGAATGCCAGCTTGCATTCCTTTAATTAGATGGAAACTAGGAGGTATTTGGTGGCTGGAAGTCATGAATTTCAGCCCATACACTTCCTTCAATTACATGCTTGTCTCCCTCCTGCTGTCCAGAGAAAACCAACTGAATGATGAATAGTGCTCTCACCATTGGTAGCTGATAGCAAAAAAAAAAAATGATCCAGAACTTCATTTTGACAAATGAATGCTTCTCCCTGATACCTAGTTTGTGCTTCTCATTTTCCCAGGGATGCATTAATGCTAGAGAACTTTAGTGAATCACTACAGAATTACTTATGCATTTTGTAGTTAATAGGCAAAATATGTTGTGCCTGTAACATAGCTCCTTTGATGTTCTTAGTAAGCAGAACGTAGTATGGATTCTACTTTATTGACTTCCAGATGGTGCCTCTAAAGGTTATGACTATGAGCTAGTTAAATGTTTTGTCCCTACCAGTGGGTTCATGGCTTCATAAAGACCTGTGGTAGGTAGCATCTGAGTTTGTAGTTTGCATTTATTTCTGACTTTTAAGTCTACATTGACACAATCTCTTTATCTTGGCTTTGTTGAACTCTGCCTCATTTATTATGAAAGCTGACTTCAGGTTGAGGGCAAGGCAAAGAAAGAAGCCTTCGTATTTCAAAAGAACAAGATGGGTAGCCACGACACAGTCAAATTGGTTAATTTCTGTTCCTCGCTCCCTAAACTGCTAAATTTCATTTTATATATCTTCCTTCAGTCCATCTACTTAATATATTTTATGTGGTTAGACGGACTGCATTTTTCACTCATCCTGTTTTCCATGGGTTTTTCTCATCATCATTTTAATAGTGACATAATTCATAGAGATGATACTTTCTAGTTCACCATTGTTGGATTTAGTATGTTTCTAACAGATTAATAATTATAGGTCATAAGAAATGGAAAAAAAATTATAGGGAGGTACATTTTCATATTCCTCCTAATATTCCCCAGCAGTAACACCTTAAATAACTCTAGTGTAATATCAAAGCCAAGAAATTAACATTGGTATATTCCACAAAGTTTATTCAGATTTCACCAGTTTTACATTCATGCATTTTTGTGTAGTATATATAATTCTAAGCAAATTCATCACATGTATTGATTCATGTAGCCACCAACAAATTAAGATAAAGAACTGTTCCACGACTGTAAAGATCTCTTGCACTATACCCTTATAGCCACATCCCGCTTGTCCCTAACTACTGGCAAACACTAATCCATCTCTGTCATTGTGGCATTTCAAGAATATTTTATGTGTAGACTAATATAGTTTGTAACCTTTTGAGGGTGGCTGAGTAGTGGTCTGTGGTATGGATGTGCCACAATTTGTGTAACTATTAATCCATTAACAGATATTTGAGATGTTTTCAGTTTTTCGCTATTGCAATCATAGCTTCTATAACATCCATGTCCATGTTTGTTTGTTTTTGAAGATGTTTCCATTCGTCTGGTATAAATTACATAAGCACGCAATTGTTAGGTTGTATAATAAGCAGATGCTTCATTTTATAAGAAACTGCCATACTCTTTTCCAGAGTGGCCGTTCCCACCTAAGTGATCAAGTAATTCCGCATCCTCCCCAGAATTTGGTGTTATCACTATTTTTTTTATTTTAGCCACGCTAGTAGGTGTGTAGTGATAACCCATTGTGTTTTTAATTTACATTCTCCTGGTGGCTAATGCTGTTGAACATCTTACTATGTGGTGGTTCGTCACCTGTATATCCTCTTCATTGAAATATATGTTCATGTCTGTTTGCCCGTTTTCTAGTTAGATTGTGTGGGGTTTTGTTTGTTTTATTTTTACTCTTGAGATTTAAGAGTTCTTTATGCTAGATATGCCTTTTGTCAGATATGTGTTTTGAAAATATAGTTTGTCTTTCTGTAGTTTATCTCTTCATCTTCTTTACAGGGTCTTTCACAGAGTAAACATGTTCTTTTTAAAAATTACAGTGAAGTTTTTTATCAAATTTTACTTTGATGGATTGTGTTTTTGATGTCAAGTCTTGGAACTCATAGCCTAGAGTGCTGAAGATTTCCTCCTATGTTTTGTTCTAAAAGTTTCACATTTTTAAGTCTTACATTTAAGTCTGTTCTTTAAGTTGATGTCAATTTTTGGTATGATATCTGAGATTTACATCAAAGTTTATCCTTTTGCCTGTGGATTTTCAGTTATTCCAGGTCCACTCATTGAGAAGACTATATTCCTCTTCTGAATTGCTTTGAAAAAATCAGTTGGGTATATTTGTGTGGGTCTACTATTGGGTTCTCAATTCTGTTTTATTAATCTAGATATCTCTTCCTCTATTATAGTCTTTTGCTTTCATCGTATAGTAACGCTTAACATTGAGTAGAGTGTTTCTTCCCATTTTATTGTTCCTTTTCAAAATTGTTTTAGCTATTTTAGTTTCTTTGTTTATATAAATTTCAGACTGACTTTGTGTATCCATATGTACAAAACTCTTGCTGGGTTTTTAATGGGAATTGTGTTAAGCCTACAGGTTCTCGTAGGGACAATTATGTTGAATCTTCCAATCCATGATCATGGTATGTCCCTCTTATTTCAATCTTCTATGATTTTTCCATCAGTATTTTGTAGTTTTCAACATGTGAGATTTATGCTTGTTTTGTTAAATTTATATTTGTTTCATTTTTGACCAGTTGTAAATGATACTGCATTTTCAGTAACCACATGTTTACTGTTAGTATAGCAATTATTTTATGTTGATCTTGTATTTCTGACCTTGCTGAACTTACTCATTAGGTTTAGCAGTTTTTTTTTTAATTGTTTTTGTTTTGAGATTCCTTTGGATTTTCCACATAGACCATCATGTCACCTGAAAATAGTAACTTTTTAAATTTCTTTCTGATTTCTAGGCCTCTTACTTCCTTTACTTTCCTGGCTAGGATTTCTAGTATTATGCTGAATTAGAATGTTAAAAGTGAACAACTTTATCTTGTTTCTGATCTTATGGCGAAAGCATCCAGTCTTTCACTATTAAGTATGATGCTAGCTGTAGGTTTTTTGTGGAATTGCTTTTATCAGGATGAGGAAGTTTCCCTCTATTCCAGTTTTCTGAGACTTTTTAATATGGATGAGTGTTGAGTGTTATTACTTGCTTTTTCTGCATCAATTGATATAATCAGGTGATTTTTCTTCCTTGGCATCTTAATATGGTAGATTACATTGATCAGTTTTCAATTATTGAACTAGCTTTACACTCATGGAACAAACTCTACTTGGTCATGTGTGTAATTCCTTATATATACTGCTAAGTTGTATTGCCAATATTTTATTAAGGGTGGTTTATGTATATTTATGAGAGAATGTGGTCTGTAGTTTTTGTTTTGCATTTTATAAATTTTTTCTACTGTCTTTGTCTAGTTTTGGTTATGAGGTTAATAAAAGCCTCTGTGTTTTATCCTTTTTTATTTACTGGGAGACAGTTATAGAATTGATATTAATTCTTCCTTAAATGTTTGTTAAAATTCCCCAGCGAAGCCATTCAGGATGTGGAGATACCTTTTTAAAAAACATTTAAAATTATGAACTCAATGTGTTTAATTGTTTTAGGGATCTTCAGCTTATTTATAGCCTATTGGTTGAGTTGTGGTAGTTTGTACTTTTCAAGGAATTGGTGCATTTCATTTAAGTTGCTAAATGTATGTGTTAATTTCTATGTAAAGAGTTGTTCATAGCTTTCCTCATCATTCTTTTGATGTCTACAATGTCTGTGTAGTGACACATAGAATACATTCGTGGTATTAGTTTGTCAATTTTATTGATATTTTCAAAGAAGATTTTCATTTCATTGATTTTTTTTTCTTTTTTTTCTCTTCTCCGTGTCAGTGATTTTATACTTTTATATTTATTATTTACTTCCTTCTACTTGTGGGGCTTGTCTTCTCTTTTCTAGTTTCTTACCGAGTGAGCATAGATATAGACTTGAATCTTTTTCTCTTTCTTAAAATAAGCAGTACTATAAATTTATTCTTAGCACTACCAGCATGTCATACATATTGATACATTGCATTTTTATTCAGTTCAGTGTATTTTTTTCCATTTCCTTGAGACTTTCTCTTTGACTCATGGATTATTTAGCAATTTGGCATTCAGTTTCCAAGTGTTTGGAGATTTTCTTGTCATCTTAATGCTATTCATGTCTAGTTTGATTCCATTGTGGGCAAATATCACACTTTGTGTGGTTTCACTTCTTTTAAATGTATTGAGGTTTTTCTTAGGCTCAGGATATGGTCTATCTTGGTATATGCTCCATGAGTACTTGTTGGTAGACAGTTTCCTAAATGCCAATTAAGTCCTGTTGTTTGATGGTGTAAGTTCTTTTATATCCTTGCTGATTTTCTGTCTAGTTGCCCTGTCATGAATTATTGAGAGAGGAGTGTTGAAACCTCCAAATATAGTTGTGAACTTGTCTATATCTTTTGAAAATTTCCATCAGTTCTGGGGTCATGTATTTTGAAGCTTTCTTGTTTGAGAAAGGATTTATGATTGCTGCATCTTCTTGGTAGACTGAGCTTTTATCATTATGTAAATTTATATCTATCTTTCATAATTTTCTTTTCTCTAAGATCTGCTTTATCTGATAATAATATAGTTACTCTTGTGTTTTTTGAGTAATGTTTGCAGGGTATGTGTGTCTGTGATATATATATATTATATATATATATTCTTCGTTTTTTCTTTCCTGCCTATGATGTACTTAACTTTTTTTTAGAATTTCTTTTTTAGAATTTTTAGAATCTTTTTTATTTATAGTGTTTTTGAGTATGTCTCTTTGTACACCTATTTCATGGTTGCTCTTGATATTACATTTTATGTATGTAACTTATTACGTTACTGACTACTGATATAAACATCTTACTGGTTCAAGTAAAGTAGATAAATTTTCTCTTCCTTCTTTTATTGTTTTTTTCTCTCTTTCAAGAACTTCCTTGAGCCATACTTCTTGGGTGATTCTGCTGGTCACTATTTCTCTTAGTTTTTTCTTCATCTGAAAATGTCTTGACATTTCTTCATTATTCCTGAAAGATATTTTAACTGGATTTAGAATTTTGAGTGTACAGTAAGTTATTTCAGCATTCGGAAACTGTCATACCACCTCCTGCTGGTCTCCGTGGTTACTGTTGAAAATTCTGCTGTCATTTAAATTTGTTGTTGTTGTTTAGTTTTGTTTTTCCCCCTTACGGATCATTTTTCTCTGGCTGCTTTCAAGATTTTCTCTTTGTGTTTAATTTTTAGATGTTTGATTATGATGATTCTTGGCATTAATTTTTTTGTATTTATCTGGTTTGGGTTTTACTCAGCTTCTTGAATCTGTAGATGTATATCTTTTGCTAAATTTGGAAAATTTTTAATAATTTCTTCAAACATTTTTCATTCTCATTTTCTTTCTCTTCTTTTTCTGAGACTCTCATGACACAAATATCAGATTTTGTTATGGCTTCACACCCCTGCAGGCTGTGTCGATTTTTTTTCTTTTTTTTGGTCTATTTTACCTTTGTTGCTCCGATTGCATAATTTCTATTCTGTCTTCAAGTCAGATTCTTTCCTTTGCTATCTCCACTCTACTATTGAGCCCAGCCTACATGTTGGTAATCCCAGTTACTGTATTTTTCAGTTCTAAATTTTCATTTAGTTTTTCTTTATATCTTCTATTTATTTGTTGAGACTTTCTATTTTTTCACTGGTTTCAAACATGTTCTTAATTGCCTACCAAAGCATTATTATGATTGAGGTTTTAAAATCCAGAGAATTCCAACTTTCTGAATTATCTGTTTTGGCATCTGCTAATTTTCTCTTCTCATTAAAGTTGAGGTTTTTTTCTTGATTTTGGTATTACAGGTGATTTTTAAAATTATATCCTGGACATTTTGGGTATTATTGTTTGAGACTCCAAGTCTTATTTCAGTGTTCCTTTTCACTAGACCTCCTCTGACACTGTGCTAGCAGAGGAGGGAGGACACCACCCCTGCTGTCGTGTGGTTCAGGCCCCCCACTCAGCCTCTGTTGACACCTGGGAGGGATGGGGACCTTGGTACTGCTAGGTGGGAGTGGAAGTCCAGGCTCCCCAAGTGTTCTCCACTGAAACAGCAGGAGGCGGCTGGGTCAAGATGAGGTCACTGCTTGGCCTTCTCTGACATCACCTCTTGCAAGTATGGGGAGGAGTGTCTCCCTTTTGCCTGGGGATGTTTGAATCTAGAGTGCTCCCTGGGCCTTTGCTGATGAGGCTGCTGGTGGAGTCCAGCTTTTTCCTTTGGTGTTTCCCTGGGGCAGCGCTCTTGGCTAGACACGGTCCAGCTGTCAGGCTGCTTCTCTCCTGACCATTTGGCGAGAGAGGGCAAGCTTTCCTCAGGACTTCTTTGGTCTGTACCTGTTGGGGTTTTTTTGGTGCATTCTTCTCCAGAACCCAGTTTGGAATAGGTAAGATAAATAGTAAACCTAGGGATGTCAGCACCATGCCGTTCTGCCTGTCACAAAGGTGTGATCCCTTCTGCCTTCTTCTCTGAACTGTTGACAGCCTTCTTATGTTTATTTATGGATTATGTGAAGACTTCTTAGTCATATTTAGCAAGAGTAATAATGATTACTCAGGTCAGCCTGTCATAACAAAATACCATAGACTGGGAGGCTTTAAATAATAGAAATTTATTTTCACACAATTCTGGGAGCTGAGAAGTTCAAGATCAAGGGTCTGGATTTGGTTCCCTGAAGAGAACTCTCTCTGGTTTATGGCTTCCTTCTCATTGTGTCCTTACATGGCAGAGAGAAAGAGAGAGGGAGTGGGAGAGGGAGAGAGAGGGGCACGTGCTGGCTTCCCTCTTCCTATAAGGCCACCAGTCCTATCAGAATAGGGCTCTACCCCTGTGACCTGATTTAACCCTGGTCAGCTCTTGCTTATCGTTTTTAGCCGTATTACCTCCTTATCGTTTTTCTTGTATTTATGCTGTCATAGCAAGTGGCATTTTTCTGAAAGCATATGCTTAGTTTATTTAGACTTTATATTTATTCAGATTAAGGTTGGTCAATTTCTTCACTCAATCTGAAGGAAAAGCTCTTTAAAAAATCAGCCTGATCATTTTTCAATGAACCTCTGGTGTGGACTTTGGGCATCCGATTGTGTAGGAGGCTCTCAAGGCTGGCTGTTTGCCCAGTCAGCATTGTCACTGGGGGACGAGCTGGCAGGGTGCAATGTTGTTCCCTTCACCTTTGTGTCTCCAAGTGACCCTTTCCTCATAGGGATGAATTTCCACCCATGATGAATAGTCCTTGTGTGCATAGTAATCCCAGTGTCAGAACATCTTCTCCTTCCACTGCTGGGGATAATTAGCTTCCTTTTTCTTTTGTTTCATACATCTGGAGCCAGAAAAGGCATAACAGGTCACATAGTTTAGAAATGGACATACTTTTTAAAAAATTTCATGAGCTCCTTCACGTCCATTTATCTAGGCTACGTAAAACTGTTAGAAGGAATGCCCAGGCTACAAGCTATAAGCAGGCAGGAGGGTGGGGCCCGTGGAGCCCAGCTCTCTCCCACACGAGGCCCTGGGAGTTCAGTCAACCATCCTGGGTCGCAAAAGTCATTACCCAAGAAGGCGGGAGTAAAACTCGTGCTTCTGCCCTCTTGCCCTGTACGAGGTGGGTTGGAACTGAGAAGGCCAGGACCTTCAAAATGCTGCATTCTCCCTGAGAAGTTGGAATTGAAAAAAATAAAATCTACCATCCAGTGCAAGACGATGAAAAAGAAGCATGACTGTTTTAGGCTGTGCTCAGTCAGGGCTCAGAGTCTTCCATGGGAATTCACAACAGATGAGGGAAGGGGTGCCTCCTGGTGCTGGTTTGATATGTCCAGCAGAACCCAGGAAATTCCAGCACCAATTGTAGTGGCATGCAAAGTGGTCTGATCTGTGAGGCTCTGGGCACCTGGCAGAATGGAGTGCAGGGCACCTGGAGAGAAGTCCCCCTCCGGCCAGGTCCACAGGATCTCCATAGACACGGTAGCAACACAGGTTGGGGATTCATTCCAGTATGTCCAGTCAGCAAGGTTCATGTGCCATGAACATGCTCTGCAGATGGTGATTGGGGTTTGAGACATGGGTTTTCTGCAGCCTGACAAATATTCCATGCTCTGATAAGTGTCCAGGTGTGAGGCCAGGTGTGCAGGCAATGCTGTGAGAGGGCAGCCAAGGGCTCTGCCCCTTTCTCTCCTGCGTCCTCCTCCCTCCACATCCATCCTGTCCCACCCCTGTGACTACATGTGGGTTTTTTTGTGTGTTTTTTTTTTTTCTGAGACTGAGTCTGGCTCTGTCTCCCAGGCTAGAGTACAGTGGCGGGATCTCGGCTCACTGCAACCTTCACTTCCCAAGTTCAAACAATTCTTGTGCCTTAACCTCCTGAGTAGCTGGGATTACAGGTGCCCACCACCATTCCCGGCTAATTTTTGTGTTTTTAGTAGAGATGGGGTTTCACCATGTTAGCCAGGCTGGTCTTGAACTCCTGACCTCAGGTGATCCGCCCTCCTCGGCCTCCCAAACTCCTGGGATTCAGGCGTGAGCCACCACACCTGGCCTGCATCTATATTTTTAAGCTCTTGTGCCATTTAGCCTTCATTAATTTTTTTAAGAAAACATTACAGATGAAAACTGTATGAGGAATGAAACACTATAAGAAATAATATGGAAACTCAATTTTTAAAAATCAGCTAAAAATGAACTTCAAATTAAAACACATACAGAAACATCTCACTTTGAGCAAGCATTCACAAACATAGCAAAAGGCAGGTTTGGACTCTTAAACACTTAAGACAATAGAAACTGACAAATGATTTGAAAATAATTACACTCAAGTAAGAATTAAAAACACAAATGAGAGAAACCCTTTAAAAAGCAACTTTGAAAAGAATCAAGTAAAATTAAGAGAGATGAGAAATAATATAGCCATCAAAATTAAAGACAGTGGAGGCATAGAATGTCAGATGAGACACAGTTGAAGGAGCAGAGGCAGTTTCCTGCGTGAATCATAGAAAGCTAAATAGATGGAAAGTAGGAAAGAATGATTTACGGTCGTGCAATAATATCCAACACTTCTGTAGTGCTTCTGTGCACCAGGTCCTGTTTCAAATGCTTTACATATATTAACAACCTTCTGAGGAAAGCGCTGTGATTATTTTCAGATATGACAGCTGGAGCACACTGTGGCCAAGGTCATGCAGAAAGCAGGTCTGGAAGCCTGCACCCCCCAGGAGAGGCTGTGCCTGACAAGGAGGGCTGCTTCCTCTCATGCCGGGGATAGGTGCTCCCATACACACTGGCTAGAATAGTAGAAGGCAATAATAAATTGCATGTGGGAGAAATATTAAAAGATTATTTTCAGAAAACAGGTAAAGTTATGGCTCACATACAGATATAAAAATGAGCATGTTGAAGAATCTATTTGACTCATATCACATGAGGAAACAAAGCAGATGTTCTCAGTTCAATGGGAAAGTCAAACTAGTACAAATTTATATAGAGTAAAGGAATTTCGAGATGAATTCTAAATGGACACAGAACTTGTTTATCTAAAGGGGCAGGAAGTCAAGGCACTACCAATTAAATCACTACTGGGCGACTGAGAACTTCCGCATCTATCAGCTGCTTACGGTCCGCGCACAGTGGCAAAGCAGCTCAGACAGTGAACAGGGCGAGACTTGCTAAGTGAGATCTATGTGCTGTAGGGGACACATCGTTTTCCATTGAAATACAATGATTTTTTTCAACAGAAGCCATGTCCCAAAAGAACAGCTGAGGATGTAATAATATTGATGAAAAACATACATCCTCAGCTTCAGGAGATAAAAGTCTGAGGAAAGATATGTGATAGGAAATGAGCCCAAGACATATTGTGCAAAAAAGCTGCAGGAATGTCCAAAGCCAAAAAAAGATCCTAGAAGCGATGAGAGAAAAATAGATAGCTTGCTAACAAAGAGATGGCAATTAGACTGACTGCAGACCTTTTAAAGGCAACAGTAGAAGCCAGAAAAATAAACGAAAATAACGTCTTTTAAGTATGAAAGGAAATAATTGTCAACCTAGAGTTTTATCCTGAGCTAAACCATTCTTTACCTGATGGGCAAAATCAAGACATTCTCGGGAAAACATATACTAAAGGAGTTTACCGTGCAGGGGCTGTGCTACTATTTTAAAAAACTACCAGAAGACGTTTAGGAACTAGGCATGAGAAGCAGTGAGCGAAGCAATTGGCAAAGATTCAGGTACATGTAAACAGATTTGGTTATATAAAATAATAATGATGAATTTGAGAGTATTAAAAACAAAGTGGGACAGGGCGCAGGGGCTCATGCCTGTAGTCCCAGCACTTTGGGAGGCCAAGGCAAGTAGATCACCTGAGGTCAGGAGTTCGAGACCAGCCTGGCCAACATGGTGAAACCCCATCTCTACTAAAAATACAAAAATTAGCCGGGCGTGGTGGCATGTGCCTGTAGTCCCAGCTACTTGGGAGGGTGAGGCAGGAGGATCGCTTGAACCCAGGAGGCAGAGGTTGCAGTGAGCTGAGATAGCACCACTGCACTCCAACCTGGAACCTGAGTGACAGAGCAAGACTCCATCTCAAAAAAAAAAAAAAAAAGATGGAATTAAAATACTGGAAAATATAGCATGAAATAGTAACTTGGACAGTGCTTGGAGGTAAAACCCTCAGGTGTACTTATATGACTCTGGAAGGCCATGGAGACGTCAGCTTTAAGTGAAATATACAAGGTTAAAGTGTGAGAATAACCACCAGACCAGACACATTAAGAATACTATATTTAACTTCCAAACAAGTAGGGGTCGAATGGGGAAGGGATGAAGAAAACAGGAGAAGGCCGGCGCGGTGGCTGACGCCTGTAATCCCGGCACTGTGGGAGGCCGGGGCGGGCGGATCACGAGGTCAGGAGATCGAGACCATCCCGGCTAACACGGTGAAACCCCGTCTCTACTAAAAATACAAAAAAATTAGCCGGGCGTGGTGGCGGGCGCCTGTAGTCCCAGCTACTTGGGAGGCTGAGGCAGGAGAATGGCGTGAACCCGGGAGGCGGAGCTTGCAGTGAGCCGAGATCCCGCCACTGCACTCCAGCCTGGGCGACAGAGCGAGACTCCGTCTCAAAAAAAAAAAAAAAGAAAAAAAAAAGAAAACAGGAGAAACCTAAATGCAATCCAAGGAGGAAGAAGTCAAAAGCATAACATTAGATGGTAGAAATGAAAACAAATATTACAGTAGACAAGATAAAAGTAAATGGGATGGCCAGCTGGTTAAAACACAGATCTCCCCAATATATCTCTATGCATTTAAATCGAACGATAGACTGTTTAGATGAAACTAAACCATATATACGTAAAGGATGAACGCAAAAAAGGAAAAACAAAAACAGGAACAAAAATAAAATGTGAGTGGCTATGTTTACAACACCCCCCCCCCACACAAACACAGTAAGAAAAACAAGTATAATTAAGGTTAAATAAGGTCAGGTGATAGTGATTTTTTAAAACTAAGGATATATAACAAATCTTACATGTATATATCTAATAAAATTGCTTTGAAGAAAAATTGGTAGAATTTAAAGTTTACTGGATAAGTCCACAATTACAGTAGAAGATTTTAATGTACCTCTTTTAGTAATTGATAGTGTAACAAGGGGAAAAAAAATGTAAGTATGTAGGAGTTTTGAACAACACAGTTAACAAGTCTTACCCAATATATAGATATAGATACAGATATAGAAAAAATGCATCCTCATTCCACTAGAAAATAAATATATGGAAAACTGGATATCTAAATGTGAATAAAAACATTTAGCATGTGTGGTGTGAGTTTGTGTGTGTACGTGTGTGTGCACACATGCACTCACATATGTATAGGAATGCAGGCAGACATACATAGCCTTTAAATGCTTATGTTAGAAAAGATACTTGTCTAAGCATCTTTACCATATGATCCAACAATTGTCCTCCTCAGTATTTACCCAAAGGAGCTGAAAACCTGTGTTCACACAGAAACCTACACACATATGTTGATAGCAGCATAGACATCTTTTTTAGGAAACCCTAAAGGCTTTTAATATCTTTTTTGGGAAAATGTGTGAGATAATTACCAAACTCAAGAAGTTATAAAATATAACATTAACTCCAATGAAAAAAAGAAGGAGGAATAAAGATAAACCTAGAAATGTATTAAATAAGAAAACTAAAATAGAGATCAACGAAGGACAAATTGGTTTTAAAAAAGAACTAATAAAATCAACATACCTCAGGAAATAATTACCAAGAAAACAAAGAAGGCACAAACAAACATTTACTGGATATAAAAGGGGTTTTCAACTACAGAAAAATACTTAAAAATAGAATATTGTGACACAATTTTATGCCAAAATTTTGGAAACTTAGATAGATTTAATATTTTCTAGAAAAATAGACCAAAAAGGGAATAGACTAGCAAAAAAACAGACTTTGTTTTTTAAAGCAGTTTGAGGTTCATAGCATAACTGTGTGGAAGGTACAAGTTCCCATGTCCCCTCCCAACCCCCACCCAAGCACAGCCTCCCCCATCATCAACATCCCCCACCAGGGCCGTACAATTGAAATAGATGAACTGATGCAGACACATCATTACCACCCAGAGTCCATAGTTTACATCAGGGTTCTCTCTTGGTGGCGTATGGGTTCTGTGGGTTTGCACAGATGTATAATGACCTGTATCGACCATTATAGTATCATTCAGAATAGCTTCACTGCCCTAAAAATCCTCGGTGCTCCACCTATTCATCCCGCCCTCTCTCTGCAATCCATGGCAGCCATTGACCTGTTATGTTTTGTTTTGTTTTGTTTTGTTTTGTTTTGTTTTGTTTGAGATGGTGTATCGCTCTGTCGCCCAGGCTGGAGTGCAGTGGTGCGATCTCGGCTCACTGCAACCTCCACGTCCCGGGTTCAAGCGATTCTCCCACCTCAGCCTCCTGAGTGGCTGGGACTACAGGTGCACGCCACCACGCCTGGCTAATTTTTGTATTTTTAGTAGAGACAGGGTTTCGTCATGTTGGCCAAGCTGGTCTCAAACTCCTGACCTCGGGTGATCCACCTGCCTTAGCCTCCCAAAGTGCTGGGATTACAGGCGTGAGCCACTGCGCCCGGCCTGATCTGTTTTGCTGTCTCCATTGCTTTACTTTTCCTAGAATATCATATAATTGGAATCTTACAGTCTGTAATCTTTTCAGATTGACTTATTTCATTTGGTAATATGCATTTAAGGTTCCTCCATGTTTTTTTCATGGCTTGATAGCCCATTTCTTTTTAGCACTGAATAATAATCCATTGTTTGGATATAGCACAGTTAGTTTATCCATTTCACCTACTGAAGGTTGCTTCCAAGTTTTAGCAATTATGAATAAAGCTGCTATCAACATATGTATGTAGGTTTCTGTGTGAACACACGTTTTCTGCTCCTTTGGATAAATACAAGGGAAGGCAATTGTTGGATCACATGGAAAGAGTATGCTTCGTTTTGTAGGAAACTGCCAAACTGCCTTCCAAAGTGACTGCACCATTTCTCATGCCCACCAGCAGTGTATGAGAGTTCCTGTTGCTCTGCATCCTTGCCAGCATTTGGTGTTGTCAGTGTTCTGGATTTTGGTCATTCTAATAGATGCGTAGTGGTGTCTCAGTTTTTTTTTTTTTAATTTGTATTAAATATGACAATGTGGAACATATTTCTATGTGCTTCTTTGCCATCTCTATATTGTCTTTGCTCAGGTGTCTGTTAAGGTCTTTGGCCCATTATTTTAATTGGATTGTTTGTTTTCTTATTGCTGAGTTTTAAGAGTTCTTTGTATATTTTGGATTACAGTTCATTATTAGATGTGTCTTTTGCAAATATTTTCTCCCAATCTGGAGGTCATCTTTTCATTCTTTTGATCAGTATATTTTTAAAAAAGAAATTCAAAAAGGTAGGTTTACAGGCAAGTTCCACCCAGCATAAAATATCATTATGAACATAAATGTATAAGCCTTTTTTATTATTATACTTTAAGTTATAGGGTACCTGTGCACAATGTGCAGGTTTGTTACATTAGGTGTACATGTGCCATGTTGGCTTGCTGCATCCATTAACTGGTCATTTACATTAGATATTTCTCCTAATGCTATCCCACCCCCAGCCCCCCACCCCCCGAGAGGCCCCGGTGTGTGATGTTCCCTGCCCTGTGTCCATGTGTTCTCATTGTTCAGTTCCCGTCTATGAATGAGAACATGTGGTGTTTGGTTTTCTGTCCTTGTGATAGTTTGCTGAGAATGATGGTTTCCAGCTTCATCCATGTGCCTGCAAAGGACATGAACTCATCCTTTTTTATGGCTGCATAGTACTCATGGTGTATGTGTGCCACATTTTCTTAATCCAATCTGTCATTGATGGACATTTGGGTTGGTTCCAAGTCTTTGCTATTGTGAATAGTGCCGCAATAAATATACGTGTGCATATGTCTTTATAGTAGCATGATGTATAATCCTTTGGGTATATACCCAGTAATGGGATTGCTGGGTCAAATGGTATTTCTAGTTCTAGATCCTTGAGAAATCTTCCACTGTCTTCCACAATGGTTGAACTAGTTTACACTCCCACCAGCAGTGTAAAAGCATTCCTATTTCTCCACATCCTCTCTAGCATCTGTTGTTTCCTGACTTTTTAATGATTGCCATTCTAACTGGTGTGAGAGAGATGGTATCTCATTGTGGTTTGGATTTGCATTTCTCTGATGGCCAGTGATGATGAGCATTTTTTCATGTGTCTGTTGTCTGCATAAATGTCTTCTTTTGAGAAGTGTCTCTTCATATCCTTTGCCCACTTTTTGATGGGGTTGTTTTTTTCTTGTAAATTTGTTTAAGTTATTTGTAGATTCTGGATATTAGCCCTTTGTCAGATGGGTAGATTGCAAAAATTTTCTCCCATTCTCTAGGTTGCCTGTTCACTCTGATGATGGTTTCTTTTGCTGTGCAGAAGCTCTTTAGTTTAATTAAATCCTATTTGTATATTTTGGCTTTTGTTGCCATTGCTTTTGGTGTTTTAGTCATGAAGTCTTTGCCCATGCCTATGTCCTGAATGGTATTGCCTAGGTTTTCTTCTAGGGTTTTTATGGTTTTATGTCTTAGGTTTAAGTCTTTAATCCATCTTGAGTTAATTTTTGTATAAGGTGTAAGGAAGGGATCCAGTTTCAGCTTTATACATATGGCTAGCCAGTTTTCCCAGTACTATTTATTAAACAGGAAATCCTTTCCCCATTTCTTGTTTTTGTCAGGTTTGTCAAAGATCAGATGGTTGTAGATGTGTGGTGTTATTTCTGAGGCCTCTGTTCTCTTCCATTGGTCTATATCTCTGTTTTGGTACCAGTACCATGCTGTTTTGGTTACTGTAGCCTTGTAGTGTAGTTTGAAGTCAGGTAATGTGATGCCTCCAGCTTTGTTGTTTTTGCTTAGGATTGTCTTGGCTATGTGGGCTCTTTTTTGTTTCCATATGAACTTTAAAGTAGTTTTTTCCAATTCTGTGAAGAAAGTCATTGGTAGCTTGATGGGGATGGCATTGAATCTGTAAATTACCTTGAGCAGTATGGCCATTTTCACGATATTGATTCTTCCTATCCATGAGCATGGAATGCTCTTCCATTTGTTTGTGTCCTCTTTTATTTCATTGAGCAGTGGTTTGTAGTTCTCCTTGAAGAGGTCCTTCACATCCCTTGTAAATTGGATTCCTAGGTATTTTATTCTCTTTGTAGCAATTGTGAATGGGAGTTCATTCATGATTTGGTTCTCTGTTTGTCTGTTATTGGTGTATAGGAATGCTTGTGATTTTTGCACATTGATTTTGTATCCTGAGACTTTGCTGAAGTTGCTTAATCAGCTTGAGATTTTTGGCTGAGACAATGGGGTTTTCTAAATATACAATCATGTCGTCTGCAAACAGGGACAATTTGACTTCCTCTTTTCCTATTTGAATACCCTTTATTTCTTTCTCTTGCCTGATTGCCTTGGCCAGAACTTCCAACACTATGTTGAATAGGAGTGGTGAAGAGGGCATCCTTGTCTTGTGCCAGTTTTCAAAGGGAATGATTCCAGTTTTGGACTATTCAGTATGATATTGGCTGGGGGTTTGCCATAAATAGCTCTTATTATTTTGAGATACGTTCCATCAATACCTAGTTTATTGAGAGTTTTTAGCATGAAGGGCTGTTGAATTTTGTCGAAGGCCTTTTCTGCATCTATTGAGATAATCATGTGGTTTTTGTCATTGGTTCTGTTTATGTGATGGATTACATGTATTGATTTGCATATATTGAACCAGCCTTGCATCCCAGGGATGAAGCCAACTTGATCATGATGGATAAGCTTTTTGATGTGCTGTTGGATTCTGTTTGCCAGTATTTTATTGAGGATTTTTGCATCAATGCTCCTCAGGGATATTGGTCTAAAATTCTCTTTTTTGGTTGTGTCTCTGCCCAGCTTTGGTATCAGGATGATGCTGGCCTAATAAAATGAGTTAGGGAGGATTCCCTCTTTTTCTATTGATTGGAATAGTTTCCGAAGAAATGGTACCGGCTCCTCTGTACCTCTGGCAGAATTCGGCTGTGAATTTGTCTGGTCCTGGACTTTTTTGGGTTGGTAGGCTATTAATTATTGCCTCAATTTCAGAACCTGTTGTTAGTCTATTCAGAGATTCAACTTCTTCCTAGTTTAGTCTTGGGAGGGTGCATGAGTCCAGGAATTTATCCATTTCTTCTAGATTTTCTAGTTTATTTGTATAGAGGTGTTTATAGTATTCTCTGACAGTATTTTGTATTTCTGTGAGATCGGTGGTGATATCCCCTTTATCATTTTTTATTGCGTCTATTTGATTTTTCTCTGTTTTCTTCTTTATTAGTCTTGCTAGCGGTCTGTCTATTTTGTTGATCTTTTCAAAAAACCCGTTCCTGGATTCATTGATTTTTTGAAGGTTTTTTTGTGTCTCTATCTCCTTCAGTTCTGCTCTGATCTTAATTATTTCTTTCCTTCAGCTAGCTTTTGAATTTATTTGCTTTTGCTTCTCTAGTTCTTTTCATTGCGATGTTAGGATGTCAATTTTAGATCTTTCTTGCTTTCTCTTGTGGGCATTTAGTGCTATAAATTTCCCTCTACACACTACTTTGAATGTGTCCCAGAGATTCTGGTACGTTGTGTGTCTTTGTTCTCATTGGTTTCAAAGAATATCTTTATTTCTGCCTTCATTTCGTTATTTACCCAGTAGTCATTCAGGAGCCCGTTGTTCAGTTTCCATGTAGTTGTGCAGTTTTGAGTGAGTTTCTTAATCTTGAGTTCTAATTTGATTGCACTGTGGTCTGAGAGACAGTTTCTTGTGATTTCTGTTCTTTTACATTTGCCGAGGAGTGTTTTACTTCCAATTATTTGGTCAATTTTAGAATAAGTGCAATGTGGTGCTGAGAAGAATGCATATCCTGTTGATTTGGGGTGGAGAGTTCTGTAGATATCTATTAGGTTCACTTGGGGCAGAGCTAAGTTCAAATCCTGGGTATTCTTGTTAACCTTCTGTCTCGTTGATCTAATATTGACAGTGGGCTGTTAAAGTCTCCCATTATTATTTTGTGGGAGTCTAAGTCTCTTTGTAGGTCTCTAAGGACTTGCTTTATGAATCTTGGTGCTCCTGTATTAGGTGCATATATATTTAGGATAGTTAGCTCTTCTTGTTGAATTAATCCCTTTACCATTATATAATGGCCTTCTTTGTCTCTTTTTATCTTTGTTGGTTGAAAGTCTGTTTTATCAGAGACTAGGATTGCAACCCCTGCTTTTTTTTTGCATTCCATTTGCTTGGTAGATCTTCCTCCATCCCTTCATTTTGAGCCTATGTGTGTCTCTGCATGTGAGATGGGTCTCCTGAATACAGCACACTGATGGGTCTTGACTCTTTATCCAATATTCTAGTCTGTGTCTTTTAATTGGGGCATTTAGCCCATTTGCATTTAAGGTTAATATTGTTATGTGTGAACTTGATCCTGTCATTATGATGCTAGCTGATTATTTTGCCTGTTAATTGATGTGGTTTCTTCATAGCATCGATGGTCTTTACCATTTGGCGTGTTTTTGCAGAGGCTGGTACCAGTTGTTCCTTTCCATGTTAAGTGCTTCCTTCAGGAGCTCTTGTAAGGCAGGCCTGGTGGTGACAAAATCTCTCAGCATTTGCTTGTCTGTAAAGGATTTTATTTCTCCTTCACTTATGAAGCTTGGTTTGGCTGGATATGAAATTCTGGGTTGAAAATTCTTTAAGAATGTTGAATATTGGCCCCCACTCTCTTCTGGCTTGTAGGGTTTCTGCCGAGAGATCCACTGTTAGTCTGATGGGCTTCCCTTTGTGGGTAACCCGACTTTTCCCTCTGGCTGCTGTTAACATTTTTTCCCTTCATTTCAACCTTGGTGAATCTGAAAATTATGTGTCTTGGGGTTGCTCTTTTTGAAGAGTAGCTTTGTGGTGTTCTCTGTATTTCCTGAATTTGAATGTTGGCCTGCCTTGCTAGGTTGGGGAAGTTCTCCTGGATAATATCCTGAAGGGTGTTTTCCAACTTGGTTCCATTCTGCTCATCACTTTCAGGTACACCAATCAAACATAGATTTGGTCTTGTCACATAGTCCCATATTTCTTGGAGGCTTTGTTTGTTTCGTTTTACTGTTTTTTCTCTAATCTTGTCTTCTCACTTCATTTCATTAATTTGATCTTCAAACACTGATATCCTTTCTTCCACTTGATCGAATCGGCTATTGAAGCTTGTGCATGTGTCATGAAGTTCTCATGCTGTGGTTTTCAGCTCCATCAGGTCATTTCAGGTCTTCTCTATACTATTCATTCTAGTTAGCCATTCATCTAACCTTTTTTCAAGGTTCTTAGCTTCCTTGCAATGGGTTCGAACATGCTCCTTTAGCTTGGAGAAGTTTCTTATTGCCGACCTTCTGAAACCTACTTCTGTCAACTCGTCAAAGTCATTCTCCATCCAGTTTTGTTCCATTGCTGGCAAGGAGCTGCGATCCTTTGGAGAAGAAGGGGTGCTCTGGTTTTTGGAATTTTCAGTTTTTCTGCTCTTCTCCTCATCTTTGTGGTTTTATCTACCTTTGGTCTTTGATGTTGGTGACCTACAGATGGGGTTTTGGTGTGGATGTCCCTTTTGTTGATGTTGATGCTATTCCTTTCTGTTTGTTAGTTTTCCTTTTAACAGTAAGGCCCCTCAGCTGCAGGTCTGTTGGAGTTTGCTGGAGGTCCACTCCAGACCCTGTTTGCCTGAGTATCACCAGCAGAGGCTGCAGAACAGCAAACATTGCTGCCTGATCCTTCTTCTTGAAGCTTTGTCCCAGAGGAGCACCCACCTGTATGAGGTGTCTGTTGGCCCCTACTGGGAGATGTCTCCCAGTCAGGCTACACGGGGGTCAGGGACCCACTTGAGGAGGCAGTCTATCCATTCTCAGAGCTTGAACGCCGTGCTGGGAGAACCAGTGCTCTCTTCAGAGGTGTCAGACAGAGATGTTTAAGTCTGCAGAAGTTGTCTGCTGCCTTTTGTTCAGCTATGCCCTGCCCACAGAAGTGGAGTCTATAGAGGCAGTAGGCCTTGCTGAGCTGTGGTGGGCTCCACTCAGTTCGAGCTTCCTGGCCGCTTTGTTTACCTACTCAAGCCTCAGCAGTGGCGGACACCCCTCCCCACCACCAGGCTGTAGCCTCACAGATCGATCACAGACTGCTGTGCTAGCAGTGAGCAAGGCTCCGTGGGTGTGGGTCCCACTGGGCCAGGCACAGGAGGGAATCTCCTGGTCTGCTGATCGCTAAGACCGTTGAAAAGTGCAGTATTTGGGCGGGAGTGTACTGTTTTTCCAGGTACAGTCTGTCACAGCTTCCCTTGGCTAGGAAAGGGAAATCCCCCAACCCCTTGCACTTCCTGGGTGAGGCGACGCCCCACCCTGCTTTGGCTTGCCCTCCGTGGGTTGCACCCACTGTCCAACCAGTCCCAATGAGATGAACCAGGTACCTCAGTTGGAGAAATCACCCATCTTCTGCGTTGATCTCGTTTGGAGCTGCAGACCAGAGCTGTTCTTATTCGGCCATCTTGGAAGCAACTCCTATGTATAAGTCTTAACTAAAATATCAGCATAACAAAGTCTAGCAATAAGTTAAAAATAAATCCTAACAAGTTTAGGCTTCTATTAGGAATGCACAGTTTGTTTAACTTTCAAAAAAGTCCATTAATATAATTCATTCTATTAAAAGATTGAGGCAGAAAAAAATAAATGATCATTCTGGTAGCTGGAGAAAAATCAGTTGATGTTATTTAAAACCCATTTGTAATTGGAAGAAGTTTCACCTAACCTGACATAGGGGTCTCACTTAATGCTGAAACATTAGAAGTTTCTAAACGTAGAATAAAATAAGAATATCAGTGTCATCACTTTTTAAAAATATCTTAGTGACTATATGAATTTCAGTAGTAATACAAGTAAAATAATAAAATGTTTATGAATAAGGAATAAACCTGTTATCATCTTTATAGGCCATATCTGTTTTTTACATAGAAAATCCCTAGAGACTGTCTAGAAAAAATATATCTGATACAAAACAAGATCTATCGAAGTATCAAATGTGTTTCTATATTCTTACAACAGACAGTTAGAAAATGTAATTTCACAAATTTTATTTTCAATATCTGCAGGTGTTGAGTACCAAAAAATAAATTTAAGAAAGAACAACATAAATGTTGAGTTGTATCACGTTTATGCCTGGGAAAACTCAATACCAGATGCCAAATTTTTCCAAAATAAATTGAGTGTGATTAATGTGATTCCAACTAAATTTAATGTGATTCCAACTAAAGTCTTAACAGGGACTTCATGAGACTGTACAAGTAAATTTAAAATTTACAATGATGAGCAAAGGATCAGTAATGAGCAAGAATAGTAAAACAAGACAATTTTAAAGAAAAAGAACCAAGTTGGGGGACTTTCTGTGCCAAATGCAACACTTTCATAATGCTGTAAGGATTAAGATGATGTTTTGCTGGGTCAGGGATAGACATGTAACACAAGGAACAAAAATAGGGAGTCCAGAAACTGGATATCTGCTGTGTTAATCTTCTCCCATGTTACTTATAGCTTTGCTGTAATCCGTCCTATGCCATATCCAGTTGTTATAATATCCCATGTTACATTCAATTTAATATGCCAACTAGTGGCTAAAGAAAAGATTTCTGAGTGGGAGCTAAACACTGGGTACTCATGGACATAAAGATGGCAACAACAGACACTGGAGACTACTGTAGGGGGAAAGGAGAAGGGGGCCAGGATTGAAAAACTACTGGATACTCTGCTCACTGCCTGGGTGATGGAATCAATTATACCCTAAACTTCTGCATCGCATGCGATATACCCATGTGACAAACATGCACATGTATGTCCTGAATCTAAAATAAAAATCAAAATATGAACAGATAGCACGTGCCTGCAGTCCTAGCTGCCAGGAGGCTGAGGAAGGCGGATGGCTTGAGCCCAAGAGTTTGAGGCTCCAGTGAGCCACGATCGCACCACTGCACTCCAGCCTGGGTGACAAAGCATGACCCTGTCTCAAAATAAATAAATAAACAAATAATATAAATAAGTAAATATTTTCTTTTTTTAAAAAAAGGAAATATTCTTGAATGCATTTTTCTGGAAGCCTCCTCCTGGTACCTCAGAATTCTGCTTCCTGGAATCTCTGGCAGGTAGAAATGACCATAAAAGTTTGATTCTACTCAAGACTTTTTTGGTCATGGACTATGACAAGCCACATTGCTGATTGCAGACCCTCAACATTTTAGAATAAAATATAGAACTAAAAAGATTTATGACAGGGTGTGTCTCTCCCTCTGTCTTCTGTTCAGAAAATTTACCCATTCTCAACAGCCTTGCTTTCCCTCTGCAATCTGGGCATTGCTTCCGTCAGTGGTGTCTTCACATGGAATTGGGGAATTGGCAGCTTTTTTTCCCCTTTCTTCAGAGATTTAAAGTAAATGACACCTTAGATCAGATAGATGAGCATCATCCTTCCTCCTCCCTTCCTTTTTGGATAGATTTCATCTTCATCTCTCTTGCCCTTCTCTCTCTCAGTCTTTCAAGGTTGCTGAGAGCTCAGAGGGAATGGGATTGATTTCACATGAGACCTTACTATTTAGGGTCATCCTGAACCCATGCGAAGCATTTTCTTTGCAGCAGGACAGAGTGCCTGGATTTCTTCTTCTTATTGTTATTTTATTATTATTCATCTTTACCTGAATGCAGAGGCTCATTCTGGTGAACACGTGCCCTATTGGGAGTTGGTCTTGCTGGACTTCTTTGATGGCTGGACCCCTGGCTTTTTCTCTCAAGGTTATAAGAGCCGGGCTTCTGGGTCAGATGATGCTTTCTCTGTGGAGGCACAATCACTCTCTTCTTTTCTGGCTCAGTGTTGAGGCCTCCCGTGCTCAGCCGTAGAGGTCAATGCTACAGAGCTGACTGAGGCAGGAGGCAAGGCTGAGCCTAGGATCAGAGGGCTCTTGTTCCAGGGCCAGCAGCTCTGCAGGAATGAGACCAGGCACCATTGTGTGAGGATCCTAGGGGATGTGGAGGAAGGAAAGGTGTGATCTCAGACCCACCCACAGGGTCCACCTGTGCCCCATGGGCTCCCCCTGCCTATACTGCCATTGACGTCTGAAAGCACAGCTTGTAATCCCATAAGGATTGGGCTTCTGAATCCTGCCTGGGGGGCCAAGCAGTGGTTTGCTCCCAAGCCCTCTTTCAGCCTCACTGCTTAGGGCAACATGGTGTAAGCAAACACCATGATCCAGGCAAGCCAGACCTTCCTGGAGCCTCCTTCGTTCTGGCTTATCTCCAAGTGTGTGATCCCACCATGCCCTCCGCCAGGGGCCTGTCCACATCCGTTTCCGTCTTTGGGAGCTCTGGCTATCCTTTAAAGCCTATGCAGACACCTCTCCTCCTCCTACCCCCGCTAAGGACACGTAGCTTGCGTCCTACATGTTTGAGTTACATTTGCCCCAGTCACCCCCTCCGTGGTGAGGGTAGGGCTCAGAGCTCTCCTCACACCAAGAGTGGGCCCCAGTCATTGCTGGCTGGGGGAGGACAAAGGCAGCCAGATAAAGGCAGCTCCTGCAAGGACGGAGAGGCCACAGGCCGGCATCTTCACAAACTGTGGATGTACTGTGTCTTCCAGTAGTCAAAATAAAGAATATATTTGGCCATTTTCAGACTATTTAATACAGAACAGTTTACACACAGAAGAGGAGTGAGGAGGAGAATGAATCCCTGCAGCCCTACCCCTGTTTCCACGGTTATGGGTGTTTGCCAGCACAGGGCTGCCCAGCACTGGTGAGGGGGTCACTGTTGGCTGGCATCTGTCGGGCATCCCCGGGGAAGCTGCGCCGGTGCTGTGGCCACTGAGGTCCTCATAGGGGTTCTGGCCACTCACATTTCCGAGGTTCTTCATTTCCCACCTCAGATCACTGTTTTCAAACTCAGTTTTCAGCAACAGGGCCTTTCTTCAAACTCATCTTATCTCCACCCCTAATGCTCAAAACAGATAAAGTAGTATTAGCACAAATCCATTACAAGAGTTTACTTTTATACTATGTACTTATAAAATCAATTTGCCTATGGGAAAGAAGCGTAAAACTACCATCATGGGTATTAAGATTTGGATTTTGATAACATTTATGTGTTACAATTTCATGTAGCTCAATATTCTGTTTGGATGAAAAACATTCAGAAATCACTGAGTCACAAATCACTGAGTCACAGGTAAGCTGTTGCTAATAGCAACAGTTTTTTTATCTTGTTTTTACCTGTTTGCCTTGTGATCTCAAGAGTCTCTTCAATTAAATTGATCCAAATGCTTGAAAGAAAGGCTTGTAGGAACTTTTTTTTTTTCAGAGTTGAATCACTGATCTAACAGATGCTCAGTCTTGATTATAAATATGAAAATCAGACAGGAAGAAACCCAAGCTTAAAATAAGCAAAACTTTGTTCCCCATAACATGCATCAAACCACACTATTCTTAATTTTTAATTTATTTTTATTTCAAAAATATTTATGTTTTTATTTTATTTTATTAGAGACAGGGTCTCGCTCTGTCTCCTAGGCTGGAGGACAGTGGTGCAAACATAGCTCACTGCAGCCTCAAACTCCTGGGCTCAACTAATCCTCCTGCCTCAGCCTCCTGAGTAGCTGGAAACATAAGCTTATGTCACTGCACTGATTAATTTTGTCAGTGTTTTGTTTTTGTAGAGATGGGGTCTTGCTTTGTTGCCCAGTCTGGTCTCAAACTTCTGGCTTCAAATGATCCTCCCCTCTGGGCCTCCCAAAGTGCTAATATTATAGGTGTGGGCCACTGTGCCCAGACTATAGACCATGCTTTCTATGTTGCTGCTACTGAGGGTGATTGATGGGGGAACGCATCCCACGTCTGGTGCGGGTTAGATGCCATGTAATTGGAGGGACAGACTTTAATTTTTTAAAAGCAATGCAAAGCTGAAATCTCATTTGGTGACTCCTTTATAAGAGATTCAAATGCGTGCAAATTCATGGCCAGAGAGGCTTTAGTTTAACTTCCATGCAAAAAGGAGTTAAACAGGACACATAAATTAACACAACGGTAGTCTCTAAGAGTTAAAATTTTGTTAATAGTCATTTGAGTGTGTGACTTTTATTACCATTTTCAAATTCAAAGGAACTAAAATATTGGAGGTAAATATTTCCAGAAACCTTGAGGCGCCTCCATAGGGTCTCAGGGCTCCAGAGAACCTAGCTTGAAGATCATGATACTATCCAGAGTGAGCTTGTGCAGGTCCACATTTTCAGCTATTTTGTGCCCAATCACCATTTATAATGTGACTCATTAACAGTCAGATACAGACTACGGTCAAGCAAAGAATATTTACATCTTGATCCTACCTCCTCCTCTCTCTTTCCCTATGTGTTTTTGGAAGTAAGGGGGGGGGATGTGTCCTTTCATGACAACTTGGCTCTCGCCTTCTCTCCCTCTCTCCTTTCTCTCAGTCTCCCCCTTTTTCCCCCTTATCCCCCTTTCTTCCTTCCCTTAAACTTCATCACGTTTTTGCTTGTTTCATATTCAAATCACGGCTTTCTCATACAATTACTACTTTTTTCCTAGAGTTTCTGGTTGCCTTTTCTTATTATAAGAATGTTTAAAACTGTGTCCTTAATCAAGTCCATGATGTTTTTCAGCTCATTATATCTCCTCTTTCTTGCTCTGAACCCATTTGGTTCTGTCCTCAGTACTTTAACATCTTGCTGGGATTTGGACCCACCTTTTTCTAGGCCTCCTGCTCAAGTCATCCTCTAAATCTCTTTTATCGATCTCCAGGTTTAATCTAAAAGTGTATTCTTTCTCAGGTTTCACTCTCATTGTTCCAAAGCTGACCAAGGAAATATATGTTGGGAACAAGCTCTTCAAGGCTTTAATGTTCTTGAAAACCCCTTTTTTTTTGCCTTCATGCTTGGGTGGTTTTTCTGCTGTGAGAAGTGTCTTCGTGTTATTTCTTAATTTTTTCCCTCCCACTCTCCCTGATGGAGCTTCTGTGAGTGAGGCGAGTTCCCCCAGCCTTGTCCTCTACGCTGTCTTCTTTCTGTGTTACGTTTGATCTCTGTGATTTCTATCAGCCAAACCTCCCACCTACTCATAAAAAGTTATTTCATAAATCATACCTTTAATTTCCATTTTTCTCTCTTTTTTCTAATTGCTATATCCTCTTGAATGTTGTGAGGACATTACTTTTTTAAGAAGTGATTTTTCCTTCTTTTCATTGACTCATTCTTTTTGGATCTTTTTTGGTGTGTATCCTCCACTGTGTGTCGCATGCTGAAGACTGTCCTCCGGTATCTGTGATTCTAAGTTTCCCCTTGAGAAATCTCAGACATGGGAGAGGCTGCCTGAGGCTCTGTAGTCATGGGCAGCTCCTGCAGGGGCCATAGTGGCCAAAATGAGGGGAGCTTTACTCTGGGGTGCTGGTACTTTGACTGGCTGCCTGTGTTTTTTTGAGGTGGTTTATTTTTCTTTACCAGTAGGGCTGTGTTTTAAGGGTACCCAGGGTTGGTTTTAATCAGGCATGGTGAGACACTTAGACACAGAAGTGACTGTCCTGAAGGAAAGCAGTTTTACTCACTGTTCTTAGAAGCAGAAGGACAGGCTAGGCGCGGTGGCTCAGCCTGTAATCCTAGCACTTTGAGAGGCTAAGTGGGGGTGGATCACGAGGCCAGGAGTTCAAGACCAGCCTAACCAACATGGTGAAACCCCATCTCTACTAAAAATATAACAATTAGCCGGGAGTGGTGGCACGCACCTGTAATCCCAGCTACTCAGGAGGCTGAGGCAGGAGAATTGCTTGAATCCAGGAGGCAGAGGTTGCAGTGAGCCGAGATCGTGCCCCTGCACTCCAGCCTGGGCAACAGAGCTAGACTCCATTTCAAAAAAAAAGGGAAGCGTAGCACATGCAGGGACACAGGGAGGCACCAGGGCCACGCGGGAGGCCGAGAGAGTGCGGGAAACCTGAGCAAGGGCCGTCCTTCATTGTGGCTTCTGCAGGAAGGAAGGGAGGAGCAGGGCACGCAGGCTTAGGTTTAGGATTAGCTCCTTAGAATAATTGCAGTAGGCCCTGGGGCATAGGGACTCTTCCTGGTTGACTTTTACCTGGTCCTGCAGTGATGAGAGCAGGACTGGTGTCAACCCCAGTGTGACAGCCTGATAAAGGATGTGTTTGGGTGGGGGTATGGGTTCTGGATTGATTGATTTGTGTTTGAAAGGCCAGAGTTGTTTACTATCTCTCCAAGGGGCCTCCAGAGTCAGCAAAGCCCCAGATGTCAACACATCAGAATCCAGAAAATAAAAGACAAGGCTAGTACAGGCTGTTGGTGTAATTGCTGTTGGGGCTGTGTGTGTGTGGGTGTGTGTCCTTTATCCCAGTTGTTAACTCCTGGCTGCAGGAGGCTGGAACAGGGGACGGAGAGGGGCAGTGGTGCATCCGTCTAAAACTCGCACTTACTTCTGTTGTCTTCCCTCACTCTCCTTCTTTTCATCGCTAACTGTGGAGCTGGAAGCCCTCTGGGGTTGTGGTGTCCAGCTCCCTCCTGCACCTGCAGTTCAGTCATTCAAGATATATATGTGGGCCGGGCACGGTGGCTCACGCCTATAATCCCAGCACTTTGGGAGGCTGAGGCGGGTGGATCACAAGGTCAGGAGATCGAGACCATCCCGGCTAACATAGTGAAACCCCCGTCTCTACTAAAAATACAAAAAAATTAACCAGGTGTGGTGGTGTGCACCTGTAGTCCCAGCTACTCGGGAAGCTGAGGCAGGAGGATGACATGAACCCAGGAGGTGGAGCTTGCAGTGAGCCGAGATCATGCCACTGCACTCTAGCCTGGGCAACACAGCAAGACTCTGTCTCAAAAAAAAAAAAAAAAAGATATATATGTGAAGCACAAACCAAGTGTGGGTCCGCTTCAAGAGGCTGGAACTAGAGCTTTGGACACAGCGAGTGAAAACCCTGCCCCATGAGGCTCACAGGGTGGCAGCGTGCCTCACCCACCCTCTGTTCTTCTAGACACCATGAAAATGTCACATCTGCCGATGTCCTCCAGAGTTGTTTACAGGTTTCATTTGGTTAAGAGCTTGGTTTTATATACATTGTGAGAAAAATCACCAGTTCGGTGTGAAAATTGAAATGGGGGTAGACACTGGCCCTTCCAAGCTGTGCCCGGGGAAGACCTCCCAGGCCAGTCCCAGTGGTGCTCTCAGGCAGCGTGTGGGGTTGTGAGGACAGACAGGGGCCCCTCTCAAGGTCTTTGCTGCTCCATCAAAGACAGACCCCAGGGCTTCGGGAAATCCACAGCCTGGTGGCACTGGCTCATGCAGTCCTTTTCCTGTTTCTAGTGCTGATGAGCGCTTTGACGCCACATTCCACACTAACGTGTTGGTGAATTCTTCTGGGCATTGCCAGTACCTGCCTCCAGGTAAGCTGCACCTCCTTTGTCCTCTTCCAGTTAGAAAACTGAAGCGAGTTTGGGTGTCAGTCAGTCTGGCCGGTGCCCCCGTGTGGTGGACCAGCTCTTTGCTTCGCCTTTGCTCACTCCCACCTCTTCCTCTCTCTTCTCTTCTGTGCTTCTGTGTGCTTTCTACCCCCAGAAGTCCATCCTCCTCTTTTGTCTCAATCAAGCCGTCTTTGCCACTATGTCCTTATTTTCTGCCATGTGTGCCTTAAAGCCAATGTACAAATACAGCGAGTCTCCTTTGCCGGGCAGTGGCCACCTCACCTTCCAGCCTGGCAAGCCACCTCTCCAGGCTCTGCTTCTCAGTTCCAGCTTGCCATCCTCCTCCCTGCGGGACTCAGTGTCTTGGCAGGTGCAGCGCTCCAGCTGCCGGGGGTGAGATATGACAGTTCCAGGATCCTGAGTGCGTGCGCTAAAGAGCACACGCAGGTTACAGGCAAGGTCTGGTGGTTTCAAGGGAGAGCTCTCTAGCGGCTGACTTCTTCCCAACAGTGTCTCACCTCCAAGGCTAAGTGCTCCCTGGATTGGTTCTTTCCCACCAGTCCATCTTTTCAGTCGATTCACAGGGCAAGGGAAATGGGTTTATGGCCTAAAGGTGCATGCAGAGTGCGCACTAGCATATTGATAGGAACAGCTGGGGTTTTTGATCTTTTAGAAGATTTTTAATGTGTTTATTCCAGGGTGATCTCCCACACTGCAGCTGTTTAACTTTCTGCTCAGAGGCAACCTGCAATTACCTCCACACCTAACTACCACTCACACATACGACTCACACACACACCACTCACAACCACTCACACACAGCCACTCACACATACCACACACCACTCACCCCTCACACACACCACTCACACACATCACTCACATACCACCCACACGACTCAACACTCACACACCACTCACACAACCACTCACATACCACCCACACGACTCAACACTCACACACCACTCACACAAATATACCACCCACACACCACTCACCACTCCACACATACCACTCACACAAACCACTCAAACCACCAACACACACACACCAGACACACACACACCCCTCACACACACCACTTACACACCACTCTCACACACCATACACACCACTCACACACGACTCACAACCCTCACACACACCACTTACACACATGCAGGCATGCACTCTCAAACCAGATACACTATTCACACCACTCACATACCACACATACTGGCTGTGCCTTCTCGGTTGCTGTCTGAGTGCCTTCCCTGTCAGCAGGTGACAAGCATCTGGGGGCACAGTCAGCCTTTGCTCACCTTAGCATTTATCCCTGAATGAACAAAGGAGCGAGTGAACCTGTCAATGGTAGACACCTCCCAATAATATTGGAAGAGATTGAAGAAGTCCAGCTGTTCAGGCTTCTCGAAGCATCCGCTTTCCTGCTAGCCCTGGCATTTCCTCCTACCAGCAGGACCCTTGCAAACAGGGGTAGTGGGGGGAGCCTTCCATCACTCCCGAGGTCTTTCTCGCCAGGCCTGCGTGTTGCAGCTTCTGTTATGAGGGCTATTTTAGAAAACAGCCTCCGGTAGTCACCAGTGTAGAATATGCTGCTGCAGGTTGTTTGGAAGGCTGAGGCTATTTTCAGCTGCAGGACCAGCACTGCAAGCCTCGAGCTGCCTGAGTGCAGCAGCCCCCTCTGGAGCTCCAGGCCTGTGTCCCCACTGCAGTGGCCCTGGATTCCGGTCAGGACAGGACACGTTGTCTTGTGACCATGAGGGGCTTCCTTACGCTGGCAGGAAAGGCCCAGGGCCGCCTGGATTGGGAAACCCCTGCCTGCTCCCTGGGAGTGTAGAACGAGTCCCAGGATGCTGCCCTGTCTGTAGTTAGAGGGGCATGGATAGGAAAGAATGTTTTGAGTTCAAGCTTTGAAATAGAGACTTGACCATAACATGACTTTCCCCCCCATTTCATGTGTTTATTTTTTAACAGCTTTATTGAGAGAGAATTTACATATCATGCATTTTAAGTACATGATTCAACAACTTTTAGTATATTTACAGACTTATGCAACCATTACCACAGTCTAGTTTTAGAACATTCCCATCACCCCACAAAGATCCCTTTTGCTTGTTTGCAGTTAATTCCCATTCCTACTCCCAGCAACCACTGATCTGCTTTCTGTCTCTAGAAATTCTCTGTCTGTCTCGGGCCATTATTTCGTAGAAATGGGCTCATGAAGTTACAAAGCTTTCCAACTAACTGGCAGACAAGGTGGGTTTTGGGGGGATCCAACTATTAATGGAGGGGGATTGTCTGTGATGATTCCAGATTCCTATAAACATTTCATGTAAGGACGCAAAGCATACTTAAAGGAACTTCAGGGGACAAAATGTGTATCTTTTCCCAACTCGGTTGTGGGGTGGGGTCCTTGTGTGCAAGGCTGTGGAGGCCCTTCCTGCGTGCACTCTTTCTGTAACTCAGTAACAGAAGTTTGCAGAGTGCCAGCCCTGCCCCAGGAACACCTGGACACCGAGTCTGTGCCTGTCTTCTTGTGCCATGCAGCCTTCCTCTGGGCAGGGAAGAGCACATGAGTGTAAATAACTGGAGTGGCCTCTATCTGGTTTCCTCCCCTTGGCCCTCTGGGAAATCCACTTCCAACCTGTCCTAGCCTGGAATAGCTCTTTTCAGCGGAAACTCTTCCTTCAAGCACCATCTCTTCAGCTTAAACCTATCTATCTGTTCTTGTTTTTGTTTGTTTGTTTGTTTGTTTGTTTGTTTTAACTTTTTTTCTTACAGACAGATTCTAGGTGTGTTCCCCAGGCTGGAGTGCAGGGGCTCGATCATAGCTCACTTCACTTTAGCCTCAAACTCCTGGGCTCAAGCAATGCTCCTGCCTTAGCCTTCTGAGTAGCTGGGACTACAGGCATGCATCACCTCACCCAGCTAATTTTTTTTATTAGAGATGTCTCACTATGTTGCCCAGTCCGGTCTCAAACTCCTAGTCTCAAGTGACCCTCCCACGTCAATGTCTTAGAGTCACTGGGATTACGGGCATGAGACACTGTGCCCAGCTTGTTCTGTTCTTCATCTAGAATTTAAATTAGTTAAAATTCTAGCTTTAACCAGAATTCTAGATTGTATTTCTCGATAATCATGTGTTCTTCCCATTTTTAACCTAAAGAAAATGCCTACCTCACCCCGCACCAAACAGACACACACACACACACACACACACACACCTTTTAGATTCTATTTCTAACTTCATCATCAGGGTTATCAACTTCTCTGAGATATTTTGCATTCTTTACTTTTATTATTTAGAGTCTGAAGATGCTCATGGTAAATGCAGATTATAGAGCTAACTTTTTGCACAAAAAGCCCACAAAACAGTCTTTGAGAGAGCATGTCAGTGTTACGTTTGGATTTTAAAAGACAGTGAAGCTTAGCTGAGATTCTGTTTTACAGATTTTGCGAATAAATAAAAAGACAGATTCCATTTGCTCTGGACTGTGTTAGCTGCAGTGCGGAGGGCGGAACCGGCTGAAGGAACTGCTGTGTATTTTCAGCACATCTCAGTCAGCTTCCGTTTCAGTCTTCTGTTTCCATCACCCACACAGGCATATTCAAGAGTTCCTGCTACATCGATGTACGCTGGTTTCCCTTTGATGTGCAGCACTGCAAACTGAAGTTTGGGTCCTGGTCTTACGGAGGCTGGTCCTTGGATCTGCAGATGCAGGAGGCAGATATCAGTGGCTATATCCCCAATGGAGAATGGGACCTAGTGGGTAAGCCATGGGACTAACCGCCTGGAAGAAAGCTTTCCTATTCCTGGGCAAGCTTTAAAAGTTTGGGATTTTCCACTGTCCTTTCCGGTGCGAGCATTTATTGAATTTTGCAGTAGTCTCCATAATTTACTGAGAGCTACAGGAGGAGAAACAGAAAACAGTTAGGATATGCCATGCTTTCCAAGAGGAACTGGCAACTGCAGTGAGGATGCATTTAAACAAACCAGTGTGAGGATAGATCTCTCTACGTTATGCAGATCCACTCCATTTCTAAAAGCAAGTTGAACAGCAAATTTCAGTTGATGGGAACCTATATTTGATTATTTTAAAATAGGAAAACAGTGATTACATTTATAACAGTGTAAAATTGGTAATGTATTATTTATAATTATTATAATCATGTGTTTCCAATCCACCAAAAGAATATGTACCAATTTGGCCAACTATCACTAAAATACTCTTAACTCTATAGTAAATCAACAAGGTTTTATTCAAGCTAATTACAACCCCCCCCTTTTTTTTTTTTAGCACTTTGCAAACTTTAGGACTGTGCTTGTGTGTGGTATACACATTGAAATAAACAGGGTAATTTATTGTATTCTAACAATGGCTCCTTCTCTCCTCCTCCCTATGGAGGAATCCCCGGCAAGAGGAGTGAAAGGTTCTATGAGTGCTGCAAAGAGCCCTACCCCGATGTCACCTTCACAGTGACCATGCGCCGCAGGACGCTCTACTATGGCCTCAACCTGCTGATCCCCTGTGTGCTCATCTCCGCCCTCGCCCTGCTGGTGTTCCTGCTTCCTGCAGATTCCGGGGAGAAGATTTCCCTGGGTAAGCGCCCCAGTGTCTGGCGGGAGTCTGAGACTGGAGACCTTCTGCTGAGATCAGCTCTGGAGGGCTCACAGCAGACAGCGCAGGACTCCATCAGGGTTCCTGGGGATTCCCTGGCTCATCCCATGGACCTCCGAGCCCACGGTGGCTCCAGGACACCAGAGGTCCCTGATTCGGGCTCCGTGCTGGACGGCTGTGTAATCCTGAGAATACTGGAGGACCCTCAGAGGATGGGGGATGCACAGGGAGGGGGCCAGCTCCATTCTGCCTTGAGAGGCCTGTGCTTTCTTCCCTCCTGCCACCCCACCTGTTCCTCAATGGCGACTGGTCATCGAGGGAACAATTTAGCTTAGTATCAGCTTGCATTTGTATGTTACAGTACCCAGTGTAATTCTTACGATCACTCCCATACGAAGCTAAGGAAACCAAGATTTTGAATGGTGGAATGAGTTTCCCAATGTCTTAAAGAGTTGCTAAACATCAGATGTAGCATATGGTAGAAATCATTCCCAAACCCATATCTTCTGAGTATGAGGTTCAGAAAGGTTGAATGTTGTATCTAAGGTCACATAGCTAGTTGAGTAGCAAACGTAAGACCTGAAATCAGGTCTCCTGACTGCATATTTTCTTTTTCCTGCTACGTGAAACTACTTCTCAATAATATTTTACAGAGAATATGAGAGATAATTGTGCCAAGTTAAATTTTTCAGTTTGTGTTGATGCTTTTAAAATTCTGGGTCCTAAACTTGTCTCCATAAGAGACTCCTTTGGGACTCTGGTAAGTGGCATGGAATGTCCCCTGGAAAATGCACACGCCCATACATAGGGAAAACGTGCATTCCACGACATTCCCCCCAGCGCCTCCCTTTCTTTTGAGTGTCAGGTTAGGAGCCCTCGTTAGACAGAATTGAGGCCTTCTTGTCTGTTTTTGTCTGAGGAACCGCTGTGTGTTTATGTTTTAGGGATAACAGTCTTACTCTCTCTTACCGTCTTCATGCTGCTCGTGGCTGAGATCATGCCCGCAACATCCGATTCGGTACCATTGATAGGTAAGGCAAGAGTTGGGCTCCTCTCTTAGAGATATGGGGTTAGGGTTAGAGTGTGCCCAGGATTTCCCAGCAGATGAAACTAGAAGAAATAGGGCTGCACTGCCCCCATTTTCTCTGGAAGGTGATGATTTGCTGTAACTATTCAGAGTCACCCAGGCCCAAGTAAGGGGAAGGGGATATTCAGCTTTGAGGTTTGACTTTTATCTCACAGAAATGCCCCCCTTCCCCTCATAATTCTCCTCCTCATGCTTGCTTTGAAGCCAGATATTTCATCGTTAGAGATGCATCATTTTAGCTTAAGATGTTGTTTTCCCACAAAGCCTTTGTTAAAATGGGAGAAGCACACAGTTACTGTGTCCTGAGATAACTCAATGTCTCTGTATAAAAGTTTCTAGGGAAATATGAATGAGAAAAATATATTTTGCACAGGTATAAGGCATGATCCTCTACCCAGGGAGGGACAACAAAAACAAGTCTCCACTCCCACTGGGCAGGGAAGGTTGGAAGGAGGTATACAGACTGTCATTACACCTGCTGGCCCCTGCTGTTTGAGGACCTATGCTGTGTCTACCTGGGGGTGGGCTAGAGGGAGAGCCCTACCTGGATACCCCCAGGCTTTAGGAACCAAGCAGCAAAGGCCCTTCTTTGTGGAACTCCCTGTATGTGCAGTATTTTGGCCAGAGAAACTGTTGGTATGAAAAGCCTTTGTGGGTATCATTTTTCTCTTGGTACCATCCAGACAGGGAAGAACCACCTTTCCACCTGATTCTGACTCCATTCTTTCTACCTTCCAGCACACTGCTTTCAGTAGAGATTTGCAGCCTCCCTTCCGGGGGCAGTTGTCAGGCCTTCTCTCTCTGGACTGATGACCCGCTGGGAAAGGCTTGGTTGGTGCATAGCCCACATCTCGAAGGATGGGATGTTGATGGCCCCAGGGACATCAGCTTTGCTGCCCTCTGTTGATGGAAATTCAGTCTGGGCAATCCTTTGACCCCCATCTCTCCAGAGGTGGTTGGTCTGCTCAGGCTGCCGTGACAAAATACTATGGACTTAGGGGCTTAAATAACTAACAGAAATTTATTTTCTCACAGTTGCACTGCTGAAAGTCCAAGACCAAGGGGCCATTAGGGATGGTTTAACCTGAGACCTCTCCCCCTGGCTTGCAGACAACCACTTTCACAATGCTTTGTCCTCCCCTGGTAGTTCCTCTGTGCACCTGCATCCCTGGTGTCTCTCTGTGTGTCCAAATTTTCTCTTCTTCATTAAAAGAACACCAGTCAGATTGGATTAGGGCTTACCCTGATGACCTAATTGTACTTAATTACCTCCTTAAAGACCCTATCTCCAAGTACAGTCACATTCTAGGGTACTAGGGGTTGGGGCTTCAACATATGAATTCTAGGGGGAAGCATAATTCAGCTCATAAGGGTCACGGTTTGCTCCAGTCTCCTTCCTTTTCTCAGGGGCCCTGATGCTAACTTTAGGTCTCAAACTTCCAGCTCTGGCAGAGCTCCTCCCAGGTACCTCTTGGTCTTTGTAGGAAGGCAGTGAGTTCCTTCCTGGCGTGAGGGCCTGTGAGGGCTAGCTGAATGCTTAGCGCCCTGTACCCTGATGCTTTCCGCTTAGAGTTCAGCCCCTTGAGTGGACAGCCACACCAAAGGTTTAATAATTAGAGCTGCCCACTAAAGAATGCCCCCTCCTTTCTCCTAGACATCTTGGCCTGTGTAATTGCTCATCATTGCACAAATCCTGCAAGGAAGAAGTTCCTATTTTAATGGAGGCTACCGTAACAAATTGCTGTAGTCTGGGGGCCTAAGCAACAGACATTTATTTCTCAGAGTTCTGCAAGGCTGCACGTCCTCGATAAGGGTGGCAGCAGGGCTCTGGTGAGGGGCCACTCCCTGGTTTACAGCTGGCCCTCTTCTCGCTGTGGCCTCACGTGGCAAAAAGAGAGTGAATTAGCTCTTTAGCCTCTTTTTATGAAGGACTCTAATCCCATTCATGAGGGCTGCACCCTCAGGACCTGTTGAAGGCCCCTGAGAAAATCACTCACCATTTCTCTACTTACACAACACTTCTGACACCAAAGCGGGGCGTTTCTCCCACATCGACCAATTCTTGGAAACCAGCTGGGCGTCCTACAGTGAGTTCACTTCAGTCCTGACACCACCTGGAGTTAGCACAGCACTCACAGATTAAGGCTCACAAGACCATTTCTACTTGAGATGCCAGTTAGAAGTTCCGGCTTCCCATGCTTCTGACCAAGTGTCTATAAATCGGGGAGTTCCCAAAAGCACATCTTTGAGTTCAGCCATTTACTAGAGTGACTCACTCTAGTAAACTCAGGGAAACATTTTACTGATATTTATTCATTAATTATAAAGCACAGATGAATAGTCAGATGAAAGAAATGCATAGGGCAAGGTATTTGGGAAGGGGCATGGAACTGCCATGCCCTCTCTGCCCTCCAAACACCTCCCCGTGTTCAGCACTGGGAAGGTCTCCACAGAACTCCATCCTTTTGGGTTTTTATGGAGGCTTCACTACATAGGCATGATTGATTACATCATTGGCCACTGGCGATCCACTCAACCGTCAGTACCTCTTTCCTCCCCAGGGGTCAAGGGTTGGGAGAGGGGACAGAGCTTGAAGGTTCCAACTCTCTAATTACTTGGCTGGTTCCCCTGGCAACCAAACCCCATCCTGAGGGTATCCAGGAACCTCAGCCATAAATCATTTCATTAGCATATAAAAAGACACTGATGACTTCAGAGATTCAAAGGTTTTAGGAGCTGTGTGCCAGGAAATGGGAGGAAGACTAAATACATATTTCTTATTATAAATCACAATCTCATACCTCCCAAAGCCCCACCTCCAGATACCATCCCAGTTAGGACTAGGGTTTTAACCCATGAACTTCGTGGGGACACAAACGTCATCCTTTGTACCACCCCCATTGGAGAGCTGAGGCCCGAAGAGGCTGAGCATCCACTCCAAACTCACAGCCAGTAGCTAGTGGACCAGGATGGAAGCACTCAGATGCTCCATGCTGCCCCTCACCTGGGCCCAGGTGGAAGGACACCCATGACCCATTAGAACCAAAGCTGAGACTGAAGTTCTCGTCCTGAAAAGTCCCTGCCACTGACCCCTTCCTCAGGCTGGACAGCTGGCAGCCAGGTGGTGTGCAGGTTTGCCCTCATTGTGCCCCTGGAGCACAGTAGAGGCCTGCATCATGAACACTGGATGGTTCCCATGCCCTCACATCCAGTATTTACCCACAGGAACAAGCTTATCACCATCCTGCCAGGCGATGCTAGCTCTTATTGACTGACAAGTCGGCCAGAGTGCATGGAAGTGCAATGAAGTGAGGGAAGGTCACTCCGTGGGCGGGAAGTCAGACCACACTGGCTGGTTTTGCCCACCCAGAATGTGGGCTGCAGGCCTGGACACATGGGCATCACTGCACCCTGAGGCCCTGACGGTCAGAGAACCTGATCAGGGTGTGCCTGTCCTGTGACGTGCAGTGCCACAGGATCCCCGGGTCTCACCCTGCATCTGTTCTCTCCACAGCCCAGTACTTCGCCAGCACCATGATCATCGTGGGCCTCTCGGTGGTGGTGACAGTGATCGTGCTGCAGTACCACCACCACGACCCCGACGGGGGCAAGATGCCCAAGTGGGTACGTTCCTCCCACCCCCGATGGAGTCGGAGCCCCCCTGTAAAGGAGGCTCCTCCTAGGGTTTATTTTTAAAATCACACAAAAAATGGGCATTCCTAAAGAAATAGCTTTGGGTTTTTTGTTTGTTTTTTTGAGACGGAGTCTCACTATGTCACCCAGGCTGGAGTGCAGTGGTGTAATCTTGGCTCACTGCAACCTCCACCTCCTGGATTCAAGCAATTCTCCTGCCTCAGCCTCCTAAGTAGCTGGGACTACAGGTGCCTGCCACCACACCTGGCCAATTTTTTTTTGTATTTTTAGTAGAGATGGGGTTTCACTATGTTGGCCAGGCTGATGTCGAACTCCTGACCTCGTGATCTGCCCACCTCAGCCTCCCAAAGTGCTGGGATTACAGGTGTGAGCCATTGTTCCCAGCCAGAAATAGCTTTGTTTCTGTATTTCGTCACCTATTGACGTGTCTTTGTGTAGTGTGCAGTCATGGTGCACGTGTTCCCGGATGCCCCGTGGCACTGCTGTCTAATCTAACTGCAGAGTAGAGTAAGGCTCTCAAACTGGCTGCCCTGTGTGTTCTATCAATCAGCACGGTGTTTTGAGAAGCTAGTTTGTTTTTTGATGCATGCCGTGAAGCACTGTGCTGCAGTTGGAAGCAACAGATGAGACAGATGCGTAGCAACATGGTTGAGGCTTCACAACAGAATGAGGAGCAAAGAGTAAGAAACGGAATGAGCTGTGTACAAATATGTACGTTCAGTACATCTAGGGATATCATCCAACCAGAAGTCTATGAAACAAAGACTAATTGTCACCAGTGCAGAAGGGGGAAGGGATAAAAGGAAACGGATGAAAACAGAAAGGATGGCATCCCACAGCCTGTCAGCTTAGCCTGGGCCATACCACTCCTGCCCCAGCTGCTGGCACCGTGCCCGGCCACATCTGCGGATGCTCACCCACCCAGGGATCCTCTCCTGCACGGTGTCCAGAGCTCTGCATCCACCCTTGCCTGGCAGTCAGGAAACCTTGATGAGGGCCTAGGGAGGGCCTGAGCTTCTTCCCCTCTTCATGTGAGCTTTGTAAAGCTTCCCCGTCCTCCTGTCTAGAGAGCCTGGCCTAAGGATTTGGGGAGCTAAAAAGGCCCTCACATTCCAAAAGTTGTCTGTCTTTGGAGAGCACTTGTGTCCCAGTTCAGAAGGGAATCTAGGAATCACCAACAAGCTAAATGCAGCTGTAGGGGGTGAGATGCTGTCAGGCACCCTCCAGGAATAGGGGATTGCTGGGCCTCCTGAAACAGTCATTGTGGAGTTGTTACCTGAATGCTCACTTAGCAAAGACTGCTTCTTAAGAAATGCTTTACAAAATTACTGTTTCTTCTCAGAGTTTCACCCACATGGCCCATTCCCCTTATACACTATTTAGTAAAGACTTACCTGTGAGCCCACCACAGTGGTGTGTGGCTGTAGTCCCAGCTACCTGGGAGGCTGAGGTGGGAGGATCATGTGAGCCCAGGAGCTCCAGGCTCCAGTGAGCTATGGTGGTGTCATTGCCCTCCAGCCTGGGTGACAGAGCAAAACTCCATCTCCTAAAAAAAAAAAAAAAAAAAAAAAAAAAAAAAGACTGACTTGTAGCTCATTACACAAGCAGTAATGTGAGCTCAGCCTACATGGTGATGTCTCACACACAGACCACATCACTACATTCCCTGAGGCTTGTTTTGTGAAGGCCCCCCCTTAAAACACTGGGGTACATTTGCACACATTCACCTGTATTTTTGTCTGATTTCCTTATAACGCTGACCCACACTTAAGAAAATGCAAGGCCAGAGGTGAGAGGCCTGAGAGCTGGAGGCTTGTTGGTTTGCTGCTCTTTCTGTCTGTCCATCCATCAGTTTGAAGCAGGTAATACATTTACCTGTTTCTAAAGTCAAAATAAAATTAAAATTATACATAAGGAAATCCTGCTCCCATTCCTTCCCCTTTACCCTGCATCTACCGTCAATACTGATAACCGTTTTAATGAATTCCTTATTTTTCCTTCTAGTATTTATTTATGCAAATACAAAAATCTAAACATTCTCATTTCTTGTAAGTATTTTGACTGATGAGAAGATAAGAGAATTAAGACATTGAGACACAAAACCATTTTTAACGACCTGGAGCACTCTACTGCTCTAGAACAATCTTAATTAAGAACATATGCTAATTATTCACCTCTCAGCATAAAAGCTTATTAAAACCAATTGGCTGCAAATGAAAGATGAAGCTTATGCATTTCTCTCGCTTTATATAGCACACTGCATTTTTCTTTCATTCCATGTGTATGTGAAACACAAACAGCCTCCGAGGGACTTTTATTATGATCTGTTGCTATGAAGAAGATACTGCCGGGTGCAGTGGCATTATGTGACATTTGCACAGCCAGAAACAAAACTGTAGCCTAACAGAAGAGGTCAAGAGCACAGTTTGAGGAGTGCCAAGAGGATAATTTTATCTTTTAAATGCTTTGGCTTTGAAAGTTAATGATTCAGGCCATGGAATTCAAAATGGACTTGGCAGAGTGTATCGTATGAGCTTGAGATGTGCACTGGGGGACGTGTAGACCCTGCCATGGAGGGAGAAGTGCCTGGTGCTGCTCGCTCCCTGTGTGCACTGCTGCCACTGGATGCAGGCACACTCACTGCCCTGCAGCCTCCCAGGAGAGCTGGCTCAGGCTTTCTGGTGCCTTCCCAGAGGGGTGGGGTTGTGCGAGTTTTGAAGAGAATCTTACAGACCCTTTGACAGATGAGACTGGGAAAGGCTAAACATGTGAAGTGACATAACCACTTACTTACTCATTGTACATCGTTGGGCCAGTTTATTAGCCTCTTTGAACCTCAGTTTGTTGGTCTGTAAAGTGAGGGGATTATACTCATTTCACCGGACCCTGAAAGGCCCAAGTGAGATGACTTGTCTCATGAGCCTTGTATGGACGGCCCAACTCACCCAAGGTTTCACCTGGGGCCATATGTCCCTGCTCCTTACTGATCATAAAAAACCCTCCAAGGTCAGCAGACCCAACCTTTCCAGGACACGCAGAGTGCCGCCTGCTTGTAAAGTACAATGGGAAACAAAGGGTTATTTTTATAGCTGCAATGAAACTGGTCTTGTGCTTCCCTGTTCTTGTCCCCAGACCTGTTTGTTGCAGTTATCTTTGATAAGATGTTATAAAAAGATGACCAAGAATGAAAGCTCTGCAGATACGAACTGCACAATTTACTATCTGTATATTTATTTCCTAAAGATAGGAAATAAACCTGTTAGGTTACTGATGGAATTTCCCCAAAATCATAAAACAAAATGTAAATGAAATCAGGATCTGGATAATTTCAGGGAAAAGGCCCACTTTTCATACACTTTACATGGATGGGCTTGCAAGAATGCTTCTTTACCTGGATTGAGGCTTCAGTTGTCTCTCTTCTTTCCATGAGAGGCAAAACCAGGATAAACTCCATGGTGATTTTTCTCCAGCTTCTTTCATGCACTCTAGGACACACTTTAGACCAGAAGTTAGCAAATTATGGCCTAGGTGGCCAAATCCAGTCCACCAAGTGTTTTTGTAAATAAGTTATTTTAGAAAACATGCCCATCCATTTGACGCCTTCAATGTGTGCTACATCAGCAGAAGTGAGTAGTTGCCTGGCCCTTTACAGAAAGTTTGCCAACTTCTGCCTTCAACTTTTCAAAGTACTCTCCCAGACATCATCTTATTCGGTCTTCATTGAAGCCTACTGAGTTAGGTTAGAGGTTCCGAAACTGCCTTGGTTCACAGCACGTTAGTATCTCAGGAAATTTTTCACAGAGCCCCTGGCCAAAAGAAATAATACCCAAGGCTCTCTTTTTAAATAGATCAAAACACTTTAATAAGTATTTATGCCTTAACAATGTAGCACCTATGGGGCACGGCACCGCCTCTCAAATCTTGGGATCAGATTGGAGACCACTAACCTAGTTTCTGTTTCACATGAAGTTCCTTGGTGTTTGCTTTTTATCAGGGTACTTTGAAAAACAGCTTTGCAAAGTGGTCACGTCATCACAAGAGATGTGGTAATCTGATGTTGGAAGCCTGAAGTGCTTCAAGCTTCAAGTTTACCTGGTGTCTCATGGATATCCTGGGATTGCATTTGAAAATGTACAACCTCCCCCAGGCACTCTTTGCGAATTTGCAGTGGCCTTCCAGGGCACCTAACAGGTAGTGTGGGAGCCAGAGTTAGATCTGAAGGTCCCCGGGTTACAGATGAGGAAGGATCAGAGAGGGAAATTGACTTTCCCTCTTTACACAGCTCAGATAGCCTTCCCCTTCCACGAAGCTGTCCTCCCTGAGATTGCAGTGTGCCTGCCCCGGAGAACAATTTAGCTTGTTCCCAGGGTGCATCAGTTTTAGTCTTGCCTCACGTTGAACTCGACTGCTTGTCATACGCAAGCACTGCTTGCCTGCTAAAATCATCTGGGAGGCAGTGGAGGCTGCTACCCCCAGGACCAATGAAGCAGGGCTTGTATTGTAGGATCTTACTGCTGTTGGGATCAGCCCGTGTCCGCCTCAGGGCTGCTCTTAACGTTCTGTTGTCTCCCCAGACCAGAGTCATCCTTCTGAACTGGTGCGCGTGGTTCCTGCGAATGAAGAGGCCCGGGGAGGACAAGGTGCGCCCGGCCTGCCAGCACAAGCAGCGGCGCTGCAGCCTGGCCAGTGTGGAGATGAGCGCCGTGGCGCCGCCGCCCGCCAGCAACGGGAACCTGCTGTACATCGGCTTCCGCGGCCTGGACGGCGTGCACTGTGTCCCGACCCCCGACTCTGGGGTAGTGTGTGGCCGCATGGCCTGCTCCCCCACGCACGATGAGCACCTCCTGCACGGCGGGCAACCCCCCGAGGGGGACCCGGACTTGGCCAAGATCCTGGAGGAGGTCCGCTACATTGCCAACCGCTTCCGCTGCCAGGACGAAAGCGAGGCGGTCTGCAGCGAGTGGAAGTTCGCCGCCTGTGTGGTGGACCGCCTGTGCCTCATGGCCTTCTCGGTCTTCACCATCATCTGCACCATCGGCATCCTGATGTCGGCTCCCAACTTCGTGGAGGCCGTGTCCAAAGACTTTGCGTAACCACGCCTGGTTCTGTACATGTGGAAAACTCACAGATGGGCAAGGCCTTTGGCTTGGCGAGATTTGGGGGTGCTAATCCAGGACAGCATTACACGCCACAACTCCAGTGTTCCCTTCTGGCTGTCAGTCGTGTTGCTTACGGTTTCTTTGTTACTTTAGGTAGTAGAATCTCAGCACTTTGTTTCATATTCTCAGATGGGCTGATAGATATCCTTGGCACATCCGTACCATCGGTCAGCAGGGCCACTGAGTAGTCATTTTGCCCATTAGCCCACTGCCTGGAAAGCCCTTCGGAGAGCTCCCCATGGCTCCTCACCACCGAGACAGTTGGTTTTGCATGTCTGCATGAAGGTCTACCTGAAAATTCAACATTTGCTTTTTGCTTGTGTACAAACCCAGATTGAAGCTAAAATAAACCAGACTCACTAAATCCTTTCCAATAATTGACTGGTGGAAGGAAAACAAAAAACAAAAACTAAAAACCTCTTAGCTTTTCTGCAATTCAACTTTTTATTTTTATTTTTATTTCTATCAAAGACGGTAGAGAGAAACAGCTTGATGCTGTTTCTACATTAAAAAAAAAAAAAAAAGACAGACTGTTGGTCTTACTAAGGATGTTTTTACCAGCCTGCCTGACTTCTGCAAACCTACCCTGTCAAGGAGATCAAAGGGACGCAGGTTTCTGTTTATTCTGAACAAGGGCCAGGCCCCGCGGAGTGTCTTTGGTGGATCCCAGATAACTCCTAGGTGCTGCTCTCAGACACTGAGGAGTTGAGCAAATCTGTTCTATTCTGCAGAACCCACAGGACAAATAAGAGTTCTACTAGAATTAACAGCCCAAAAGAATAGCTACAGCTAAGTGAAGCCACTTACGTGGGCTTTAAAAAAATAATGTGTTAGCTGATTCACATGCACTGGAGTTAATTAGTCTTAGAAATGTGTGCATCCATACAAATGCACAACATAAAGTGAACATATTCCTAGGCCCTTTCTGCCTGTGTCAGGGCCAGGAAGTAGAGGCTGGGAACTCTTCTGGTCCCCAGTATGGCAGGCGCCAGGGAGGGGATGGTGTGGCCCATCCCTTCTCTGGATACCTGGCCAGTGGCAGGCAGCAGGGAGGAGCTGGCCGACCCTCAGTGACTGACAAGCCAGCAATTCTGAGTTCTGGCCTTTGGGAGTCTGCCTGCTCCAAGCCAGTCCACCCCAGCTGCAGCCCCAAAAGCTGGCTCAAAGTCCTTGGGTGGATTCACTGGAGATGGGCAACTTAAAACAAGAGAAACTTTAATTTTTAAACCTAAGTGATGATACAGCTCTTCCCTTAGATTATCGCCCAGGCTGGAGTGCAGTGGCATGATCTCAGCTCACTGCAAGCTCCACCTCCTGGGTTCATGCCATTCTCCTGCCTCAGCCTCCCCCCGAGTAACTGGGAATACAGGCGCCCGCCACCATGCCTGGCTAATTTTTTGTATTTTTAGTAGAGATAGGGTTTCATCATGTTAGCCAGGATGGTCTCATTCTTATTCTTTAATGAGATCAGAGGGTAATTCACCAAGAAAGACCTCTCCTGTTCCATTGTGTCATCCAACAACTGCTCAGAGCTCAAAATTATAGAAGGCTTCTGAGCCCCTAGAGATTTTTAATTTGCTTCTAATCCCTGAGGTGGGAACATCATGAGGGAAGATTTGATTTTCAGAGTTAAATAAATTGTATGTGCTTTTCCAGCCATCTGGCTCACTCATTTCTGGGTAATGCACATGACTTTGTTTGCACTGGAGGAAGATGGAAGCTTGCGTGTGTGCGGTGTGTGTGTGTGTGTAAGTGTGAGGTACCTTGTGTGTGACAAGAGACCTCACTTACGAGAAAGTTGGTGGATCAGGACATTCCAGCCTCAGGCGGCTTGGAGCAGGATCATTCCTCAGCAGGCATTCCTTCCACATGCTATGGATGAACCATGCACAAGATTTTCGGTTTTTTTTTTTTTTTCTGTTACAGTGTCTTTAGAAACAAGTAGAAGTGTTTTGATATATAAAAGGAATGCTTCATTTCTTATCATTATCCCAAAATTGATCCCTCCCACATTTTTGCTTTAAAAAGAAACCTTTTTGGTTTTGTATTTTATACAGGAACACAAAATGCAAACAAGTTGTGCATATTTTGGACTCTCAAATAACTTCTCTGTCCTTTAATAAAGTAATAATAAGGAATAGATGTGCACATAGTTAGAAAAGTATGAGTGGTTAAAAACAACAGTCTCCCATACTGCCTGTTTTCTCTCTCAGAGGGGACCACTAATGAGCTTCTAAGGGCATTTCTAGAAAGGAAGAAAAGAAGATAAGAGGCCAAAGAAGGAGGGACGGGGGTTATGGAGAGAGACCTTCCCTTTCCAGCACTAACGCTCTGTGAAGGGCGCTGCACCTTGCATTCTTCATGTGGTGTTTTGTCTTAGAGGTCGTCCCATAATAACATATAAAGATCTACCTCATTCCTCCTAGTAGCTGCTTAGCATTCCATTATCTCAGCGGACTATCATTTATTTGAATAGCCTTTTATTGGTGAACATATGGATACTTCCAGTTTTTATTTTTATATACAAATCTATAATTGGCATACTTGTACATACATCTTGACATAGTTTTGTGACTAAAACGGTATAAATTCCAACTTAGAAATGGAATTGCTGGGTTTAAGGCTACATGTATTTAAAATTTTGATAGCTATTGCCAGATTATCTTCTAGAAACTGATCGAAGGATGTAACTCCATCAAGAGTACAATAAAAGGCCCAATTTCTCAGCTTTCTATAATAGCACTGGGTATTTTCAAACTTAATGTTTTTCCCAATATAATTGGTGAAACATGATATTTACGAATATTATTCTGATTTTGGTTTATTTTGTGTATAAAATGGGACATCTTTTAAAATTTTTTTGTAGTTTTAATTTTGATACATTTATATATTTTACCCAGTTCCTAATTGGGTTATTTGGCTTTTTCTTAATTTGCTCATGCACTTTGGGACATTTTTGTCTTATGTCTTTAAAATATTTTTATCATTTGTCTTTCGATGTTATTTATTGATTTCCTTATTTATTGGCATAGAGTTTAAATTTTTATGTTGTCAATTTGTGAGTATTTTTCTTTGTCGATCGTGGGATTTGTTTCCAGTTTTTAAAAGCCTTCCTCATTCTGAGATTATAAATAGACTTACTCGCATTTTCTTCTGAAACTTTATGGTTTTATTGGTTTACCTTCACATCTTCAGACTCCCTGGAATTCATTTGTTGCAGGACATGAGGGAAAAATCCATACTTTTTCCTCGAAATGGTGGTCAGCAGTATCAATAAATATGTAATAATGCATTTCTAAAATACAGTCATAGTGTTTTCCCCAGTTGTTCAAAATGCAGCCTTATTTGTAAACTAAATTTCTTTAAGTGTTTGGTTCTGTTTCTGTTCTATTTATCTCTATGAATGCCTTTCATTTCTAAAGCATTATTCATACTAATATCAGTATTTTCAAGTCAACACTCCCATCAACTCTGAATCTCTCTCTCATATGAATCTTTTTTCAATTAGAGTCACAATGAATTTACAGATTGAGTCTTCCTATTCAAAAGCATGAAATCTTGTGTTTAAGTCTAATTTTATGTAACTTAGTAGTGTTTTATGATTTTGTTCACTAAGGTGCTTTGAATTTATAGTTTATTTCTAGATGTTTTATCATTTGGCTATCATTTTCAATAGAATGATTTATTCCACTTTATTTTCTATTTTATCCCATTGTATAAGAAAGTAGTTGGTTTTTATGTATGAATGTTATAATCAACCACAAATTGTGATTCCTACTTGTTTCTAAGGTATACTTTTGACTTCTCCTTTCCAATGTGTCTCTTATTTCTTTCTTGTATCTAGTTGATTTGAGATCAGTGTTGAGTCACAGTGATTCAGGTGGCATGCTTATCTTGTTCGTGACATCAGTGGGACGTTTTAATGTCTCAGCGTTTAACTTGTATGAAGACATGTATTTTCCTTGCCATAATAAAAAAGTATCTGTGTGTTCTCAAACTATTAAGACTCTCTGGGGAAAATGTAGATGTTAGATTTTTGTCAAAGCCTTCTCAGTGTCCAGAGGGATTATCAGAAGGTCTTTTCCTTTGCTCTAGTAGTATGTTTAATTATATTAATAGAATACTTAAGACCAAATCATTAGTGTATTCCTGAGATGTTCTTTACTTATTAGTATCATGACTTTGGTTATCAATATTTATAATTAAGATTCATCATTCTACATCTTGCTTTTATGTGTTTTTTGTCCAGATTTAACTTTATGCTGACTTAAAGGAAGAAATATTATAAAACAAAAACCTCTATATTCTACAATCATCTATTGGTTTTGGATTATTTTCTGCTTAAGTGTAGAAGAACTAGCTGGGGCTGTCTGGGCCTGCCGTGGTATATTTCTGGATTTTGCTCATCAGGCAAGTTAGGTCCTCGAGCCCTTCTAGAGTCCATTTTAATGACACTTTTAAAAATAAAATTAATTCCATCCACTTTTCAACATAGTTGCGTAGTTTTGTAATATATGCACTTCAGGTGTTTTCTTTCCTCTGTATTTGTGGCTTTTTCTCCTTTTTCCGTTTGTAATTGTGTGCATTTCTCCTTTCTCCCGTGCCTATTGATTTAGCTTGCCATGAGTTTTACCGGTTTATATTTTTAAGACATCGGACCCTTAGACTTTGCAGTCCGAGGACCTGTCTGCAGGGTCTTGGGGGTCCCTGCGTTGACCCAGCCCTCCCAGGTGACAGCAGTGGGCCAGCACAGCAGAAGCCACAGTTGTTGCAGGTGCTTCTCCAGCCAGTGCTGGGCCCAACACACGGTTCAGCCCTTCCTCTGGGCCCTGGGAGCCTGTGGGACAAACTAGTCGGGGCAGCATGGTGGGTTAGATGTAGCTGGTCATTGCACTCACGGGGACCCCAGTGAGTTGGAGAAAAGACTGACAGAAGCTTTAAGCAGAGCCCCCTGGAGGTGTACGCCTCAGGAAGGAACTCTTACATAATTTAACTTTTTCTCATTCCTTCATTTTTTATGTGGTACAAACCCTTCCCAACCTCCCTAGACCTTCCGTCTATCAGTGTTTCTGACCTCACCATGGATAGCTCCTTTTGTAATTACTGTTTACTTCATATGCGTTTGACCTTCTAATGCCATAGCTTGTCCTGAGTTGGGGAAGGGGTCTCAAAGTTATGGCCCCTGGGGATGCGGCCCACAGATTCTATCTTTCTCAAACTCTTTGTGACGAGACGCCCCCTGTGTTTGCACACAGCCCGCTTCGGGAATGCCACCTTTCTGCAGCGCTGCAGTTCCACACTCTTTCTTGTCTTCTCTCCACCGTCACGTGTAACATTTTGCACTGCTTTCTAAATTTCCTTTTTTTCTGCCAATGGCCTTCCTACCATTTCCTCTGCTGCTGTGTTAGAGTTCTGTGTGTTCACCTTTGATAAATACTTCCCATCAACAAATTCTGCAGGTATGTTTTCTAATTTTTAGTTTTCTGCTTTTATCTTTAATATTTTCATTCTATTTTACTTTTTAAAAATTATTGTATATTTTTAAATTTTCGTAAAATATACATAACATAAAATTTATCATTTTAACCAGTTTTAAGTGTACCATTCAGTGTCATTAAATACAGTCACATTGTTGTACAGTCTTCACAACCACATATTCCCAGAACTCTTTTCATCTTCCCAAATTGAAACCCTGTCTCTATCAAACATCAACCACTCTTGTTTTGGTCCTTTTTTTTTTTTTTTCTTTTTTTGAGACAGAGTCTCATTTTATCACCCAGGCTAGAGTGCAGTGGTGCAATCTCTGCTCACTGCAACCTCTGCCTCCTGGGTTCAAGCGATTCTCATGCCTCGGCCTCCAGAGTTGCTGGGATTACCAGAGCACACCACCAATCCCAGCTAATTTTTTATATTTTTAGTAGAGATGGGGTTTCACCATGTTGGCCAGGCTGGTCTCGAACTCCTGGCCTCAAGTGATCTGCCTGCCTCCTCCTCCCAAAGTGCTGGAATTACAGGCGTGAGCCACCACACCTGGCCTCCTTTTGGTCTTTATAAATTTGGCTAGGTACCTGATACAAGTGGATTCATATAGTATTTGTCCTTTTGTGACTGACTTATTTCACATTACATGAAATAAGATATCCTCAGGATTCAGCCATGATCCTTTTACTTTTTTTTTTTTTTTTTTTTTTTGAGAGGAAGTCTCGCACTGTCGCCCAGGCTGGAGTGCAATGGCGTCATCTTGGCTCACTGCAACCTCCACCTCCCGAGTTCAAGCAATTCTCCTGCCTTAGCCTCCTGAGTAGCTGGGATTACAGGCACCCACTACCACTCCCGGTTAATTTTTTTTTTTTTTTTTTTTTTTTTGTATTTTTAGTAGAGGTTGCACCATGTTGGCCAGGCTGGTCTCAAACTCCTGACCTCAGTTGATCTACCCGCCTCAGCCTCCCAAAGTGCTGGGACTACCAGCGTGAGCCACCGCGCCCAGCCAGTTCTCTTCTACTTTTATTTTGTTGTTGTTGTTCTAAGTTATTCAATAGATGCCTAATTCATGTGTTTCCAATTATTCTTATTTAATCAGATAAGTATTTTTGGCTCTGCATTTTATTCTGATCAAAGCTTTAACAGCAGTCCATACGTCTTAATATGCAATGTTTTCATTTGTATTTTCTGGATATTCTATAAGTTGAATTGTTGTACCTTCTTCAAGCTGACTTTTTAAATAAAGGCTAGTGAAGTGAAGCAGCAGTGGAAATGGAAAAGGAGCAAAGAAACCTGTAACTGCTTGTAATCAATTCCTTGTACACCCCACTGCACTCAGACCAGCCCGAACTGAGCTTTGTTGAGTGTTTTAAAATTTCCACATTTTTTAACTTAAAAATTAATTTCTAGTTACATTACCTTATGCTTTAAGCAAAATGCCTTTTGTTCTATTTCTAATATTTATAATGTGCTGAGGTGTTTCTGAGGGGTTTGTATGATCAGTGCCTGTGAATGGGTCCCTCTCTGAGAATGACCTGGGCGGGTCTGTGGGAGTTCCACCCCTGGCTTTGCTCACTGGCCTGGCTGGGGCCACGCTCCCTGTCAGCAGCATTCCTCTTTCAATCATCCTTCCATTTACCACAGGATGTTTAACGATTTACCGGATTTTCATTCTATTTTCAATACTTAACCTTGAATTCACATTTGTCTGCTTTTAAAATCAGCCCCACTGATTTCTTATGCTGAGATGCCTCTCTCGTTCATTCTTACACTCACACAACACCTCCCGTCTCCACATGTGTGGGGAAAAATCCCACCCATTCTCCAGCACCAGCTGGGTGTCCTACCGTTCAGCTCAACTCTGACACTAACTGGAGTTAGAGCCAGCCCCACAGGGGAGGGGCTCAATTCCCAGGACTGCCCTGCTCCAGATGCCAGTTGTAAGTGGTGGGTCTGCAGGTCACCCACAGCTTCTGTCCAACTTGGCTATAAATCGGAGGTTCCCACGCCCCCCTTCTTAGGTCCAGTCATTTGGTGGAACAGCGCAGAGAACCCAGGGCAACACTACTATGTTTATCCACTTATTATAAAGAATACAGCCAAATGGGAGAGAAATACAGGAAAAGATATGGTGGGGGTGGGTATGGAGCTGCCATGGCCTCTCCAGGAGCACCACCACGTGTTCCCCAACCCTGAAGCTCCCGCACCTGTACTTAGGAATTTTTAAGGAGGCTTCATCATGTAGGCATGATTGATTATTGATTCAATCTCCAACTCCTCTTTCCTCCCTAGAGGATGGGGTGTGGGGCTGAAAGTTCCAAGCTTCTAACCATGGCTTGGTCTTTCTGGTGACCAGCCCTCATCTAGGATTCCACCAAGAGTCGTTCATTAGAACAAAAGATGCTCCTATCACCCAGGAAATTCCAAGGGATTGGAAGCTCTGTACCAGGAACCCAGTCAAAGATGCTCCCAACCAATATTAGAACAAAAGATGCTCCCAGTACCCCCATCACTCAGGAAATTACAAGGGTATTAGGAGCTCTGTGTCAGAAACTGGAGACACAGACCAATATGTATTTCTTATTATTTTATACTCAATTTTATGTTTAACCTTTTTGAGGCACTTTGTTTTAGGTTTATTTATCTTGGATCTGCACTTATATTTTTAATACATATTGCTGATATATTTGGTTTAATATTTTTTTCAATATCTGTAATTAATATTTCTTTTGCATTCCCTTTTGGATTTTTTTATTTCCCCCTCCTTCTGATTATGTGCAATCCTTTTGTTAAAATGAAAGATTTATTGCTTTTATGTGTTTAAGTGGTTACCTATATAATTTTACATAATTCAACCTATAGTTCATGATTTATCAACCTGACAGTTTCTATTAATTCTCCACTTCTCACTTCAAACCCCAATATATTATTAGTTATCTTTTTGTTTTTAGGTTTTCTGCAGGTTCCTTATACAACACTCTGTGATATGCTTTAATATTTATCAATTCAGAAGAGTATCTGTTGACTACTATTGAGAGAAAATTGAAAGATGTTTAATAGGATGGGCAATTCATTCATTTTGTGGTAATCTTCCCTTTTACCTAATTTTCATAGTGCAATTATCTTTGTTATTTTTACAAATTCATGAGTTATAACATTTACTTTCTGAAATTAATTTCCTACCATCACATACATGGTATATTTATTTATGCAAAATGAATTTTCCTTCTTTTTCCTCATTTTGGCTTGAATATGCAATGATGTGTTTTATTCCTCTTATTCCCTTTGGAGATCTGAAATTCTTCCTCTATGATGGTAGCTTTGTTATTTTTGGCATTGTCTATTCTGTTTCCTGCTATTTACAGTTCGGGTAGGTTTTTTTTTTTTTCTTCCCGTTCTGAAATGAGTTTTTGCTCTTCAATTTGTTTCCAAAACTCTGCAATTTACCTTTCATTTTGCTTTTCTATCTTTTAGCTCTTTTTTATTGAAATCGATTTCTTACTAACTTCTTACACAACATTTTGGAGAACTTTCTTGCATGGATTCAGTTATATATTTTGCTGCAGAATGAAATCTTTGTCTTTCTTTACAGACCATGGTCCACCCTGTGTTCACTGTTCCCCTGCAGTGCATTTGCAGGAATGCCTTGCCATTTATTTCACTCTTACTTTTGCTTAATTTGGGCAGCTCCATGTGGATCTTTAAATTCCTCTGAAAAAGCAGGTCTCAGCCCCTTTCAGACTCTGTGCTCCCCCTTCTTCCTGCTTTCCTGGCCTGGGGTTCTGAGAGGAAGGCCAGCCCCTAGGATGGACAGCCTGGGCGTTTTTGTCTTTACTTTGTTGCTGTTGATGTTGGTCTGTTGGTGCTCCAATACATCTTAGGCATTACCCTGGAAGGAGATCTATATCATTATTTATTGCTCTAATTCATGAAATTCTGGGTCTTTGGGGTGAGTGAACTCTTATTCAGCTTTCTCAGTTAGCCGCGTACTCCCGGTGAAATTTCCCAACCTCTCTCCTTACACCCTTCAACCTCCAGTCAGGACAGATAAAATGTCCATGGATTTGGCTGTTAGGGCTGGTAGTTGGAGGGCTGGTGGGAGCAGGAATTTGGTTATAGTCACATCCCCTTTCCTTCCTGCCCATAGGGAAGACACCTGAAGACCTCCTGCCTGTGACTTTCCTGCATCTGCTGAGATCCTTGGTGGGAGGCGGGACTTCTGCACTCATGGGCTCTCTTAAAACTTTTTCCCTCCAACTTACAACTTCCCTTCTCAATGAGCCTCACTCGAGACTGGCAGCGTAGGGTGGGGAGAGGGATCCGCTATTTGGGTTGGAGGGACACGCGGGGTGGGTCGCACTGATTCAGAGTCTGTCCTTTGCAGGCCCACACCACCTTCTTCTCTGTGTCCTCCTGGCTGCAGCGCTTTGAAGAGTGTGGCAGGAGGCTCCATCATTCTGTGTTGCTGCTGCTGTTTGCTATTGTTGCTTTTTTGGGCAGCGATATCTCTGATCCTGCCTTCCTCCACTCGCAACGCGTTGATAGTCACTGACCACATATTCAGGGCAATGGGTAACAATGGAGAGAGAGTGTGTTATGTCTCAGCACCAAGGCTGCTGGTAAATTATATTCCCAGTAATTTTAGAAGATTGTGGCAGATGCTTTTCACTTCATGTTGAAGCTATTCATCTTTACATTGAAGGACCTTATGAAGCTACAGAGTTTAATCTTTTTCCAACTATATTTGCCCCCTTTTCTTTCTGTGGTAAATGAAAACGGCCAAGAATTCGCCATTTAGTATCTTTGTATTAATATGAATAGTGTAATTGTTTTTCAAACACATTATTTTAAGCTGTCATTTAAGATAAAGATAGTCTTGGTGAAATCAATATGTCAGGGTTAAAGTGAGTATGTTTTTCTCCTACACATTTTGGTAATTACCATACAGTCACCCCCATCTGTGGCGTTACTTTCTTTTCTTTTTTTTTAGACAGAGTCTTGCTCCGTCACCCAGGCTGGAGTGCAGTGGCGCGATCTCGGCTCACTGCAAGCTCTGCCTCCCAAGTTCACGCCATTCTCCTGCCTCAGCCTCCCAAGTAGCTGGGACTACAGGCGCCTGCTACCACGCCCAGCTAATTTTTATATTTTTAGTAGAGCTGGGGTTTCACCATGTTGGCCAGGCTGGTCTCGAACTCCTGACCTCAGATGATCTGCCCAGCTCAGCCTCCCAAAGTGCTGGGATTACAGGCGTGAGCCACCACACATGTCCTGTGGTGTTTCTTTCTGTGGCTTCAGTTATCTGTGGTCAACCACAGTCAGAAAATAGGCGAAGACAATAAGATGTTTTGTGACAGAGACCACATTCACATAACTTTCATTACAGCATATGGTTATGATTGTCCTATTTTATTGCTAGTAAGTGCTGTTAGTTTCTTACTGTGCCTAATTTATACATTAAATTTTATCATAGGTATGTATATATCAGAGAAAAAACATATGTAGGGTTCACTACTACCCAAGGTTTCAAGCATCTACTGTGGGTCTTGGAACATATCCCTGTGGATAAGAAGGCACTACATTACAATATAGACTTCTGTTGTACTTTTCAAACATCATAATGCTCAAGAAATTACCATCCACTTGGAATTAGAATTTGCTGCAGTCCCAGCCATACTTCAGCATGCCCCCTGTGCCCTGGTCAACCTTGTTGGTTCTCTGGCTCCCGTGTGACCATATTAAACCCCCGCCAGCATCCTCATTGCCAAGCCCCAGGTGGTGTCTGGAGAGGGACGTGGGCTTAGTCACTTAAAAACACAGTGCCTCAAATCCTTTGTGGAAAAGACAAGTTCATGCTATTCAATTAGATTCAGAATTTCCAAATATACAGAAGCTCAGAGCTCGTCTATGGCATCAGGTTCCAAGCTTTTTTTTTTTTAAAGGTTAGTTCAAGTACAAAAGATAAGAGTATTTGTTCCAGAGACAGGTCTGGGGGACTTTGGTGTCTGGCCTTAAAGAGAAATTGTGAAGGAGTCATTTTGAAAATGGTGTTGGTGTGTACTGGGGCCTCAGCCAAAGAGACTTGGGCTCAGGAGGCAGTGGGTCAGCCAGGCAGATGGGGGCTCATCCGCGTGTCTGTGACTGGGGGAGACAGGGACCCTGCCATCAGGAGGGAGCAGGAGTGGCAGCAGTGGGGGCCAGCAGTAGGTGTTTGTTCCAGGTTCCCTGAGCTCTCCTGAGATTCTTCCAGACTCCTGGAAATAACTGGGCAGAGGAGAGCCAAAGCCAACTGGCTGAGGTCAACCCACAGCTGCAATTCAGATTCACATGGATGTGATCCCATTGAACTGCAGGCTGAGATTCAGTCCATTCACCTGAGACATGTGAGACCCCGTTGTGGTCTGAATTAAGATTCTTCAAATTTATATGTTGAAGCCCAACCACCGTACCTCAGACTGTGATCTTATTTGGAGAGGGCCTTTAAAGAGGTAATTGAGTTAAAATCAGGCCATGAGGGTGAACCTTAATCCATTCTGACTGGTGTCCTTATAAGAAGATGAGGTTAGGATACAGACACAGTCAGAGGGGTGATCGTCTGAGGCACAGGGAAGACAGCCATCTACAAGCCGAAGAGAGAGGCTGCAGGAGAAGCCAGCCTTGCCCACCTTGATCTTGGACTTCCAGCCTCCAGCACTGTGAGGAAATGCACGTCTGTGTTTAAGCCCCCAGGCTGTGGTTCTTTGTTGTGGCAGCCCCAGCCTCCAAGGCAGGCATCTGTCAGGTGCTGTCCCCTCTGCCAGACACAGGGGGTGCAGTCATGAGAAAGCTTATCTTAGCTGGAAGGAGCTCGTTCTTAGGAAGGGAATTAGGTAAAAAGAGAGTAAGGGCCACACAGGGAGGGATCCCAGCCTTAGACAATCATGGGAGACTTCCTAGAGTTGGTGGCGCCTCAGGTAAAATCAGATGAGGGGATTGAGGCCCACCCCAGCGACTTGCCCAGCCTCACACAAATAGCTGTTTGAACTGAGACTAGGAACTCAACATCCTGAGGCTGCTTTCGTTAACCTCAAACTTACTTTGTCCATTCTTCTTTGTAAATGGCAGGGAATGGAGAATGGCACCCTGTGTTTTGGTGTCTGCAGTGGAAGGGGGTGTAGACCCCTCTGGCTGGCTTGATTCAAAGTATCGGTTCCGTCACTGGTATGTGCTGTCCTCTGTTGCTATGAAAATTTATGGCTAAAACCATCTTGCTTTGAAAGGTTAACTTTTTTTTTTTTTGAATTGGAGTTTGGCTCTTGTTGTCCAGGCTGGAGTGCAATGGCGCGATCTCGGCTCACTGCAGCCTCTGCCTCCTGGGTTCCAGCGATTCTCCTGCCTCAGCCTCCAAAGCAGCTGGGATTACAGGCATGAGCCACCACACCCAACAACTCTTTAATACCATGATTCCTGGGACACTAGTGGTCCCTAAAACTGCTTTTACTTGGGGCATGGGCAGGGCATGGGCTGAGAAGGAACATCCCCCGGGCCTTGCAGTCACAGTTTCCCATGGGATGTTTTAGCGCGGTTAAGCGCTGTTTAGCGTGTTAAGGCACTGCAGCAAGAATAAGCATGCTGGGTCCTGATTCTGAAAACCTCTCTTTAAGGCACTCAGGCCTTGCGGTTCTGTTTTCTCTACACTCTCTGTGGTGCCTCTAGTACCGTGATTAAAAACAGTGGCCCCACAAACACGACCTCACCTTCAAATCCAACTCTGCCCCCTGCCGACTGACCTCCAGCACACTGCTCACGTTATCCAAACTCGGGTGTCCCCACGTTAAAGGAGTGACTATAGTACTACCTGCCAAGACACTGTCGCAAGGACAGCCCAGAACACAAGACGCACTCGAAAATGTCAGCTAAGTTTATTTTCCGCAGGATCAAACCTCACTCCTCCCACATAGGAGATGCCATCTTCTTGTTTTAAAGGCTTTATGACAAACAGGCATTCCTTTGAAGTTTAACAAATTCCTCCTGCCACCATGACAATGACGTCTAGCAACACATTCTCTGGTGAGAAAAAGGAAAGTTTAGAAAGACATTGTCAGTTGTCTCTTCCTAAGTGATATTTACCAGGACCCAAATACCAAAAAGCACAGCTCAGAAACACAGGGGCTAGGCCGGGCACAGTGGCTCACGCCTGTAATCCCATCACTTTGGGAGGCTGAGGCGGGCAGATCACCTGAGGTCAGGAGTCCGAGACCAGCCTGGACAACACAGAAAAACCCCATCTCTACTAAAAATACAAAAATTAGCCAGGCATTGTGGTGCATCCCTGTAATCCCAGCTACTTGGGAGGCTGAGGCAGGAGAATCACTTGAACCCAAGAGGCGGAGGTTGCTGTGAGCCAAGATTGTGCCATTGCACTCCAGCCTGGGCAACAGAGCGAGACCATGTCTCAAAAAATAAATAAATAAATACAGGGGCTTTGGCAGTGGGTCCAGGAGGCATCTGGTGAGGTCATTAGGGAGGGGTCATTACACATGGAAAGCAGCAGAGACCGTTTACTGAGTACATATTTGTTGAATGCTTTTAGGACATGAGATGAGAAGGGGGAGAAATACTCACGATGTGGAGCTGGAGGTGCGTGGGCAGCCGGTGAACAGTAATGGAACATTGACACAAGCCAGGTGGGACGAGTGTGGTGGGATGGCCTGCGAGAGGGGAGCAGAGGGGACAGGGCTGGGCAAGTACCCAGAGGCAGCCGCCTGGTGCACCTTGAGAGGTATGCATGAGAGGAACACCAGAGAGGGCCAGGGTGGGCAGGGTGGCGGTGGGCAGGAGGAGTGAGGGTGGGAGAAGGCACTGTCTGGGATGGGAGATGGGGGTCTTCGGGATTCCCTAGTGCTTTCCCTAAGAGCAGTAGGGGCGACTGAAGGCTCTGGGCCAGAGAGTGGTATAATTCAGTTGTTTTTAGATTCTGGAAAAAGAACTGGGAGCTACAGCATATTCTTTCCACTTCTGCCCTAAACTTTGTTGAGTCCCATATGCTGGGAGGCTGACCAGGTGTGGCAGTGGGAGCTGGATCTCCCTCCAGTCTTAAGGTGAGATGTAGGATGTGATTTATAGGTCAGATATGAGATGGAAAATGGCAGCCGACAGGACGTGGCTGATGAGGGAATAACCTGCTCAAAGCCTGGGACAGAAGGACTAGGAGGAAGAAATGTTGAAAGAGGGTTTCAAGGCATTTTCCAGGAGAGTATGATCTAAAGCATCTTCTCTATCTCCCCAGGTGAATGTTTGCTAGCGCTGCAGAGCCCCTCAGTCACTCAATCGGTGCAGACGGGTGGCAGAAACCACTGGAGTCATGTGAATGGGGACACTTTCCTATGAACAGTGGTTACACAGGCAAAGGCACCCGCCCCTAAAAGAAGTCAAAGACTTTTTGTCTGGAACCAAGATGGCCGAATAGGAACAGCTCCGGTCTACAGCTCCCAGCGTGAGCGACGCAGAAGACAGGTGATTTCTGCATTTCCATCTGAGGTACCGGGTTCATCTCACTAGGGAGTGCCAGACAGTGGGCGCAGGACAGTGGGTGCAGTGCGCCGTGCGCGAGCCGAAGCAGGGCGAGGCATTGCCTCACTCAGGAAGCACAAGGGGTCAAGGAGTTCCCTTTCCTAGTCAAAGAAAGGGGTGACAGACAGCACCTGGAATATCGGGTCACTCCCACCCAAATACTGCGCTTTTCCGACGGGCTTAAAAAACGGCGCACCAGGAGATTATATCCTGCACCTGGCTTGGAGGGTCCTACGCCCACAGAGTCTCGCTGATTGCTAGCACAGCAGTCTGAGATCAAACTGCAAGGCGGCAGTGAGGCTAGGGGAGGGGCGCCCGCCATTGCCCAGGCTCGCTTAGGTAAACAAAGCAGCCAGGAAGCTCCAATTGGGTGGAGCCCACCACAGCTCAAGGAGGCCTGCCTGCCTGCCTCTGTAGGCTACACCTCTGGGGGCAGGGCACAGACAAACAAAAAGACAGCAGTAACCTCTGCAGACTTAAATGTCCCTGTCTGACAGCTTTGAGGACAGCAGTGGTTCTCCCAGCACACAGCTGGAGATCTGAGAACGGGCAGACTGCCTCCTCAAGTGGGTCCCTGACCCCTGACCCCCGAGCAGCCTAACTGGGAGGCACCCCCCAGCAGGGGCAGACTGACACCTCACACGGCCGGGTACTCCTCTGAGACAAAACTTCCAGAGGAACGATCAGACAGCAGCATTCGCGGTTCACGAAAACCACTGTTCTGCAGACACCGCTGCTGATACCCAGGCAAACAGGGTCTGGAGTGGACCTCTAGCAAACTCCAACAGACCTGCAGCTGAGGGTCCTGTCTGTTAGAAGGAAAGCTAACAAACAGAAAGGACATCCACACCAAAACCCATCTGTACATCACCATCATCAAAGACCAAAAGTAGATAAAACCACAAAGATGGGGAAAAAACAGAGCAGAAAAACGGGAAACTCTAAAAAGCAGAGCACCTCTCCTCCTCCAAAGGATCGCAGTTCCTCACCAGCAATGGAACAAAGCTGGACAGAGAATGACTTTGACGAGTTGAGAGAAGAAAGCTTCAGACGATCAAACTACGAGCTACAGGAGGAAATTCAAACCGAAGGCAAAGAAGTTAAAAACTTTGAAAAAAATTTAGACGAATGTATAACTAGAATAACCAATACAGACAAGTGCTTAAAGGAGCAGATGGAGCTGAAAGCCAAGACTCGAGAATTACGTGAAGAATGCAGAAGCCTCAGGAGCCGATGCAATCAACTGGAAGAAAGGGTATCAGCGATGGAAGATGAAATGAATGAAATGAAGCGAGAAGGGAAGTTTAGAGAAAAAAGAATAAAAAGAAATGAACAAAGCCTCCAAGAAATATGGGACTATGTGAAAAGACCAAATCTACGTCTGATTGGTGTACCTGAAAGTGACGGGGAGAATGGAACCAAGTTGGAAAACACTCTGCAGGATATTATCCAGGAGAACTTCCCCAATCTAGCAAGGCAGGCCAACGTTCAGATTCAGGAAATACAGAGAACACCACAAAGATACTCCTCGAGAAGAGCACCTCCAAGACACATAATTGTCAGATTCACCAAAGTTGAAATGAAGGAAAAAATGTTAAGGGCAGCCAGAGAGAAAGGTCGGGTTACCCACAAAGCGAAGCCCATCAGACTAACAGCGGATCTCTCGGCAGAAACTGCAAGCCAGAAGAGAGTGCGGGCCAATATTCAACATTCTCAAAGAAAAGAATTTTCAACCCAGAATTTCATATCCAGCCAAACTAAGCTTCATAAGTGAAGGAGAAATAAAATACTTTACAGACAAGCAAATGCTGAGAGATTTTGTCACCACCAGGCCTGCCCTAAAAGAGCTCCTGAAGGAAGCACTAAACATGGAAAGGAACAACTGTTACCAGCCGCTGCAAAATCATGCCAAAATGTAAAGACCATCCAGACTAGGAAGAAACTGCATCAACTAACGAGCAAAATAACCAGCTAACATCATAATGAGAGGATCAAATTCACACATAACAATATTAACTTTAAATGTAAATGGACTAAATGCTCCAATTAAAAGACACAGACTGGCAAATTGGATAAAGAGTCAAGATCCATCAGTGTGTTGTATTCAGGAAACCCACCTCACATGCAGAGACACACATAGGCTCAAAATAAAAGGATGGAGGAAGATCTACCAAGCAAGTGGAAAACAAAAAAAGGCAGGGGTTGCAATCCTAGTCTCTGATAAAACAGACTTTAAACCAACAAAGATCAAAAGAGACAAAGAAGGCCATTACACAATGGTAAAGGGATCAATTCAACAAGAAGAGCTAACTATCCTAAATATATATGCACCCAATACAGGAGCACCCAGATTCATAAAGCAAGTCCTGAGTGACGTACAAAGAGACTTAGACTCCCACACATTAATAATGGGAGACTTTAACACCCCACTGTCAACATTAGACAGATCAACGAGACAGAAAGTCAACAAGGATACCCAGGAATTGAACTCAGCTCTCCACCAAGCAGACCTAATAGACATCTACAAAACTCTCCACCCCAAATCAACAGAATATACATTTTTTTCAGCACCACACCACACCTATTCCAAAATTGACCACATATTTGGAAGTAAAGCTCTCTTCAGCAAATGTAAAAGAACAGAAATTATAACAAACTGTCTCTCAGACCACAGTGCAATCAAACTAGAACTCAGGATTAAGAATCTCACTCAAAACCGCTCAACTACATGGAAACTGAACAACCTGCTCCTGAATGACTACTGGGTACATAACGAAATGAAGGCAGAAATAAAGATGTTCTTTGAAACCAACGAGAACAAAGACACAACATACCAGAATCTCTGGGATGCATTCAAAGCAGTATGTACAGGGAAATTTATAGCACTAAATGCCCACAAGAGAAAGCAGGAAAGATCCAAAATGGACACCCTAACATCACAATTAAAAGAACTAGATAAGCAAGAGCAAACACATTCAAAAGCTAGCAGAAGGCAAGAAATAACTAAAATCAGAGCAGAACTGAAGGAAATAGAGACACAAAAAACCCTTCAAAACATTAATGAATCCAGGAGCTGGTTTTTTGAAAGAATCAACAAAATTGATAGACCGCTAGCAAGACTAATAAAGAAAAAAAGAGAGAATCAAATAGACGCAATAAAAAATGATAAAGGGGATATCACCACCGATCCCACAGAAATACAAACTACCATCAGAGAATACTACAAGCACCTCTACGCAATTAAACTAGAAAATCTAGAAGAAATGGATAAATTCCTCGACACATACACTCTCCCAAGACTAAACCAGGAAGAAGTTGAATCTCTGAATAGACCAATAACAGGAGCTGAAATTGTGGCAATAATCAATAGCTTACCAACCAAAAAGAGTCCAGGACCAGATGGATTCACAGCCGAATTCTACCAGAGGTACAAGGATGAACTGATACCATTCCTTCTGAAACTATTCCAATCAATAGAAAAAGAGGGAATCCTCCCTAACTCATTTTATGAGGCCAGCATCATCCTGATACCAAAGCCGGGCAGAGACACAACCAAAAAAGAGAATTTTAGACCAATATCCCTGATGAACATCGATGCAAAAATCCTCAATAAAATACTGGCAAACGGAATCCAGCAGCACATCAAAAAGCTTATCCACCATGATCAAGTGGGCTTCATCCCTGGGATGCAAGGCTGGTTCAATATACACAAATCAATAAATGTAATCCAGCATATAAACAGAACCAAAGACAAAAACCACAAGATTATCTCAATAGATGCAGAAAAGGCCTTTGACAAAATTCAACAACCCTTCATGCTAAAAACTCTCAATAAATTAGGTATTGATGGGACATATCTCAAAATAATAAGAGCTATCTATGACAAACCCACAGCCAATATCATACTGAATGGGCAAAAACTGGAAGCATTCCCTTTGAAAACTGGCACAAGACAGGGATGCCCTCTCTCACCACTCCTATTCAACATAGTGTTGGAAGTTCTGGCCAGGGCAGTTAGGCAGGAGAAGGAAATAAAGGGTATTCAATTAGGAAAAGAGGAAGTCAAATTGTCCCTGTTTGCAGACGACATGATTGTATATCTAGATAACCCCATTGTCTCAGCCAAAAATCTCCTTAAGCTGATAAGCAACTTCAACAAAGTCTCAGGATACAAAATCAATGTACAAAAATCACAAGCATTCTTATACACCAATAACAGACAAACAGAGAGCCAAATCATGAGTGAACTCCCATTCGCAATTGCTTCAAACAGAATAAAATACCTAGGAATCCACCTTACAAGGGACGTGAAGGACCTCTTCAAGGAGAACTACAAACCACTGCTCAATGAAATGAAAGAGGATACAAACAAATGGAAGAACATTCCATGCTCCTGGGTAGGAAGAATCAATATCGTGAAAATGGCCACACTGCCCAAGGTAATTTATAGATTCAATGCCATCCCCATCAAGCTACCAATGACTTTCTTCAGAGAATTGGAAAAAACTACTTTAAAGTTCATATGGAACCAAAAAAGAGCCTGCATCGCCAAGTCAATCCTAAGCCAAAAGAACAAAGCTGGAGGCATCACGCTACCTGACTTCAAACTATACTACAAGGCTACAGTAACCAAAACAGCATGGTACTGGTACCAAAACAGAGATATAGATCAATGGAACAGAACAGAGCCCTCAGAAATAACGCCGCATATCTACAACTATCTGATCTTTGACAAACCTGAGAAAAACAAGCAATGGGGAAAGGATTCCCTATTTAATAAATGGTGCTGGGAAAACTGGCTAGCTATATGTAGAAAGCTGAAACTAGATCCCTTCCTTACACCTTATACAAAAATCAATTCAAGATGCATTAAAGACTTAAACGTTAGACCTAAAACCATAAAAACCCTAGAAGAAAACCTAGGCATTACCATTCAGGACATAGGCACGGGCAAGGACTTCATGTCTAAAACACCAAAAGCAATGGCAACAAAAGCCAAAATAGACAAATGGGATCTAATTAAACTAAAGAGCTTCTGCACAGCAAAAGAAACTACCATCAGAGTGAACAGGCAACCCACAATATGGGAGAAAATTTTCGCAACCTACTCATCTGACAAAGGGCTAATATCCAGAATCTACAATGAACTCCAACAAATTTACAAGAAAAAAACAACCCCATCAAAAAGTGGGCAAAGGACATGAACAGACAGTCTCAAAAGAAGACATTTATGCAGCCAAAAAACACATGAAAAAATGCTCACCATCACTGGCCATCAGAGAAATGCAAATCAAAACCACAATGAGATACCATCTCACACCAGTTAGAATGGCAATCATTAAAAAGTCAGGAAACAACAGGTGCTGGAGAGGATGTGGAGAAATAGGAACACTTTTACACTGTTGGTGGGACTGTAAACCAGTTCAGCCATTGTGGAAGTCAGTGTGGTGATTCCTCAGAGATCTAGAACTAGAAATACCATTTGACCCAGCAATCCCATTACTGGGTATATACCCAAAGGACTATAAATCATGCTGCTATAAAGACACTCGCACACATATGTTTATTGTGGCACTATTCACAATAGCAAAGACTTGGAACCAAGCCAAATGTCCAACAATGATAGACTGGATTAAGAAAATGTGGCACATATACACCATGGAATACTATGCAGCCATAAAAAATGATGAGTTCACGTCCTTTGTAGAGACATGGATGAAACTGGAAATCATCATTCTCAGTAAACTATCACAAGAACAAAAAACCAAACACTGCGTATTCTCACTCATAGGTGGGAATTGAACAATGAGAACACATGGACACAGGAAGGGGAACATCACACTCTGGGGACTGTTGTGGGGTGGGGGAAGGGGGGGAGGGATAGCATTGGGAGATATACCTAATGCTAGATGACGAGTTAGTGGGTGCAGCGCACCAGCATGTCACGTGTATACATATGTAACTAACCTGCACATTGTCACATGTACCCTAAAACTTAAAGTATAAAAAAAAAAAAAAAAAGAAGTCAAAGAGGGCTATCAGGTGTAACAGGCAACCATGTCAAGTGATTGCCAGCCCTGGGGCAGTGAGGAAAGGGCTGAGATTTTCCATTGTTTGATTTATTTCGAGAGAACCTGTCATTGCTGAAGCATTTTTAATGGCAGATACTTTAGAGCCCTTGTCAGATAATTCCAACATCTGATAGTTGGGTCTTGGCAGCAGCTGATCGTGGTGCTCATGCTGGTGGTGATCTCTGCACTCTTGGAAGGATGGTGAGTTTTCAGTTGTTTGGTGGACGTTCTGCCTGTCATGTTAGGTGACCTGGGTCCCCTGTGACTCTTTTGCTTTAGAAGGCAGTGACCTGTTTAGGTTTGGCACATGGGTCCTGGCCCATCTTGCAGGCTGTGGTTCTACTGGCATCTAATTTCCAGAGTCGCTGCTGTGTTGTTCTCTCCTGCTTGGTTTCTCGGGGGTCCTTGTGGCTCTCAGGATCCCTCCTGATGCAGGCTGAGGGGCAGACGGAGTTTCCCCAGGCTCTGCCCTGAGTGTCTCCCAGTGGGGCCCAAGGCTCAGGCTGTCTGAAGAAGAGGCTTGGATCCCCTGCAGGTGCCCACCAACCAGATATTTCTGGGTGGGGAGGAGGGGCTGTCAGTACACAAGGAGGGGAGCCACCCTGGGGCCACTTATGCGGACAGGGCTTCAGGTCCCTCCTCCGTCAGGTGGCGTCAGGCTGGCCTGGTATTGCCAGAGGGCCCTGTTCCATCAGAGCGGGAGCAAGCCTAGCTGGCTGCCATGGGTGCTAGGCTGGGGTCACCTTCTGTTGGTCTTGGGGCCATAAAGCACCCTGTTGCTGTGCCTTCCTTCTCCCCCTGGGGTCCCAAAACCAGCCCGCCTTCCTCTGAACACCTTTCGGAGTTCTGGTTGCCTCTGAGCCTGGTTTCTGGTTGTGCTTTGAGCAGCAGGGAGGGGCCTGCCCATCTAATTGGGACCAGCAGTGAGAGGGGGTTTCTGTGTCCCTGAGGAGAAGGATGCAGTGTGAGGGGAAGGTGGGCTGTCTGGAAATGCTTGTGGAATGAAGGAAGTGTTCAGGTACTGGAGAGATGCAGGTGCGGCTTGTGGATAGAGGCTGCCTAACTTAGGGAACTACCTCGCTGTAGGTGTGTTTGGGGAAAGTGAGTTTCCTGGATACTGATGGGGACAGACACAATCAGCCTCTTGTGGTCTCCCAGGATTTGGCTCAGTGGCTACAACACATCATTGCACACTTGAATACGGCGAGACCTGAATGCCTTTAGCCCAAGACCCTTTTATTACCTTTCCTTTATGCATCCTATAATTTGAACTATTGTCTCCACCAAATTATTCCTTCCCAGCATTTCTGGAGAAAGAAATGTAATGAAATATTATTCAGTAAAATCCCACAGTAAACAAGAACACACAGTGCTAACTTAGTCCTGGTGTTCATCAGTTATTATTGCTCTAAGAAGACAAAGGTGGCCCCTAATATGCAGGAGCTGGCCCGGTGCCCACAGCTGGGCCTTGGTCTCTCCTGATGAACATAAACAGTTCACTGAACAGGAACGGTCAGGGAAGCCACTTGGTGAGTGTGACGGAATAAGACAAGAACAAGACTGGCCAGGCGCGATGGTTCACACCTGTAATCCCAGCACTTTGGGAGGCCGAGGCGGGTGGATCACAAGGTCAGGCGATCGAGACCATCCTAGCTAACATGGTGAAACCCCGTCTCTACTAAAATTACAAAAAAATTAGTCGGGCGCGGTGGCGGGTGCCTGTAGTCCCAGCTACTTGGGAGGCTGAGGCAGGAGAATGGCGTGAACCTGGGAGGTGGAGCTTGCAGTGAGCCGAGATCATGCTACTGCACTCCAGCTTGGGTGACAGAGCGAGACTCTGTCTCAAAAAAAAAAAAAAAAAAAAGAACAAGACCATTATGTCATTAGGTCTGAACACAGACAAGGCAAGAACATGGTTCAAACCATAAAAGTGACTTAATATCCCCCTCTCCCAGCTCATGCTAGTGAGTGCTGCTGCTTTATAGTTAAAAGCCTGCTGCCTGGCTCTGGTCTGCCTTCTTCCAGGTAAGATTAACCCACGCATCGCATAGCATCCCCTTCTTCCAAACACCAACCAAATCTGGAGCAAAGCCCCACTTCCTTGAACGCTCTCCCCAGATCACCCAACATGCCCCAGTTCTGTAATGAGTCCTGGCAAACCCCCTCTGCCTGAGACACCCCACAGTTCCCGCTGGTGTGCCCTGCGTGTAGTCTCTCTCCCTCCAACAAATAGTAAATCCAACTCGTTCAACTATAGGCCTGATCCTGAGGTCTTTGGCTGGAGGACGTTTTCACTTATAGGATTCATAGGCTAATTTCCAGAGCTCTTTTGAAATTGGTAAAATAGTTTACATTTTCCACCTTACCTGGCCACCAGGCTCCTGATGGCATAATGTCAGGATTAAACCTTAGGATTTAAAGTCTATGATTCTGGAACACTCAGGATTTTAACTTTCCAGCTCAGGACATCCTTGCATTTTTTTATGGTGTCTGGTTAAGACTAGCAGTGACTTCATGAAGGTGGAAATCATGCATTCTTCATTCATTAATCTGATGATTTCACTACTGACAAATGAAAATTACCCAGGCCTTTCAACTTCCCTTCCCAGCTCTCCTGCTGTTTGACCAAAAGACACACATTCTACTGATTTTCAATGACTATTTATCTGCATTGAAAGAACATTTTTCAGAAAACAGAAAGAGACATTATAATGGGTATTTACCACTGGTATGTTCATAGAACGGCCCCAAAATTGTTAACTTCACATGCATATTAGCATAAAACAAAATAATAAATAGGTAAAATTTACTTTAAATTTCTGTTTACAGATTTTTAACAAAATGGCACGGAAAGGGGCTTCCAAGCCAGAAAGCCTTGGCACATCAGGTGAGCCTTTGACACACTGCCTGAGCAGCCTACGGGCTGTCCCATCTGGAACTGGTGCTAGAGTTAGGGAAGCTTCAGGAAGAGACCGTGGGATCTACGCAGCTGTTCTGTTTTTCCTTCCTGAGAGTGTGAGGCCGGGAGGAGACATCATCTGAACGTGCACTTCCTTTCTTTCTTTCTTTTTGAGACAGAGTCTCACTCTGTCACCCAGGCTGGAGCATAGTGGCGTGATCTCGGCTCACTGCAACCTCTGCCTCCCAGGTTCAAATGATTCTCCTGCCTCAGCCTCCTGAGTAGCTGGGATTTCAGGTGCCCACCACCACGCCCAGCAAATTTTTTGTACTTTTAGTACAGATGGGGTTTCACCATGTTGGCCAGGCTGGTCTCAAACTCCTGACCTCAGGTGATCTGCCCACCTCAGTCTCCCAAAGGTGTGAGCCACCACGCCCAGCCTGATTGTGCACTTTCTACAAGTGCAAGACCCGGCCCTCCTGGACTTCATGGTTGTGGTCTGTGCTCTTTGTATATCACAAATTTGAAGGCCTTTAGCCTAAGACCCTTTTATTACCTTTCCTTTATGCATCTTATAATTTGAAATATCATCTCCACCAAATTATTGTGTAATTATATAATTGCCACTTTAACTACTTCACACGTCAATAAATTTAAAAAGCCTTTAAGTGTGTATTTTTGATATGATAAAATTGTGATAGGGTTCTGGAAACTGTGTTCTTCAGATTTGGTGGAGGGGCTTGGGAAAAGGTAGGGCAATAGGTATTTTTTAAAAAGAAAGAAACTAAAAAACTTAAGTTGTTTATTTGAAATTCAAAATTGTCACTGCGTATCCAGTGTTATCTGCCCACCTGAGAGGAGGTAGAGTGGGAAGGTCATCACAAAAGAACCCGAAAAGCTGGGCAGGGGAAAGGGGTGTTCTGCATTAAGGAAGGCTTGCTCTGTAATAGGATCCAAAGTGTGTGATTCCTGACTGCCCTGCAAGTGGCTTGGAGGCTTTGGGCATCTCTCTTGGAAAATAGAAACTTCATGGATGGCTAAAAGAGACATGATAACAGTGTACATGGCAGAAGATCCTCTGCTGATGGGTTCTAGAGAGTCACTGATTCCTTAGGAAGATCTAGTTACAGGCAAGAGCCTTGAATAATCATGAGTCTGGGCCAGTCAAAGGAGGCAAATGCCCCACCTGGGAAAGGTGGCTCTCTCTAATCCAGGTGGTGTTCTGGAAGAAAAGGGAAATAAAAGGCCTGTGTCCTGCTTCTCCACCCGGAGGACTCTGCTCAGCCCTTAGGTCTTCTGAAGGGCTCTCCTGGAAGCCTACTGCAGCTGCAGGCCTGCAGCACCAGTTGCGGATAAGGGAAGATGGAGGTTGACAGAGGGGCCTGCCTCCTCTTACTTTCCCTGCCCTGGCCTGAGTCCTGTGGTTCGTGACTGTGCTGTCTTTAGTGGGAGCTTGCCAAGCCCAGCAGTGTCCTGGTGTGGATGAGAAATTACACACTCATCCTATTCTTAGCTCAGGGGCCTCTGTGCATTGAACTGGTTGCATCAGCTTCATTTTTACTGCAAAACCACCCTTTACAATAGGTCGGAAGTATGATTCTGGCAGACAAAGTGAGGACAAGAGGACAAATGGGGCCAAAAGGAAGCAAGGTTGGGATAGTGGGTGGAGTGACTTCTAGGGATTGGGAGGAAAGTCCCTACCCTTCCCTCCATGGGTCTCCTGACCTGAGCAGGCTCTGGGAGGACAGGGCTGCTCGAGCCACCCTGAGAACCTCCCAGGCTGAGAGGATTCCAGGACGCCCACTCTGGAGATACTGAGACCAGCTCTGGGGAACACGGTGCCAGCTTGAGTGCACCCTGGGCCTGCAGCATGGAGAAGAATTTAGCATCCCAAGCCCCCACCCCTGAGATGCTTCAGGTGGGGCAAAGTGGCTGCAGCAGCCTAAACTTTAGGTTGTCAGAGTGATACGGAGCTGCACAAGGCCAGGCACTGAGTGAGTGCCCTGAAAGTGCTGGTGGGGGAAATATGTGAGTTCAAACTACCCTTGAAATTTCAGATACTTGTCATCTGTAAATTATGAAAACGTGCTCCTTACTTTCTTAGCAATAGTGTTGCTTTTACATATACGTGCATTCCTCTCCTGTGGCTACTGTAAAAGTTACCACGAACTCGGTGGCTTCAAACAGTGGGAATGTATAGTTCTGGTGGTCAGAAGTCTAAACTGAGTCTTATGGGAACAAAACCGAGGTGTCTGCAGGGCAGGGCTGGTTCTAACTGAGGCTCTAGGGAGAATCGCTTCCTTGCCTTTTCAGCTTCCAGAGCCGCCTGCGTCCCGTGGCTCCTGGCCCCTTCCTTGCATCACATCACCTTCCCCCCGACTGTGTCATCACACTGCCTTTCCCTACTGTCATCAAGTCCCCTGTGCCTTTCTCTTATAGGAAAATTTATGATTACATTTAGGGCCCGCCTGGATGGCCCAAGATAATCTCCCCAACTCAAAGTTCTTAATCACATCTGCAGAATCCCTTTTGCCTTCCAAGTCACCATATCACAGGTTCCAGGGACCAGATGGTGGAGGTCCTGGGGGGACACTATTCAGTGGACCACACTGCCCTTTTCTCAGATTGAACTGGTGGCCTTGTCTGTCCCTCTTCCCCGACAGGTAAAGGGATTCAGGGTCTCTGCTCTTCACGACGTCATCCATAGAGAGTCTCTCTCATATACATCTAAGGTGATCTTCAAAATAACCCACGAACCAGGGATCATTTACAAATGGGAAACTGGGAAGAAAACTAACATTTACAGAGTTAAATAATTCAAATTTTAGTTAAACACTGCTATATACAGCCCCATTATTGCTTCATTTGACCCTCCTGCCATCTGGGAAGTATCTGTTTTTACTCCTATTTTGAAAGTAGAAAACCTGAAATAGTGAGGTCATGTAACTGATCTAACACTGCAGGTCTTGGAAATTAGAAAACCTGAAATTAGTGAGGTCATGTAATTGCTCTAAGACAGCAGAGCCAGAAGTAAAGGCACTGAAGTTTAAAGCAGACCTGTGATTTCCACCCCTTAGCTCTTCCCTGTCCCATTTTCCCCTGTCCATCACTCCCTCTGCACAGTCCTGCAATGGTCTGAGAATGGTGGCCAGTGCTGCAGGAGACCCATGGGTGTGCCTTTGGGGTGTGCATTGACAGTTTTCTTTGAATGCTTCTAGAACCACAAAATATCAGGGCAGAAAGGCATCTCAGAGAAAACCTACCCCAAATAACTTCTCAAACTTCAATGCACAGAACTATCTGGCTGCTTATAAAAAAACAAGAGTCTGTAAGCCCCATTCCCAGAAATTTTAATTTAATAGGTCTGCACTTGAGGCCCAGGCAGGTTTTTTTTGTTTGTTTGTTTGTTTGTTTTTTGTTTTTTGTTTTTTTTTTTTTGAGATGGAATCTTGCTCCATTGCCCAGGCTGGAGTACAGTGGTGCGATCTCAGCTCACTGAAACCTCTGCCTCTAGGTTCAAGTGATTCTCCCACCTCAGCCCCCCGAGTAGCTGGGACTGTACAGGTGCATGCTACCATACCCGGCTAACTTTTTGTATTTTTAATACAGACGGGGTTTCACTGTGTTAGCCAGGATGGTCTCGATCTCCTGACCTCGTGATTCACCCTCCCAAAGTGCTGGGATTACAGGTATGAGTTATCCGCCTGGCGCATCTACATTTTTAACATGCCCCAAAGCTAGTTTTGAAACAATTTAACAGGAAAGAAAGGGTGAGAGGGGTGCATTTGTCCTTTCTCACACTGCTGTAAACATATTACCTGAGACTGGGTAATTTATAAACGAAAGGGGTTTAATTGACTCACCGTTCCACATGGCTGGGGAGGCCTCAGGAAACTTACAATTATGCAGAAGGCAAAGGGGAAGTAAGCACCTTCTTCACAAGGCAGCAAGAGAGAGAGAGCACAGGGGAAACTGCCATTTTTAAAATCAGATCTCATGAGAACTCACTCACTATCACAAGAACAGCATTGGAAGTGATCCAATCACCTCCCTCCCTCGACACGTGGGGATTACGATTTGAGATGAGATTTGGGTGAGGACACAGAGTCAAACCATATCAAGGGGTAATACATTTTCTCTAGAATGTAGCATTAGCCTTTCTTTTTGAGGAACATGTTTGTGTGTTATGGAAGTTAATCACGGTGGGCCACATCATTGGAAAACAGCAAATACTGCTTTCTGGTTTTTGGCCGATTAGGTCAGGTGAAGAAGTTTGGCAATCTGGCTCTGATTTGTGTGAGAGATACCAGTGAAAGGTGGATTTCACATTGTGAGATGAAACATCTGGAGAGGACTAGAGTCTAACTTGTGCATCAGCTGGAAAGAAAGACTGAGGGGTCATGGGAACTTGCACATTACGATCCATGTAACTGCACTTGCCAGAATGTAGGATCAATCTGCTGCTGAAGAATATCCTAAATCAGAGAGTAGATAGGAACCAGAGGCCGTAAACTCACCAGAGATGTTAGTGCGGCCTTGAGGTTAACTGCTGCTTGGAACACAGAGACGTGATGCACTGAAACTAAATCTGGGCTGAGGGAAAGCATGTCCACACCAGGTGCCCAGACATCTGGTTGGCTTTGGCTGATTTGTCCTGCAGGCACCTGCCTTGTCTGGATTTGCACACTTTCCAAGTTGCCCATTACCCTGTGCATTTCCCAAGCTGCCTTCCCTGGCTCTGATGTACGATGAACCTGCTTGAGTGGCATATTTATCATAGTGCAATCAAGAGGCATGAGCCATGATTGATGACATATCATAAATGGGAATATGCATATCATCACACTGGGATCTGACTTAGCAGTTCATTTGGCCTTACTATAAGCTGATTTCTTGAAAGAGCTCAGATTCCTGGCTCAGAATGCCTTTGATAGAAGAGTGTGTTCTCAATGGAAGGGAAGCAATAGTTATAATTTTTTCTCAGTGGACCAGTTCTCAAGTGAAGGCAGAATTTTAACCAGTGTTCAGCGTCTTCCATTAAAATCCCCAGCTCTCCATTTTTCAGTGTGAAAAAATCCAGGCCAGGGTTTCTGCAGACAGTAATTTTTGATGGCAGGGTCAGCAAATTGGACTAAGTGTATGTACTGTGATCTCCATAAAAGGGAATTACTGAATTTTCTGTCCACTTAGCAGCGTCTTTTGTTAATGATGGGCAAGAAGCTTGTATTATTTATGGAGCACTTTGACATCTCAGCAGTTTATGGAGTATATATGAAGAATGGGAGCACTTTATCTTCTAATAAAATGTTGCATAACAACTTTAGTACTGAACTTTTTTAAAGAAGGAATCATGGATTATCCTGCAGCCAAGTATTAACAGAAAGGACATACTGTGATCTCACATTCAAACTACTTCAAAGATAAGGAGATTTATTTTGCCCATTACAATTTTCTCCCAGAGCAAATAACCATTTTTATTAAAATGCTGTAAGTTCATCCAGGTAGGATTTGGGTGAAGATAATTTGGGACAAGCCACTGTGTACTGGTAATGAAAACAGAAATGAATTCAAGCTTCTAATGGAAAAGTGACAAGCAAATAAATTAATCTCCAGGTTATTCAATTTTAGAAAGTGATATAAGATGTAAGATATAACTAAAAACTGAAAAGGAAAGTTAAAACAGTCTCCAGGTTTCCATATGGATGATTTGTAATTAAAATGATACTGGAGGGGAGTCCAGGACACATCTGAATATCGAGCTTTGCCCACAACCTTTCTGATTGCTGTTTCTTAGGTGTTTACTGCAGTGCTTCTTTCTCCATTTCTGCATAAGTGTGGACAAAATTCACATGTGCCTATTACTAGTATAAAGGGCACACACGGCCAGGCGTGGTGGCTCACGCCTGTAATCCCAGCACTTTTGGAGGCTGAGGAGGGGGGATCAGGAGATCGAGACCATCCTGGCTAACACGGTGAAACTCTGTCTCTACTAAAAAAAAAAAAAAAAAAAAAAAAAAAAAAAAAATTAGCCCGGCATGGTGGCAGGCGCCTGTAGTCCTAGCTACTCAAGAGGCTGAGGCAGGAGAATGGCGTGAACCCGGGAGGCAGAGCTTGCAGTGAGCCGAGATCCCGCCATCGCACTCCAGCCTGGGCGACACAGTGAGACTCTGTCTCAAAAAATATAAATAAATAAAATAAAATAATAAAGGGCACACACTGTGCTTGCTGCCTGAGACTGGCCAAGGGGTCTCTTAGTTTTGTCTGTTACTTAAATTATCAACTCCACCTAACTACAGGAAACACAGAAATGGTGTGTTGCAGTCCGGACACTGTGAGCAGCATGAAATTCTATCTCGGTGTCTAGGAAATGGGGTAGGGAAGGGCCAGTCCAGGGCACAGGTAAGAATAGACTTTTGCCTCTGAGCTCTCCCACCTTTCTCTTTCTCCTTATGAGTTGCTCTTTACCCTAGGATTTCCAGACACTCATGCTATTCTTTAGTCCTAAAAATTCCTCCTCAAAGTCTTGCTTTTCTCAAAATGCCTTATGCCCCATAGTTACCATGTGAGCTTCCTCCCACGTCCTTGGTCCCGCTTCCCTCCTGTGGGCAGCTTAGTCAGTGTGCCCTTCCCTCCACACGCCCAGAGGGCTGGCTCCTGCAGGCAGCACCTTTGCAATGGCCTCCAAAACAGACTTGAGACAAGCGCATAAAAGGGAGGAGGAAGCAGCGCTCCTGTAGGTCTCCTGGCTCTTGCTCCAGCAGGATGGCACAGGAAGACACATGAGGTCTTTTTTCTTAACTCAGATGTTCAGATCAGAACTCTTGTCTGGAGCCAATGAGCTGAGCCCCTGGGGAGCCAGGACTGATCCTGGTTTTAAGGCAGTTAATGTTCCCTATTCTTGCCTCCAGGTGTTTTTGAAATCCTCCCTACCCAGATAGGCACAAAAATAGATGATGTGTCTGGCTGCAAAGAAAAGCTATGCACATTCCTAAAAGCAAAAATGATACAAGCCATATTTCCTTCCATAAAACAAATAAACTAAAAATAAAGAATGAAAGGATAGCAAAAAAGAAAATAATTTATCAATAGATGCAGTTTTCAACAGATTACATAGAAATAGCAACAGAGAGAATCAGTGAGGTAGACATTAGCACTGAGAAATCACTCAGATTACAGCAGATATATAAAAAATGGCGACTGGGAATGATCATTTAGGAGGAATTAATGATAGAATGCACAATCTGTAAGAGTTCTAGGAGAGAAAGAATGGAGAGGAGGTATTTGGAGCTAACAGCTGAAAATTTTCCATAATTGAAAAATGTAATCAAATCAAAGAAAAAACAACCTAAAGAAAGTAGAAGCAATATAATAAGATTTAAACAAAATGATTTAGCAGCTAAAATTCACAGATTTCATCACTAAAATAAAAAGACAGTTCTTTGCAATGAAAAGAGCATTTAAAAATATTTTGTAATATAATATAAATACAAATATAATTTTAAAAGCAAGCTGGTATAAATATATAAATATATTTAAAATATAAGATATTAAATTAATATATTTCAATGTCTAGATTAAATGGACAGTTTTTGAGAACACTATAAATTATCATTTTTAACTTAATAAGAAACAAAATTCAAACAGTCAAAAGCATCTAAACCAAATTTAAAAGATAATAAAAAGAAAAAAATCTATCCATAATAATGAAACCAAGTTCAGGGATTTTCTTGAGTTAATAAATTTTATGAAACTTTAGCTCATAGATTAGATTATCCCTGTGTGATACAGACTTTGCTGTAGCATCAAACAATATGGGAAGGCTGCTACCTTATTCTGTGAGGCTAGTATAAAACTAACACCACAACTAGACAAAGCTGACACAAAACTAAATGAGATCAGCCAATCTCACTAACACAGAGAGCTGCAGAAATTAAACCCCAAAAAATCTTAGCGAATTTCACAGAATAATGATTTTTAAAAATGTGTGTGTCTTGTAAAATCAAGACTTAGATATGCAAACATGATTCAATAGTTTCAAAATCTATTAATTCAATTCTGTATGTCTTCAGATTAAAAGAGGAAAACAAGATCATCTCAATCAATATCAAGAAAGCATTTGCTAAAACCAACATCCTGATTACATTTCTGATAAAAATGTAAACAAAGCAAAACAGTGAAGTTAGAAATAAAAGAAAACTTTCTTAATTTTGTATAAGAGAGATCTAGAAAACTGGAGCAAACATAATAGCTAATGGCAAAATATCATAAATATTCATGTTAAAATTATACACAAGAAAAGGACACCTACTAGCACCACTTTTATGCAAACAGTGAATAAGAAATCTTAGCAGTAAATACAGAAACATTGTACAGACAGCATGAAGAAAAGACAAAACTGCCATTTTAAAAAGTTTTATCTGATAATCTACCCCAAAATTTCACAGAATTAACTGATAAACTATATTAACTAGTAAGGTGGTCTGATATAAAATAAACATTTAAAAATACTTACTAACAATAACCAATTAGAAAACATGATAGAAAGAAACAAATGCCATTACCAATTGTTTAAATGCACACAAAACCCCAAAGAAGAACTTTTATTATCTAAATGGAACCTCTTCTAGCATTACAGAGACCCCAATATCTAACAACTCCCTTAGCAACGTGACGTTCCAGGTGGTTCCAGGCAGGTGTGGAGGCTCTGGGTGCACAGGTGAGCAGCGACTCTGCCATCTTTTATACCCTGCTTCCAAGGCTATCATGGAGTTGCAATCCTGGTTAGCCAGAGAGGAGGAAAGCATGGAAGAGTGTGTATGTAAGGTTGTTATGGGGTGGCCTGGAAGTGGCATTCATGTATTTCAGGGCTCATCTGTGGCATCACACCTTCTTAAGGTCACTGGTTTGATACTGATTAGGGTAGAATCAGCTGTAGTAACAGACTCAAACGTGTAACAACTCCATCCAAGAGCAGTTCATGTTTCACTCATCCAAAAGCCCAGGGCAGCAGTCCAGAGGGGGAGGTTGGGACTCTGCTCCACTGCATCATTCAGGGACACAGGGGTTCTGTCACCTTCCACAGGTTTCTCCCAAGATCACCCTGGGAGTTGTCATCCAAGGCAGGAAGGAAAGAGAGCTTAGAGAAAGTGTGGGATGGTTTTAAGGTCCTGGCTTGGAAGTAACATCCATCACTTCTGCTCAAATTCCACTAACTACAACCTCAGTCATATGACCCCAACTAATTGCAAGGGAAGCTGGGAAGGGAATCTAACTGCTTGCACAAAGAAAAGGGTTGATTAAATTTTGAAGAGTTGCCAGCAAATTCTACCATAAACCTGACAAAGAGTATACAAGTCTGATGTGAATAAAATTGTAAACTTTGTTGAAGAATGTTAAAAAAAAAAAAATAAGAGGAGACATACCCTATACCTACACTGAAAGATACAGTCATGGAAAATGTAAATTATCTCCAGGTTAATCTATACATCTCATGAAAAACTGGATCCCTTCCTTACCCCTTATACAAAAATTAATTCAAGATGGATTAAAGACTTAAATGTCAGACCTAAAACCATAAAAACCCTAGAAGAAAACCTAGGCAATACCATTCAGGACATAGGCATGGGCAAGGACTTCATGTCTAAAACACCAAAAGCAATGGCAACAAAAGCCAAAATTGACAAATGGGATCTAATTAAACTAAAGAGCTTCTGCACAGCGAAAGAAAGTACCGTCAGAGCGAATACGCAACCTACAGAATGGGAGAAAATTTTTGCAATCTCCTCATCTGACAAAGGGCTAATATCCAGAATCTACAATGAACTCCAACAAATTTACAAAAAAAAAACAAACAAACCACCCCATCAAAAAGTGGGCAAAGGATATGAACAGACACTTCTCAAAAGAAGACATTTATGCAGCCAAAAGACACATGAAAAAATGCTCACCATCACTGGCCATCAGAGAAATGCAAATCAAAACCACAATGAGGTACCATCTCACACCAGTTAGAATGGCGATCATTAAAAAGTCAGGAAACAACAGGGCTGGAGAGGCTGTGGAGAAATAGGAACACTTTTACACTGTTGGTGGGACTGTAAACCAGTTCAACCATTGTGGAAGTCAGTGTGGCGATTCCTCAGAGATCTAGAACTAGAAATACCATTTGACCCAGCCATCCCATTACTGGGTATATACCCAAAGGATTATAAATCATGCTGCTATAAAGACACATGCACACATATGTTTATTGCAGCACTATTCACAATAGCAAAGACTTGGAACCAATCCAAATGTCCAACAATGATAGACTGGATTAAGAAAATGTGGCACATATACACCAGGGAATACTACGCAGCCATAAAAAATGATGATTTCATGTCCTTTGTAGGGACATGGATGAAGCTGGAAACTATCATTCTCAGCAAACTATTACAAGGACAAAAAACCAAACACCACATGTTCTCACTCACAGGTGGGAATTGAACAATGAGAACACATGGACACAGGAAGGGGAACATCACACACCGGGGCCTGTTGTGGGGTAGGGGTAGGGGGGAGGGATAGCATTTGGAGGTATACCTAATGTTAAATGACGAGTTACTGGGTGCAGCACACCAACATGGCACATGTATACATGTGTAACTAACCTGCACATTGTACACATGTACCCTAAAACGTAAAGTATAATAAAAAATAAAAATAATAATAAACCCCCCCAAAAAAAGAAAATTTTCAATTTAACTGAAAGTTTTATGAACTTGATAAAAGGTTTTTAAAATTCATATGGCAGATGTTTTAGTCAGTTTTGTGCTGCTATAACTGAATATCTGAGACTAGGTAATTAATGCAGAACAGAAATTTATCTCTGACCGTTCTACAGCCTAAGTCCAACTGAGGTGCTGGCTGGCTTAACTATCGGGTAACGGCTATTCTCTGCTTCCAAGGTGGTGCCTTGGATGCTGCATCTTCCAGAAGGGACAAATGCTGTGTCCTCACATAGCAGAAGAAAAGTGTATTATTAGTCCGTTTTCATGCTGCTGACAAAGGCATATCCGAGACTGGGCAATTTACAAAAGAAAGGGGGTTATTCGACTTACAGTTTCACATGGCTGGGGAGGCCTCACAATTACAGCAGAAAGTGAAATGCATGTCTCACATGGCAGCAGACAAGAGAAGAGAGCTTTTGCAGGGAGACTCCCATTTTTAAAACCATCAGATCTCGTGAGACTTATTCACTATCACGAGAACAGCACGGAAAAGATCTGCCTCCATGAGTCAATTACCTCCACCGGTTCCCTTTCACAATATATGGGAATTCGAGATGAGATTCAGGTGGGGACACAGCCAAACCATATCAGGAAGGAAGGGTGAAATGGGGCCAGACTTTCTCCTTCAAGCCCTTTTATAATGATATCAATTTGAAGAAACCTAAACATCTCTCAAAATGCCCCATGTCCCAACACTGTTGTATTGGGCATTACGTTTACAACATATGAATTTTGGGGGACATATTCAGACCACAGCAGTGGAGAATGTCTAATTCATTTTTACAAAGAGAACGATAAGATGGCAAATTTACTTGTATTTCATTCCATTTTGTGTTCCCATAAAGGAATACCTAGGGCTGGGTAATTTATAAAGAAAAGCAGTTTCTTTGGCTCATGGTTCTGTAGGCTGTACAAGAAGCATGGTGTCAGCATTTGCTTCTGGTGAGGGCTTCAGGCTGCTTCCACCACCAGTGGAAGGTGAAGGGGAGCAGGTTTATGTTGTGGTGAGAGAGAGAGCGAGAGAGGGTGAGAGAGAGAGCGAGAGAGAGGGTGAGAGAGAGGGCGAGAGAGAGGGTGAGAGAGGGAAGGGGAGCTCAGGCTCTTTTAATCAACCAACTCTCTCATGAACTATTAGAAAAAGATCTCACTCACTGCCAAGCAGATATCACCAAGCCATTTACGAGGGATCTGCCCTCGTGACCCAAGCACCTTCCACTAGCCTCCACCTCCAACGCTGGAGATCAAATTCAGCGTGAGATCTGGAGGGGACAAATATCCAACTATACCAGCTTTTTCTTATCACTATTGATCTGTTGTATTTAAAACATTGTAGTATTGTACCAAAGTAGAAAAATAAAACAGATAAACAGGCTCGAGGTTTTAGAAATATATCCTTAATATTACTCATCCTTAAAAAAGGAAGGAAATCCTGTCACGTGCTACAACATGGATGAATCTTGAAGCCACTAGGCTAAGTGAAAGAGCTGGTCATAAAAAGAATGCTGCATGATTTTACTTATATGAGATACATAGAGTAGTCAAATTCATGGAGACAGAAAGTACACTGGCAGTTTCCAGGCTTTCCAGGATTTTCACCCTTTTGAGGGTGAAATGATGAGTTATTTTTTAATGGGTACATGTTCAGTTTTGCAAATTAAAGAATTTCTAGAGATAGATGGTGGTCACGATTGCACAACAATGTGAATGTACTTAATACTACTAAACGGTACATTAAAAACAATTAAGATGTAAATTTTTATGTGTTTTTGCTATAAAATTTTTAAAACTCTTTAAAAATTAATATACTCTTCTGTTAATGAGATAGTAGCTTATGACAAAGATAATGGTGTTTAAAGTCAATAGTAAATGAATAGCTCATTCAATAAATAATTTGGAGATAATTAGATATCTATAGGAAAAATTTTTTCTTACATTATAAAAAATGTTCAGATATAAAATGGTACTGTAAACTTATTAGGAGAAAACATTATAGAGTGTTTTCATAATAGTGCAATGGTATAAATGCCAGATAAAAGTTAAGATTGTAAATTTAGTAAAAGAAAATATACGGAGTGGTTTCATTATATTGAAGTGAAGTACAAGTATTTCTAGGCAATGTGCAAAAATCAAAAGTCCTACATAAATCTAATGAAACGTTTGTCTTCATAAAAACCTAAAATCTTCTTTAGTGAAAAAGCAAAACACTGTAAAGTCAATGGGCAAGTGGTAGATTGGTAGATAATATTTGTAACATATTTAATCAATACGGATGAATATCAAGAATATATAAAGAGATCCTAAAATTGATAAGAAAGAAAAACATTTTAATAGAAAAATTTAGACCATGAACATACTCTCTCGGAAGAGTCAAACATAGTAAGCATATGAAAATGTGTTAAACTTACTCAAAAATCAAGAAATAGTATGTTACAACCATGAGACTTTTTCCTCATCTATTAGGCTGGGATTAATTTAGAAGAGGCAGGGTAATCAATGTTCTCATTCATCATTGGTGGGAGTGCAAATGTGTAGCCTTTCAGAAAAAGTGGCAGTAATTCTCAAAATTTAAATATGTACATATTTTGATTCATAAACTTTACAGCAGGAATCTATCTTAAATATGATGCCCAAGTGTGAAAAGGCATATATACATAAAAATGTTCATTTCAGCATTGTTGATTTAAGGAGAGATTGGGAAGTTAGATATTCATCGACAGGGGAATGAATAAATAAGTTTTGCTATAACCATACTGCAGAATACTCTGCAGCCATTAAAAAGAATAAGTTTGGCTTATAGGTACTAACCTTGGAGGATCCCTAAGACATGCAGTTTAACAAAACAATGCATATAGAACGATCAATTGTGTAATTGTATAGTAACGTAATGGAAAAGATTCATGCTGTATTGGTTGGGTATGGCCACAATTCTGTTGTGTAACAAACTCACTGGTCTTGAGGAAAATAACTTACTCGTATGAATCTCTGGGTCATGGAGCAGCTCTACCCTGACACTGAAGCAGTGCTCTGGTCTGCTGCACCTGATTCTCAACCTCCTGAGTCAGCAGGCTGGCCAGGATATGTACTTCTCACAGCGGTGGCAGAGGCGCAAGGGCCTGGACAGAAACATTTCAGACCTCTTAAAGTCTTGAAAGGAAGAAAGAAATATTTTTCCATTGCATTTAAGCAGTAGTGCATTTTAGCTAATTTCTACAATTACCATTGATGTAGTAGATGGAGAAATCTATTAAGTCCTTAAATTCTAATAACCTTGATGCCACAAGCCACATTAACAATATTAAGATTACTCCTTTGAAATGAACAAGTTAACCAGCTTTGCCCTTGTAGAGCTCACAAAGACCACAGATTTTATCCAGCCAATACCACTCAGTCAAAGCATTGGAGTTTTAAACGTAGACAGGTTCCCAACACAGCCACAGTCCAGCAGGTGAGGGGTTTGCTGGCTCTCTGGGACACTTCCAGGACAGATGTGTACTGTCCTACAAAACAGCTCATGCAATTCAAAGAAATCGAGATGGAGCTGATGTCAAAAGCACACTAAGTACTTAATAATGAGTTCGTATGGTTGTATAGTTAATAATTACTGTTAGGAAATCTACAATGGCTAAAATACACCCTTACATTTATCCAGTAAGTAGTGTTTAGATACCTATCTTTTTGAAGTCTAAAAATAAGTATGAACGCTAATATCATTTGGGCTCCTTCTTCAAAGCTGTTTCCCCTTGACTCTTTTATGAGTAAAAAAATATGCATAAAGTACAGAAAATGTGAGCCGTTTATGAACATCTGATGTGAGATGTTAGGGTTGACTTGGTATGTCCTTTGTCTTGAATGCAATGCTGAGTGGGAAACGGGATTCCTATAACCCAAGGCGTGCAGTGGTATTATGATTCAATTATCACCTCAGTTGCAGGGGAAGAAAGGCCTATTGCAGCAAGTACCTTGGGTGCTGTATCTGACCTTCACGGTGGTGGTGACAGCAAGGCTTGCGTCATGTTCAGAGAATCAGACAGCTTCTCCAGTGACACTAAAACCAAAACAAAACATCTTTGTTTTACTTACAAGCAGCAAGGCAGATAGAGCTGTATAAAATAGATGCAGAATTTAATGGAGTAGGTACAAAATTACAGCGTAAGTTCAATCCTCAGACTCGCCAATACATTTGTGTAAAAGTTAGGCTTTGATTGTAGCAGGGGGCTCTCCAAGACTTGGAATTGGGTTATCTGTGTGGATTCAAGAAAAGCTGGGAAATTTACACCCCAAGTCTCTCTAAGCCATCCTTGCTGAAGGAAGCAGCCTCCTCTCCCTGCCTGTAGAATCTTCCCTTATTTGAAGACCTTTTAATAACTTCACATGCTTGAGCTCCCTGGTAAGGTGATATCTAAAACTCTCAGGGCTCACTCCCATCACCCATTAGTGCATGAGACCCATAATTAGGGTCACAAATGTCAAGTATGTTCCACAGGGAGAAAAGCAAAGTCCAATCCAGAAGGACATGGTTTATAGGAGAGAGAGAAAAAAAAGAGAGAGGGAAGAAAAATGATAAAAAGGGCAATACTCACCAATTCAAAGTACCAGAAACATGGGTAAATGTAGTGCATGAATCCTAAGAACATTACACCACAGAGCACAGAATTCAACACTGAATAAGGCTGACCCCATCCATGTGAGAGCACTTACAGAGATTCTAGCTGAATGTGCTGATTTGGGCACCATGGAGCAGCTCTCACAGTTTGCATGGATGGTGGAGTGAATTTGAACTTAATGATGGCTCACATCTGAAGAGGCCAGACTCTCCTGCTCTCTGTGATGGACTTGTTCAGGGAAATGTCTGCATCCCAGAGAACATCTTCTTCCACCATACCCAGGACACCATCTTGGTTGAATCTGGTGAGCAAGCACAGCAAGAACCCTAAATGTCTTAATGAGACACATGTGTGGCAAAGAGTGAACAATAAACCCCATGAAATCTCGAGGCCCATGCCTTGGGGAGGTTTCTCATGGCCCTGTGGTCTGAAGCATGTTTGGGCATTTCTTCCAAAGTGAAACAGAAGTTGTTATTTCATCTATTACCTACCCCTAAAAAATGGGCACGGTGTTGAGAAAATGTCTTTGGAGGCAACAAATACCACATTTGAGAGTGCTGTCCCAACCCATTTATTGAGTAACCAACAAAGCTCCAAGGTAAGTGACTGGGGCCATATGGACACACATAAAAGTATAATTGAAGGCCAGGTGTGGTGGCTTACAACTGTAATCCCAGCACTTTGGGAGGCCGAGGCAGGCGGATCACAAGGTCAGGAGTTCGAGACCAGTCTGGCCAATATAGTGAAACCCCATCTCTAGTAAAAATACACAAATTAATCGGGCCTGATGGCGGGCACCTGTAGTCCCAGCTACTCGGGAGGCTGAGGCAGGAGAATTGCTTGAACACAAGAGGCAGAGGTTGCAGTGAGCTGAGATCTCACCACTGCATTCCAGCTTGGGTGACAGAGCGAGACTCCGTCTCAAAATAAATAAATAAATAAATAAATAAATAAATAAATAAAAGCATAATTGAATATCTGTTTTCAGGAGCTTCTGGCAAGCCCAAATGAGAATCGCAATGCAAATATATAGGGCTTTGGAGAAAAGCCATGTTCTACTCTGCATATAATTATTATTTTAAGAATCAACTCTTATCTTGCTATGCTATTGAGCTTTGTCAAGACAAAATGAGAACTTCATGACCACTGTTCATCATGAATTGGCTATGCACCGACACACTAGGCCATAAGGTGGGAGGAGAATAAGATTCGGCAAGTCCAGAAACAGGTTTCATGAGCAGGTGACTGCTAAGGACTCCGATTCCATCTTTTCCTTCTTCTCCATCTTTTCTTCCCATAATTTACACTTAGGACCTCATTGGGAGTTGCCTACGGCAGCTGGTTTGCAGATGGTTCTGTTATGCTGGCACCAGCCATAAGTGGATCGCTGCCAATGCTACTGTCTCACTCAAGGATAGTGCTGAAGAACAAAGGGAAAAGGATAGCTTCCCAGTGGACAAAACTTGTAGCAGTAAAATTTAGTTTTTCATTTTATCTGCGTAACAGATGGCCAGAAGTACAGATCTACACAAATTCATGTGTGGTTCTCTGAGTAGATGGTCAGAGACTGGGAAAGAATGGCATTGGATAACTAGTGACAGACTGAAGAAGAGATGTGTAAATGGACTTCTCAGAAGGGACACAGGGTGGGGCATACCTGTGTCCCACGTGAATGTTCCCTGAAGGTCATCTGCTACACAGGAGACTTTCAGGAATCAGGGGGATGTGATGACACATTCAGTGGGTGTGCTGGAAGGCTCCGGGGTGTTTGCTCAATGGGTCTGGGTATAAAGTGGCTAAGGAAGTGGTGATAGAAGCCACTCAAGGGTTCAGCAGCATTAACTTCCCGGGGGAACCACTCAGCCACATGATAGGGCAAGCAGATTGTAACACTGACCTCCACCAATTTCTGCCTTGTCCTGATATAATGGCACAATGGCCTGAGAATACTCAGTTACAGCGCCCATAAAGTGACAGCATTCTGGAAGTAGTATATGCTTTGAAGCAGCAATCAATCAACAGAATACAGGAGTCTGGAAATCAAAGAGGCATAATTGGAAATGGCTCTTCTCATATTTCTTCTGCAGGATTTTTGCTTCTCCCTCCAGAATCTTGTGCTTTGCTGGTTTGGAGATTCTAGTTCCTAAGACAGAAGTGCTTCTGCTGGAGAAAATAAGGCTGTATCTGTTGAATGGGATACTGAGGCTTTATTCTGTCATTTGAGGCTTCTTATTCCACTATAAAGAATAGAGTAACTGTCCTGGCTGATCCCTAAGCAGAAATTGGGTTTCTGCTCACAAGGGAGGTAGGAAGAACCATGTCCCCCTAAAAACCCAGGGGATGCTCTTGAGTGCTTCTTGGCTCTGCCACACATAATAGAAAATGTTAGTGGACAATTTTGTGGGCTAGATTGTGTCCCCCGAAAAAGCTATGCTAAAATCCTAACCCCCAATACCTGTGAACGTGATGTTATTTGGGAGTACAGTCTTTGCAAATGATATCAAGGGTAGATGAGCTGGATAAGGGTGGGCTCTAGTCCATGTGACTATCGTCCTTATAAGAAACAGAGAAGGCCGGGCGCGGTGGCTCACGCCTGTAATCCCAGCACTTTGGGATACCGAGGCGGGCGGATCACGAGGTCAGGAGATCGAGACCATCCTGGCTAACACGGTGAAACCCCGTCTCTATTAAAAATACAAAAAATTAGCCAGGCATGGTGGCGGGCACCTGTAGTCCCAGCTACTCGGGAGGCTGAGGCAGAAGAATGGTGTGGACCCAGGAGGCAGAGCTTGAAGTGAGCCAAGATCGCACCACTGCACTCCACCCTGGGAGACAGTGAGACTCCGTCTTAAAAAAAAAAAAAAAAAAAGGAAACAGAGAAGAGACACAGACACACACAGAAAGAGTGCCATGTGACAATGGAGGCAGATACTGGAATGATGAAGCAACAAGCCAAAAAATTACCAGGACGTGCCAGCAGCATCAGAGCTAGGAGAGGGGCCTAGGGAGGCTTTTCTTTCAGAACCTCCAGAAGGAATGCATTCTGCTGACATCTTGATTTTGGACTTCCAGCCTCTAGAACTGTGACAAAATCAATTTGTTTTTTGAGCCACCACTCAGTTTGTGGTAATTTATTTTGTCAGCCTTTGGAAATAGAAATGGACAATAATAGCAACCTCACAAAGGCAGGACTGCTAAGGACTCACACCCTTTGGGAATTAAGGTTTGGGTCACCCGACAAGAAAAAGGATCCCCAACTAGTTGAGTTAAATATTAGCTACGATACTGTGGCCAGAAATGAAGACTGTAGCAGCTGTCCATATTTTCTTCTTATAAATATGTGTGTGCACACATGTGTGCATATATGTGCAAGTGTGGGCATGCATGTTGTAAACTAAAAATAAAATCCAAGCTGGGCACAGTGGCTCGCACCTGTAATCCCAACACTTTGGGAGGCCGAGGCAGGTGGATCACCTGAGGTCAGGAGTTTGAGACCAGCCTAACCAACATGGGGAAATCTCATTTCTACTAAAAATACTAAAAAGTACTAAAAAAAAAAAAAAAAAAAAAAAAAAAAAAAAAAAAAAAAAGCTAGGTGTTGTGGCTCACACCTGTAGTCCCAGCAACTTGGGAGGCTGAGGCATGAGGATTGCTTGAACTGGGGAGGTGAAGGTTGCAGTGAGCCGAGATCATGCCACTGCACTCCAGCCTAGGTGACAGAGCGAAACTCTGTCTAAATAAACAAATATAAAATCCAGACTCTCCCACCTATTGAACAGACCCCATTGTGGCCAAGGAGAGCCCAGAGAAACCTGAAAACTGAGTTCCTGGCCATGACAGGATGGGACATCAGACATGCCTTGTTATGCCCCTTCCCTTTTATGGTTTAGTCACAACAGCCAGCATTAATGTTAAAATAGAGACTGTAAGAATGACAGAACAGACTCTTTGTGGCCATAAGATACCAAATTATAAACAGGACCTACCATGCCAAGCAAGAGGTAAGTCACACACCCCTACACTGAAAGGATAAACTATGTTCTCACAGCTTTTTCTTTTTCTCTAGCAGCTAAACAAGCCCCAGCCTCAACGTAAGCAATATTAAAACAATCACAATCCATCCAGCTCACAGACAGACACTCACTCACTAAACTCCTGTTCCGCCAGCCATAGTTACAGCTTCGATCAGACAAGAGACTGATTTCAGTAACTTTCTCCTGATAAGAGCCCACCAATCATGGACTGGTTCTGGCTGGTTTACAGAGGTTGCACACTTAAGTGCCTTTGTCTCCTGATAAAACCTGTTGACATATAGGGCTAAACTGTAACAAATTTAAATGGTAACTCTCCACCCCAAGGTGAATATGGGTTGTATGTTACATGCATGTTTGTTCACTAGGCATGTGTCAGGACCACCTTCATGAATATTCACAGCTCCTCCTGTAACTTGTTGAATATGTGTGTTTAGTCAACCTATTCAGAATGAAGCTTCTACAACTCAACCCCTTCTCCTTCAAAGTGCCTGTCTCCGGGCTTCAGCCAGAGGCATGCTTCCCAGCCTGCAGGTTGGCCACCTTGCAGGATGTAGCCCTTTATAAGAAAAAAGTCTCCTTTCCGTTTCTAAATTTAAAAATTGTGGATTTTTTTTTTTCAGTTAACAATATCCATTTAAATTTTTCAAATAGATGGTTTGCAAATGTTTGGCATGGGAAAATGCAGGCATATTTCATGAGTAGTTGTCAGAAATTAGGATCAATTTTACGAGGTGACTATCCAACAGGGACCAAGGAAGGAATCTCTGCCATTTTCATAGAGCCACTGATTGGCCCACTCATTGAAAATGCTGAGCAAGACCTCACCCTCACTCGCCCGGTCCTGAACCAGCCTGGCAGAGTTCTTGTCCCACTCAGAGATAGCGTTCTACATCCTATCTGAGTGACAGGATCAGCCCTGCCCTTATCAGCCCTCCGTAGATTCCATAATGAGGCTCCTACGAGTCTCTCTCATCTTCTCATTATCTCAACTACGATCCCTCTCCCTTTTATAGCACAAACTCCTCCAGTCCTGTGACATCTGTGATCATCAGGAACTTTTATTTTACCCATGGCTTTTTCCTCCTACACTGCTTCCCTCCACTTATCCAGAAACCCATCAATCTCTAAATGCTCTGCTCATGTATAATATCTTCCCTAAACTTCTGCACATCTCTAACCCATTAATATCACATAGTTTATGCTTAGTTCCTCCTCATTCATTTTATGAGATTTTGTTTAGCCCTAAAGATTTTTTCCATCTGGCTTGAAATTCTTACTTCTTTTTTTTAAATTTTTTGCCAAATTCAATCTTTAAAATAGGGGAACGATCCTCTTTCCTTCAAGAGATTTTGATGTCAGAAAGCACTGACTCACGCAAAGGTCCACATTTTCAGATTCACTGGCAAGCTGGTTGGTGAGGACAAGCTTTTGACTGAATCAAAGCTCAGTGGTTTTAAAGTGGAGTTGGGCAGAGCCTAGGCTTTTTGTGAGGGTGCTTAGGTGTCACTATGAAGGCCAGACGAGGGAGAGGGTGAGTGTGAGTTGAGTGAGTGAGACCGGAGCTTCAGCCAAAACAGCTATACTTTTGTCTATGTATATGCATATGTCTATATGTGTATATGTATGTATGTGTATGTGTACATGTATATGATATGCGTGGATACATGCTCATGTATATGCACTTGTGCATGTATTTGCATATGTATTTGTATATGCATTTGTATGTGTATGTGTATATGCATGTATATTTATATTAAATAGTGGGTAACTTTTCATTTCCCAGCAGGTTCAGATGCTTTAGAAACATAGTTTGAGATTCACTGCTTTAGGACCACATACTCATGATGAAAGACAAAAACGAAAAATAAACAGAGTCAGGGAGATTAAATCTATAACCAAAGACAACATGAGTATTTAATGTCAGCTACTCAAGCTCCAGTTTCCCCCTTCTGGTGAAAGGCTTGTTCCCTGGGGTCTTCTCTCTCAAAGGTCAGCGGCAGGAACTCCTTGGGGACTGGATGAGTAACTGGCATCTTTCAGTCCTGGGGTTGGGCTGTGCCTGTGGCTCTGAAACTCAGAAACTCCTCAGCCTGTGACCTCATGGGCTGGATCTGGCCCTGGCTCTGCCACTCAGACTCCGTGACATCTCCTCAATCCCTTCCCGCTGCAGCAGAGTGGCTACTGTGCTGCTCTCCAGCCAGCCTGGGGACTACCGTCTCTTAGGGCTTCACTGTAGGACGCACCTTTTATTCTCTGGATAGTTTTTATGACTTTGTTTGTTATTTACAGGCCAAGTTCAGTGGCCCCTGTAAACACAGTCACAATCTGCAACCGTGCTCTTAATTATGATCTTATTAAGAAATAGATTCCCACACAACTGGCACAAGGATGCCAGAAGCCAATATTTCTAATTCATAAATGTTTAGACTTATTTTCTCTCACCAAAATGTGCCTCTGAAAGCCTCAAGAGAAGAGGAAATAAAGAAATAAAAGTGAAAAAAGCAACCAGCAATAAGGATGATTCTGTTACTTCAACTATGCCTAAGACAGCCTGACCTTTAGCTGGAAATGGCCAGTCCCTTCTGGACTGTTAGGCAGAGAACTAAAAGTCAGGGGCTTCATGAAGAGGGTGGAGATGAAGTGAGGCTCGCCAAGGCCTGCCTGCCGTCCCATCGCTCTGAGGTGATGGGAGGTTCTATCCTGTTTCAGAAATTAGCACACTGAGCCTTTGGAACCCTGTAGGTCTCTCCTAGATTGCAGCCTGTCAGATGGTGTCCCTCAAGTGGCCCTACCTTCTTAATGTGAAGAGCAGCACTCAGGCAATATGACTTCCTCCAGCTTCAAAGGCAAACAAAACTTCAAAGGCTGATGCAGCCTTTCTTTTTCTTTACAGCAGATCACTAACAGAGCCTTTTGTACATTGCAAACATTTGTAAATATATATTAATATTTGTTCTAGTCCTGACCTGAACAGAACTTTTTGCATGATGAAATGCATAAACCTCATCCTAGAAATAAATGAGCATTCTGGATAAATATTTTAGCATTTTTATGAAGTTTTTTTTTTTTTTTTTTTTTTTTTCGAGACAGAGTTTCACTTTATTGCTCAGGCTGGAGGGCAGTGGTGTGATCTCAGCTCACTGCCACCTTCACCTCCCAGGCTCACCCGATTCTCCTGCCTCAGCTTCCCAAGTAGCTGGGATTACAGGTGCCCACCACCACGCCCGGCTAACTTTTGTATTTTTAGTAGAGACAGGGTCTTGCCATGTTGGCCAGGCTGGTCTTGAACTCCTGACCTCAAGTGATCTGCCCACCTCGGCCTCCCAAAATGCTGGGATTACAGGCATAAGCCACCGCATCAGGACTTTATAAAGTTTTTTTGTTTTGTTTTGTTTTTTTGAGACGGACTCTCGCTCTGTCACCCAGGCTGGAGTGCAGTGGCACGATCTCGGCTCATGGCAAGCTCTGCCTCCCAGGTTCACGCCATTCTCCTGCCTCAGCCTTCCAAGTAGCTGGGACTGCAGGTGCCTGCCACCATGCCCAGCTAATTTTTTTGTATTTTTTAGTAGCGACAGGGTTTCATCGTGTTAGCCAGGATGGTCTCAACATCCTGACCTCGTGATCCACCCACCTTGGCCTCCCAAAGTGCTGGGATTACAGGTGTGAGCCATCATGCCCGGCCCATAAAGTATTTCAATGGGCTAAGAATTCTTCCAAACCTCAGCTGAACACCTGCTCTGCTGATTCCTGACAACTCCAGCTGGGTCCCCAGGACTAGACAAAGATTTCAAGCTTCCTTTAGCAGCTATGTTGCTCTTTGCACCCATGCCTGCAACTCTTTAATCTTTTTTTTTCTGTAAAGTTTTCTAATGTCAGTCTTTGAATTAGCTTTCTAGAGATCTGGAAGATCCCTTGCACCATGAATAGCTAAAGTTAAAAGAAATGTATAACATAGTTGAAAAGGAATGGAAGGCGTAGTAGATGTAGATTGAATTTTCCCTGATGTTTATAATTATTTGCAATTACTCATGTCATTTTCATCCTTTTACAAGATCATGGCCCCGTTTCATAGGGGAGAAAGCTAAGGGTAAGAAGGTAAAGGGATCTGTCCAAAAGCTGACAACTAACCCACTAAAGGCTCAAGGTCTTACTTAGACTCCATTTATTTTCTAAACCAAATGTTTCTGCTCTTTCCCTCACATCACAAGGGCATGCAGAAGGATGCTTATAAATCACCACTGACTGCTGGGGTGGAAAGGAGAAACGAGTGCACAGACCAACATGCAGATTCACCTGCAAACACTGTACACACCTGTCCTGGAACTCTCTCCTTGCTCTGGAGCCAAGGATAATACAGAGAGGACAAACACTGAGGTTTTAGTTCCAGGCACCTCTGTGCCTGGAGACAGGCAGCACCTTAAAAACACATGATGAGGCAATTTGAATGTGAAACATCAGGGTGCTTTCCCTAAAGCATCCTTCATGTTCCATCAGCAATTGTTCTGTGGGTGTAATCAGTTTATGTTTTCTTCTGCTCTTTCCACAGTCTCTCCAGATATGTCTTCCTCCCTCTGTAAGGGAACATGAGAAGCGTTGCCAGTTTAAAAAAAAATTGTTAATAAACATACAACTTGCATGTGCTTGCTTGAGATGCCCATTACTGAAGAATTGGCTCTAGAAATTCTAGAATAGGAGCACTGATACAATTATGAAACTGATCCTCCCAAGCAAAATACTCTAACTTTTTGTTAACAGAAGAAAAAGGCTTTGAGCCAGCTTTCAAAATCTTTTCAGTTTGTGCCTTTGAACTTTATGGTGAGGGTGGGGAAGAGCAAAATCTACTAGTCAAGCAGAGACCTTGTCTGCTTTCCTTCCACAGTCTCAGAAACTGGGTAGAAATTAACTGCCTTTAAAGACAAGAGGCAATTGCAATTCCATGAGCACCAGCCTTACATCCCCATCATTTGTGTGCTGAGAAAGGTGACAGCAGCCTTCCAGGGCCTTGGTATTCAGATTGGCAAACTCCACAGCAGGAATGCTGAATGAGGCAGAACTTTCTCGGAAAAGTGTTGAATCAGTACATTTCGATGGAACAGCCCCCAGAGGCATAATATTTAGTGATTTCAGCCTACATTATTTATTGACTCATCAGGAGTTTGTGGGTTTAACATTTTATTAATATGGCACCAGGTCATCTGAGAAAGTGGTAGCCATAGGAAATCTTCCCAGAAGCACATTTTCATATTATAAACAGTGCCCTTCGAGGACTAAACAGAGTCCCCACTGTGTCTCTGGGGAGAGATAGAAAATGCCACATCTTCTACAAGCCATCTCTCTCTAAGGAAGTCAAATGGCAGTGAGTAAAATCCATACCTACTTTAATTCTTTTGTTGATAATCTTGTAGTCCTTATTCTGTGACTTCAGATTTGTACACATCTGGGGCAGCTGCAATCTCTAGGACCTAAGGTAGATTTGGGTACTTAAATGAGTCCCTGCTGTTTCATTTGTTAAGTGACCCCCAGATGTCTGGCATCAAAGAAAACTTTCAGTATTGAGAATGTGGAATCAAGATCAAACAAAATCCATATCCAAGGGAATTTGAAAAGGGAATCAATCTATAGTATCAAGTTTCAATAAGATACAATTTAGCCATTTTCCAAACAAAAGGAAAACTCAATACTCATGATTTTTCTCTCCTATATTACATTACATACTATTTTAAGATAATCACAAATACAGAACAAACTACCATCCGATACTCTTCTTAAAGAGATTGATAGGGATTTGGCCTAGAGATTTGGTTTGGTTTAATCTCAATGATTAATATTTCTATAAGTTTATATTGATTGATATTACAACATTTCAAAATGCCATTTAAGAGCTCAAACAAGAAATAAAGTTGTTAAGAATACTTTTACTGTGTTAGTTAGACATTGATAAGATAGATAGACAGGTAGAATATATAGTCATGTACCACATAACAACATTTCAACCAACAATGGACCACATATATGATGGTGGTCCCATAATATTATAATGGAGCATATATAGAAACCTAACTTATGGCACTTGTTATTGGCATTGCAGATCAAGTAGGGGAAATGACTGATATTTAGTAATGATGCTGGGACATTTGGTTTTCCATGTAAAAAATATATATAAAATAAGTATATAATATTATAAATATATAAGTATATAATATTATAAATATATATAATATACATATAATAATATGCATATACATCATCTAGGTTTGTGTAAGTACACTCTATGACATTCACACAATGACAAAATTGCCTAACGTTGCATTTATCAGAATGTCTCCTCATCATTAAATAATGCAGGACTGTATATAAACATACAGACATATAGCATGCGTGACAACTTTCTCATGCATGGCTGAGAACAGGGCTCTGGAGCCAGATTTTTAAATTCAATTCCTGGCTCCACCAGCTGTGTGGCCTTGCCTAGGATGACTTGCCTTCCCATTTTGAGCCTCAGTTTCCTCATTTGTAAACTGGAGGTATTTCTAGCACCTACTTTGTATGTCTGTAAGAGCTAGCACAGTACCTGACACATGGTAAGTGCTAAATAAGTGTTGACAATTATTTCTATGTGTTTATTTTATTATCAATTCTTTTTTGGACCTCAGGTGCACAGGACATCAAGCATACCACTCAGATCAAGGCTCCTTATTAACTTGAGAACAGCCTCTCTTTCATTTTATGTTTTGTTCCTGTATTATTCTGTTCTCCCATTGCTATGAAGAAATACCTGAGGCTGGGTAATTTACAAAGAAAAGTGGTTTAATTGGCTCACCGTTCTGCAGGCTGTGCAGAAGGCATGATGCTGAGTACATAGCTGAGCATCTGCTCAGCTTCCAGGGGAGCCTAAGACAACTTAAAATCATGGCAGGAGGAGAAGGGGGAGCAGGCACATCACATGACCAGAGCAGGAAGAAGAGAGAGAGAGTGAAGGGGGAGGTGCCATACACTTTTCAACAACCAGATCTTGCAAGTACTCACTCACTGTCATAGGGACAGCACCAAGGGGAGAGTGCTAAACCATTCATGAGCAACCACCCCCATGATCCAATCACGTTCCCGCAGGCCTCACCTCCAACATTGGGAATTACAGTTCGACATGAGGTTTGGGCAGAGACACAGATCCAAACCTTATCAGTCCCCATCTCCTGCTTCATTCTACCCCTGAGCACAGGTTTCATTTTAATTTAATTTAATGTAATAGTTGGCATGCATTCTTTCCTTGTAGATGACATCATAAAATGTGTAGACCTGTTTTGTATGCATACATTTTAAATTACGTAAATGCAATTTTGCTTCTTCCTTTTTCCCTCAGATAAGTGTTTTTAAGATATCCTTGTTGCTGTGTGCACACCTTGTCAGTATCATGCATTCACCATATTTTACATGTCTATTACCACAGTTGTTGGTTGAATTGTGTCCCGCCAAAAATATGTTGAAGCCATAACTCGATATAATTAAACTAAGATGAGTTTTTATTGTATTAAAATCTAAATCCTAAATCCCTAAATCCAAAAACTTTTGTTCTTATAAGATGAGAGAAATCTGAAGACATAAACAGGAAAGAAGGCCATGTAAACATGGAGGCAGATTGGAGTCATGGTGCTACAAAGCAGGGAATGTTAAGGATGGCTTTCAACCATCAAGAATTGGAGGAGGCAAGAAATAATTCTTCCCTAGGAACTTCAGAGGGAGCATGGACCTGCCAACAATTTGATTTCAGACTTCTCATCTTTAGAACTCAGAGATAATAAATTTATTTTGTTTTAAGCCACTCAATTCAAGACAGCTTGTCATAGCAGCCCTAGAAAACTAGTACAAAGTCTCCAACCATTTTTGTAGTAGAACTATCTATTTCTTCCCTTAATTCTGTCAATATTTGTTTCATATCTTTTGGGGCTCTATTGTTTGGTACATATGTATTTACAATTGTTATATCTCCTTGGTGAATTGATCTTTTAAATCAATATTTAATACCTTTTTTGTCTCTTGCAACAATTTTTGAATCAAAGTCTATTTTATCAAATATTAGTGTAGCCACTCTAGCTCTATTTGCATGGACTATCTTCTTATATCCTTTCATTTTCAACCTATAATATTTGTGTCTTTGGCTTTAAAATGAGTCTCTTTTAGACAGCATATAGTTGGACCATTTAAACAAAATCTATTCTGCCAGTCTCTGTCTTTTAACTAGTGAGTTCAATCGTTTGCCTTTAAAGTGACTACTGGTGATTTTTTAATTTAGTTCTTGCATGTCTTTTATCTCTTTGCTCACTGATAACCTCCAATACTGCTTTCTTTTGTGTTAGATTGATTTTTTTTCTAGTTTGTCATTTTAATTCCCACCTCATTTCCTTTTATGTATATTTTTAGATATTTTCTTAGTGCTTACCATGGGGATTACATTTAAATCTGAAATTTAAAATAATCTAGTGTGAATTGATATCAAATTAGCTTCAAGAGCATATAAAAACTCTGTTCTTGTACAGTTCAGTATCCCCCTTTATGTTGTCACAAATAACATTTTTATACATTGCATGATTATTAACACAAAGTTAAAAGTACTATTTATGCATTTGTTTTTAAAATAAAATAGGATATAAAAAGAGGAGTTATACATCAAAAATTTAATAATACTGGCTTATGTATTTACCTGTATAGTTACCTTTACCAGAGCTCTTATTTCTTCATATGTGTTCAAATTCCTGTCTAGTTTCCTTTTATTTCAGCCTGAAGGATTCTATTCAGCATTTCTTAGAGGTCAGGCCTCCTAGTGATACACTTCCTCAGCTTTTGTTTATGTGGGAAAGTATTAATTTCTCATTTCATTGAGAATGATAGCTTGCTGGACATAGAATTCTTGGTTGACAGTTTTATTTTATTTTAAGCTCTTTAAATATGTCATCCCACTGCATTTTGCCCCCCACAATTTCTTATCCCTTAGGTTCTATAAATTTTTCTTTATTATTTTTTCTTTCTGCTCTCCAGACTGGATAATTTCAATTGTCCTAGCTTCAAATTCACTGATTCTCTCATGCCTGCTCAAATCTACTAGTGAACCTCTCTAGGTTAATTATTTGTTTCAGTTATCATGCTTTTCAGGCTCAGAATGTCTACTTCATTCATTTTTTATAATATCTATTGCTTTGTTGCTATTCTCTATTTTTTCATATGTAATTCTCCTGTTCACAGTTTCCTTTGTTCACGATTTACTTTAGCTCTTTGAGCATATTTTAGATAGTTAATTTAATTTCTTTGTTTAATGAATCCGATGTTAGGGCTTTATCATTGACGGTTTCTGTCTGTTTTTTCTTTGTTGTGTGTGAATAGGCCATACTTTCCTCTTTTGTATGCCTTTGATGTTTGTTGTTGATGTTGAAAACTTGACGCTGTGAATATTATAATATTGTAACTATGATAATCAGATCCTTCCCCCTCCCCACGGTTTGTTGATGGTGATAGTAAAGAACTGCATTCTGTTTTTTTATTTTTGCAAAGTATTTTTATGAAGACCGCATTCTTTATTGTACATAGTCTTGCAATCTGTTTCATTATTTCCTCATTTGACCTGTGACCTGATAGAGATTTCCTTAAATGCCTGGAGCCAAAACAAAAAACAACAAAAAAAAGATTTTGGTCTTTTCATATTGGCCCTGAGCTGGTACAATACTTTATTGTTTAGACAGCCCACCTATAACTCAGCCTTAGCTTTCATGAAGCTCCATGCCCAAAGATACCCAGAGTTGCAAGTCTAGGGCACTGTCAGTTCTTTTTATGAGAATGTATTTATCTTTGGGTGTAGACTTTACACTCCAGATTACTCATTATGTGCAGTGCCTTTACTTCCTCAAGAGTCTACCTCAGTAGCCACCTCATTCCCAGACCTTTAGGACCATCTGGTATCTGCTCCGTCCTCCATCACTTGTCTTAGGTGGCTATGGGTAGCACTCCAAACACTTTCATGAGATGATACCTAAAAGGCTCCTCCAGCAGAAAGAGATGAAACAATGGTCAGCCTCTGTGCTGGTCTCTCAGGGAACTGCCACATAAGTCAAAACCTACAAATACAATTTATTTTCAGAACAAGGTCTATATTCTGCCACCTACCACCCAGGCAGTGGCACCAGCAAGCCACATCATAAATTCATGTTGTGATTCCCAGGACCACTGGTGATCTAGGGAATCAAGAATTGTCTGTGGGTCAGAAAAAAGCCACAGTTTTTTCTTACTAAAATTCAGCTTTCTCTTTTTTCAATAGATATTCTCTGATTATTGTAAGTGTTGAATTAGATTGCAGAGTTTTAGTAAAAGTGGATTCTGCCAGTTTTTCTAAGATTAATGGTGGCTTCAGTGGAGGAACCAATTCTTGGAGCTCCCTACTTAACTAGTCCTATCATGTAACCACACTCCTAATCTTTTAAAATGAAGAGCAGTAGAAATGAACAAAGGTAACATAAAATTTACTGGCTTTCTCATTTTTGATTTCTCTAAAGTCTTACTATTTAAAGCAAAAATAATAACAGATTTTGTGTCTAAAGCATATGTAAAATTGTAGTGTATAAAAATAGTACATAGGTCAGAGGGAGGATTGGAGATATATATAGATATATAGAGAGAGATATATACACACACATACACAAACACATTCTTATAATATGTAATTTTAATTTTATTTTTCCCTTTATTCTTATCATTGTATATGTAATGTTTTTGCAGCCCATTTTTTGCCACTTACTATGTGTTGAAGGACATGAACCAATCACAATATTTGTAATGACTTCATGATAATCCCTCTGTGTGTCAGTGAAAATGTATTCACAGATAAAAGGCTCCTGACTAACTAATTTAAGCAGAGAAGGACTTTGCACAAGGCATTAAATTGCTTAATCCATGACAGGAGTGAGACAGCTGGATTTAATGTCTAGAAATGACACCCAAAGACAGCCTGCACCACTAAAAGCCCAGGAGAGTTGCTTCTTTGGACTTAGCATTAGGCCACTTGTATTAGTCACAGTTCTCCTGAGAGTATTACACACATCTCTCTGTCTCTCTGTCGCTCTCTCTGTCTCTCTGTCTTTCTCTCTCTTTCTCTCTCCCTCTCTTTCTGTATATATATATATATATATATATATATATTTGATGGTTTCTGTTTTTTCTTTTCTGTGTGTGAATAGCCCATACTTTCCTCCTTTGTATGCCTTTCGATGTTTGTTGTTGTTTGCTATATATATATATAGAGAGAGAGAGAGAAATACACATAAAATACACACACATATATGTGTGTGTGTGTATATAATATACAATATATTACATATGTTATATGTAATAAGGATTTGGCTTGCACAATTTTGGAAACTGGCAAGTTCAAAGTTCAAATCTGAAGTAAGATCCAGGAGAACGGATGGTACAGATGAAGCCCAAAAGCACTCTTTTGGAAAATTTTCCATTACTCAAGGTATGGTTTGCCTTTTGTTCTGTTCAGGAATTCAAATGATTCGATGAGGCCCAACTACATTATGGAGGGCAATACACTTTACCAATTGAAATGTTAAGTGTCATCTCCAAACACCCTCATAGAAACACCCAGAATAATGTTTAACCAAATATCTGGGCACCCTATGGCCCAGTTAAGTTGATACAAAATTAATCATCATAAGCATCCCTTGTCAACCTGACAACCATGCACATCTTGAAGAGATAATAACAAGGTCATTCTTCTGCCTAACATGGTGCAAACATCCTGTGTACAACCAAAAACACATGAAATATTTCCCCAGAAAAATAAGCAAAATAATTGGATGATGTTTATATTTTTCGTTTATATCCCAAAACTTAAATATCATGTTGTAAAATGACAATATTTAACTACTATGAAAGAAAGTCAGCCAGGCGTGGTGGTTCATGCTTGTAATCCCAGCACCTTGGGAGGCTGAGGCAGGCAGATCACGAGGTCAGGAGATCGAGACCATCCTGGCTAACATGGTGAAACCCCATCTCTACTAAAAATACAAAAAATTAGCCGGGCGTGGTGGTGGGTGCCTGTAGTCCCAGCTACTCGGGAGGCCGAGGCAGGAGAATGCCATGAACCCAGGAGGCGGAGCTTGCAGTGAACGGAGATCACACCACTGCACTCCAGCCTGGGTGACAGAGCAAGACTCCATCTCAAAAAAAAAAAAAAAAAAGTCAATACTTGTTATGTTACATAATAAGGGAATAAGAGAGAGAACAAAAGATATATATACACTTACACACAGAGACACACACAGACATATAAATAACAAATTAAGAAAGAAATACTCAGTCAGGCATGGTGGTTTATGCCTGTAATCCCAGCACTTTGGAAGACCCAGGCGGGTGGATCACCTGACGTCAGGAGTTCAAGACCAGCCTGGCCAACATGGTGGAACTCCCTCTCTACTAAAAGTACAAAAATTAGCCGGGCATGGCAGTGCACACCTGTAATCCCAGCTACTCAGGAGGCTGAGGCAGGAGAACTGCTTGAACCTGGGAGGCAGATGTTGCAGTGAGCCTAGATCGTGCCACTGCACTCCAGCCTGAGCTACAGAGCGGGACTCTGTCTCAAAAAAAAAAAAAAAAGAAAGAAAGAAGAAGAAAAGAAATACTCATGACAATTACAGTCCTTACAGTCCTTGTTTCTATAACTGGTCATGTGGTCGTAGCTGGTGTTTATAGCTACCTTCCTCCACTACCCATTCTGTATTACTTTGCCTTCAGCAAGCACCTCAACTGGTTGTAGCTCTTTTTTGGGGGGGATGACTCAAACATTCATTCCTGGAGAGTCATCTGAAACATTAGATTGGGTTGTAGTTTTCTTCTGATTTTAATCACAGGGCATGGTAATACTAAGAGATTCCCTAAGGGATCTTCTGAATTCTAGATATACTTTTCCTTACCTCCATTGTGGAGTAGCAGTCTAATTTCTCCTTGATAATCCAGCCAGACCAGTATCAATCATTCCAGCCAGCATGATAACTTTCTTTGGCAGTTAATTTAGAGGCATGAGGAGCCCCAGATGACTGGGTGGCACTCTTAACTTCAGGTTCAATGGAATCATTTTGTTTCCTGGTGGAAGTATTCCTCCCTTTGGAACTAAGACCCCTAGCCCAGCAGAGTATAAAGTCATGGGAACAGGAAGCAAACATTCCGCTAGTGGTCACCAGGGGTAATGGTGAGTTGTGTCACTCCCATATCTACCCCTTGATTCTTGGACCTATGCATTTGGCCATGGGAGAAACAGAACCATATATTAGACACTGATTTAAAGCATATTCAGCCTTTTGGAGAACTTTGTCCCAGCCATGCAAGGTATTGCCATCTAGCTGACTCTGTGACTGAGTCTTCAAAGAGCCATTCCACTATCTTACCAAGCCTGCTTTTGTAGCATGGTGGGGAACATAGAAAGGCCAATGAATTCCATGAGCATGAGCCCGTTGCTGCACTTTGTTTGTTGTGAAGTGAGTTCCTTGATCAGCAACAATGCTGTGTGGAATAACATAACAGTGACTAATGCATTCTGTAAGTCCACAGATTGTAGTCTTAGTAGAAGCATTGCATGCAAGGAAGGAAAATACATATTCAGGGTAAGTGCCTTGTCTAGTAGAAACAAAACCCTGCTTTTCCCATAATGGAAGCAATAGAATGTAATCAACCCGCCCCAGGTTACTGACTGATCATCTCGAAGAATGATCCTGTATCAAGTAATCAGTGCTGTTTCTTCTGCTGACTGATTGAGCATTCAACAGTGGCCATAGTCAGGTCAACCTTGGTGAGTGGAAGTCCGTGTTGCTAAGCCCATGCATAATCCCCATCTTTGCCACAATGGCAAAGAGCCCATTGGACTATGACAAATGTGGATGGGGAAAGAAACTGACTGTATCCACAGAATGAGTCATTCTATCCATTTTATTACTAAAATCTTGGTAAGCATTCACATGGGACACAGATATCTTCATGTTTTTCTCCCATTCAAAGAGGTCTACTCTCATACCTCTTCTCCATACTTCGTTTTCACCAATACTCCTATATTGTTCCTTCTAAGGACATGACCATTAAGCCAAACCATTTGCCACAGCTCATAAATCAGTATAGAATCTCATTGCTGGCCATTTCTCATTGTAAATAAAGTGAACAACCAGGTGTGCTGCTTGAAGTTTTGCCCATGGAGAGGATTTTTTCTTTATCAGTGTTCTTCAGGAATGATCCAGAGAGGGTCGCAGTGCTGCAGCTGTCCACTTTTCGGTAGTGTCTGCATATGCTGCAGAACTATCTGTAAACCAGGCTTGAGATTCTTTTCCTCTACAATTGATCATAGGGAACTCTCCATGAGGCCATAGGTTCAGGCTTCTACGGAAGGCATGGACATTTGTGTCATTTCTTCATGTAACTTAACTGTGCCATTAGGGCCTGCTCAAGCTCAATCTTACATATACTACTTCCATTTGATGATAGATTGTTACTGTGCACATCTACCTCTTGAGTTGGTGGGTAAGAAAATACCCAGCTCATAATGGCCAACTCAGCTTGCATGGTAATTTGATGGACCAGGATTAGGTGTTCAGGCTCTAAAAGGGCCCAGGAATAGGCCAAAAGCTGTTCCTCAGAAAGACAGTAGTTATTCACAGGGGATGGCAGATCCTTTCTCCAGAGTCCTATGTCTGCACTGCGATTCACTTAAAAGGGCCTGCCAAAGGCTCCACACAGCACTTCTCCCTGCCACTGACACTTCAAGTACCATTGGATCTGATGGCTCATGTGGCTCAAGGGGCACAGCAGCTGCACAGTAATGTAGGCCTTTTGCAGAACCTTCTCTTTTCTAGGCTCCACTCAAAACTCGCAGCTTTTTAGTTCACTTTGTAAATGGGTTGGACCTGAATGAGGAATACGTTGCCTCCAAAATACTAAGAGGCCTCTAGGCCTTGAGCCTCTTTCTTGGTTATAGGAGGGACGGGATGTTGCAACTCTCTTTCACCTTACAAGGGATATTTTGACACACCCCACAGCACTAGGCCCCTAGAAACTTCACTGAGGTAGAATGCCCTTGCATTTTAGTTGGATTTATTTCCTACCCTCTGACATGCAAATGTCTTACCAATAAGTTCAGAGTGGTTGCTACTTCACACTCACTAGGTTAAATCAGTATAATGTCATTAAGATAATGGACCAGCGTGGTATCTGGTGGAAGGAAAAGGCCTCAAGTTCTGTATGAACTGAATTTATGACACAGGGCTGGAGAGCTGATATACCCTTGGGATAGGACACTCAATTTGTATTGTTGGCCTTGCAGGTTGAAAGCAAACTGCTTCTAATGGCCTTTCGAAACAGATACAGAAAAAAAAAGGCATTTGCCAGATCTCAGATACCAGGTACCAGGGGATGTGTTAATTTGCTTAAGTAATGAAACCACATCTGCTAAAGCAGCTACAATTAAAGTTAATACTTGATTAAGCTCATGAATCCACTGTCATTCTCTAAGGTCCATCTGTCTTCTGCACAGTCCAAATAGCACAATTGAATGTGGATATGGTAGCAACTGCCACGCCTGCATCTTTCAAAGTCCTTGAGAGTAGCACTAATCTCTGTAATCTCTCCAAGAATGCAGTATGGCTTTTGGTTTACATTGTTTAGGTACAGGCAGTTCCTATGATAACGGCCCTCACTCCACAGGTCAGAGAACCAATGTGGGGATTCTGATAGTTGCTGAATATGTCCATTCCAATTATGCACTCTGGAACTGGGAAATAACCACAGGATGGGTTCAGAGATTACCTGAATCTACTATAAGATGAGCTAAAACTCCACTGATCACCTGATCTGCATAACCCCTACTCTGACTGTTGAGTCACAGTGGTGTTCAGTGCCACCAGGAATTAGTGTCAATTCAGAGCCAGTGTCCAGCAGTCACCAAAATGTCTGATTATTTACTTTTCCCTAATGCTTAGTCATCTTGTTAAAAGGCCATAAGCTCCTCTGGGGAAGGCTGAGAAAGAGATTAACATTATAAATTTTTGGCAGTGTCATGGGTTTCTTCCTCAAGGGGACTTGGCTTTTATCCCTTACAGGAAGAATAAAGGCCTTACTTTGCCTCTGATAATTGATTGAGGGATCATGATTCTCTGTTTTTCAGTATTAGAGTTAGACTTTTATTCACTTGACCTACAACTTTTTCTGCTTATACAGATCAAGTAAGAATTTAGTTGGCTTCCTATCTATTTCACTTCTAGGAGCACCATGATCAACTAGCCAATGCCATAGGTCTCCACGAGTGAGACTATTCTAGTGGCTGCTGTGACATTGCTGTCCACTGTGTCAGCTAGGCCCACCTGGATTTTGGTGGCTGAATGCCGGTACTTGGCTCCTGCCAACCTGGGATCCAGTTACTCCCATTACATTTAGTTTTCCCAATTCAGTGACTCTAGTTTCCACTAAAAATCTTGCCTATAGAGAACAAACACATCAAGGATGCTGAGGCTCTCCTCAAAAATTTATTTCTCACCATTTTGGTGAAAGGTATGTCTTTTGAAGCCTCCCAGGGCATATAAGTAGGTCTTAAATGGAAAATCCACTCTAACATCCCAATGTCTTTAAGCCTTTAATCCCTTCTTCGGCATTAAACCAAGGCACACCTGGCATTTATATTTGAACTCCCTTGCTGTGGGCCACCTTTTGATCCCTTTTTGGGTCCACCAACCAAACTGTTAGAGTCCTTTCTGACTCCCCAAGCTACAATATTAAATGCAGAGTCTCTGCTTAGTGGGCCCATATCAATAAACTTACCCTGATCTAACTTTCTCTCATTAGCCCACACACTTACTATTCATTTCTGCACATATAGCCTGGATTTTTGTCTGTATAAATAAGAAAACACAACTAATTCCCTTGGAGTGTGTCACGCCTCTTCATGGGTCACACTTTCTACCTCGCCTTTAGAGTCCTGTTGTGATGTGAGTGTAGTTATGGGGTGGGTCCTGAAAAAAATCAGCTGTGTTTTGCATGGCAACTACCTCAGGGGGCCCATTGCAGTCACCTCAGGCTATACAGTGTTAATTGCCCCAAATAGGTTCAGAGCAGCCATTCCTACTGGGCTGGAGAGTTGTTTCTACTGGCAAAGAAGATTCATCAGAATGTAGGGGCTTAACGATCCCAGCTTCATCAGAGTCTTGCCCCACATACCCATTCCAACTTTCAGGATGCTCTCAGGGCAGCTATTAACTTAAGACAAAGCAGGCTTCCAAAGAAAAAAAAATAGCAGGGATAAAGCAGAGACTTACACAAAGATTGATGAGGCTAATTCTCCAACAAGATGTAAGTTGAACTGAACTGAAACATCAATCAACTGAATCTAATTAACTTTTATAGAATAATTCATTGAACGACAGCAGAATATACATTCTTCTCAAGCTCACATTGAAACACTCACAAAGGCCACATGTTTGGCCATAAAACACACCTTAACATATTTAACGTATTTGTTTAAATAAAAATTAAATATAAAATATAAACTCAGATGACAATAGAATTAAAATAGAAATTAACAACAGAAATATACCACAAAAATCCTAAAATGCTTATAAATTAACCTCAAATAACACATGGGTCAAGAAGGAGCCTCAAGAAAAATTTTTACAAAATATTTTGACCTAACTGAAAATGAGAATTCAAATTATCAAAATATGTAGAATGCAATGAAAATAATACTTAGAGAAAAATTTATAGCATTAAATGCATATATTACAAAGGAAGAAGATTTAAAATCAATAATCTAAGCTTCCACATTTGGGAATTATGAATAGAAAAAAAAATTTAAGCCTAAAGCAAACAAATAAGCAAAATTAGAGCAGAAGTTGATGAACATAAAAAATGGAAAATAAGAGAAAATAAAATCAGAAGCTAGTTCTTTAAAGAGATCAATATAATTGATAAACTTCTAGTCAGACTGAGAAAAATACAGAGAAGACCAAAATTATTAATATCAGAAATTTAAGATATGTCATCAGCAGGAATCCCTTCAATGTGAAAAGATAGTAAAATAATATGATGAATAACTCCGTGACCCCGAATTTGATAACTTATATGAAATGGGCCAATTACTTGCAAAATGCAAACTACCAAACTCATCAAAGACGAAATAGATAATCATTACAAGTCAATATGTATAAAAAATAAATCAGGAGTTAATAACCTTCCAAGAATGTCAGCAGAAGGATCAGATAGTTTCACTGGTGCATTGTATCACACATTTAAGACAGAAAATACAATAATTCTCTACAATCTCTTCTGGAAAATAGAAGCAGAGGGAACACTTTCTAATGCATTCTATGAGGCCAGCACTTCTCTGATACTAAAATCAGATAAATCATTATTAGTAAGAGTAAGAAAAACTATAGACTAATATCTCTCAGGGACAAATACACAAATCCTCAAAAAATATTTGTAACTTGAATCCAACAAGGTATAAAAGAATTGTATTCCACAACCAATTTATTTCAGATATGCAAAGCTGGTTCAACACTGGAAAACAATGCTATCTACCACATCAACAGGTAAAAAAATAAAATTTATATGACCATATCTGATATGGTTTGGATTTGTGTCCCTACTCAAATCACATGTCAAATTTGAGGAGGGGCCTGGTGGGAGGTGATTGGATCATGGGGGAAGATTTCCCCCATGCTTTTTTTGTTGTCAGAGTGAGTTCTCATGAGATCTGATGGTCTACGGGTATGTGGCACTTTCCCCTTTGCTCTCTCTCTCCCGTCACCACAGTAAGATGTGCTTTCTTCCCCTTTGCCTTCTGCTATGATTATAAGTTTCCTGAGGCCTCCCTACCATGCTTCCTGTTAAGCCTGCAGAACTGTGAGTCAATTAAACTTCTTTTCTTCATAAATTACCCAGTCTCAGGTAGTTCTTTATAGCAGTGTGAGAACAGACTAATACAGAAAATTGGTACGGGAGTGGGGCATTGCTATAAAGATACCTGAAAATGTGGAAGCGGCTTTGGAACTGGGTAAAGAGCAGAGGTTGGAACAGTTTGAAGGGCTCAGAAGAAGAAAGGAAGACGTGGGAAGGTTTGGAACTTCCTAGAGACTTGTTGAATGGTTTTGACCAAAATGCTGATAATGATATGAACAACGAAGTCCAGGTGGAGGTGGTCTCACATGGAGATGAAGAACTTGTTGGGAATTGGAGTAAAGGTCACTGTTGCTATGCTTTAGCAAAGAGACTGGTGGTATTTTGCCCCTTCCCTAGAGACCTGTGGAACTTTGAACTTGAGAGAGATGATTTAGGGTATCTGGTGGAAGAAATTTCTAAGCAGCAAAGCATTCAAGAGGTGACCTGGCTGTTTCTAAACATGTACAGTCATATGCATGAACAAAGAGATTATTTGAAACTGGAACTTACATTTAAAAGGGAAACAGCACAAAAGTTTGTAAAATTTGCAGACTGACCATGTGATAGAAAAGAAAAACCCATTTTCTGGGGAGAAATTCAAGCCTGCTGCAGAAATTTGCATATGTAAAGAGGAGCCAAATGTTAATAGCCAAGAATGGAGTCTCCAAGGCATTTCAGAGACCTTTACAGCACCCCCTCCCATCACAGGCCTGGAGGCCTAGAAGGGAAAAATGATGTAGTGGGCCAGGCCCAGAGCCTAGCTTCTCTGTGCAGCCTTGGGACATGGAACCCTGCATCCCAGCCACTCCAGCACCAGCCATGCCTAAAAGGGGCCAAGGCGCAACTCAGGCAGTGGCTTCAGAAGGTGCAAACCCCAAGCCTTGGCAGCTTCCATATGGTGTTGAGCCTGCATGTGTGCCAAAGACAAGAATTGAGGTCTGAGAACATCTGCCTCGATTTCAGAGGACGTATGGAAACACCTGGTGTGCAGGCAGAATTCTGCTGCAGGGGTGGAGCCCTCATGGAGAATCTCCACTGGGGCAGTGCAGAGGGGAAATGTGGGGTTGGAGCCCTTACACAAAGTCCCCACTGAGGCACTGCCTAGTGGAGTTGTGAGAATAGGGCCACCATCCTCCAGATCCCAGAATGATAGCTCTACCAACAGCTTGCACTGTGCACCTATAAAAACCAAAGGCCCTCAACACCAGCCCATGAAAGCAGCCACAGAGGCTGTACCCTGCACAGCTCCTCCCCAGGGGTGGAACTGCCCAAGGCTTGGAGAACCCACCCCTTACGTCAGTGTACCCTGGATGTGAGACATGGAGTCCAAGGAGATTATTTTGGAGTTTCAAGATTTAATGACTGCCCTGCTGGGTTTTGGACTTGCATAAGGCCTGTAGCCCCTTTGTTTTGGCCAATATCTCCCATTTGGAATGGGAGCATTTACCCAATGCCTGTACCCTCATTGTATCTTGGAAGTAACTAATTATTTTATTTTATTTTTACAGGCTCATAGGTGGAAAGGACTTACCTTGTCTCAGATGAGACTTTGGACTTTGGACTTTTGAGTTAATGTTGAAATGAGTTAATACTGGGGGACTGTTGAGAAGGGATAATTGTATTTTGAAATGTGAAAAGGACATGAGATTTGGGAGGGGCCAGGGGCAGAATAATAGGGTTTGGATTTGTGTCCCTGCCCAAATCTCATGTCGAATTGGAGGAGGGGCCTGATGGTGATGGGATCATGGGGTCGCCCTGGTAAGACGTGCCTGCTTCCCCTTCTCCTTCTGCCATGTTTTTAAGTTTCCTGAGGCCTCCCAGCCATGCTTTCTGTTAGGTCTGCAGAACTGTGAGTCAACGAAATCTCTTTTCTTCATAAATTACCCAGTCTAAGGTAGTTCTTTATAGCAGTGTGTGAATGAACTAATACAATATCTATTGATGCAGAAAAAGCACTAGACAAAGTCCAGTACCCATCCTTGATATAAACTTTCAGCAAATAGGAATAGAGGATAACAGCTTCAACTTGACAAGGAACATCTGCAAAAAACCTACAGCTAACATCATACTACTTCGTGGTAAGAAACTGGAAGCTTTCCCCCTAAGTTCAGGGACAAGGCAGGGAGATCTTTTCCCTCCACTCCCATTTAACATTATACTATAAGTCATAGCTAATACAATAAGACAAGAAAGGAAGTAAAAATTGTGTAGGTACAGAGGGAAGAAATAAATCTGTCTTTATTGATTGTGTTAGTTTCTTATTGCTGATGTAGCAAATTATGACAAAGTCCATGGTTTAAAATGATACATCCTTATTCTATTACATTTCTGGAGGCTAAAAGTCCAAAATTAGTCATATAGGGTGTCATGACTTGAATGTGTACCCCAAAGTTCATGTGTTGGAAACTTATTCCCCAATGCAACAATGCTGAGGTGGGAACTTTAGGAGGTGATTAGGTCATGAGGGTTCTTCCCTTATGAATGAATTAGTGCCATTATTGTGGCAGTGGGTTAGTTATTGTGGGAGTGGGTTCCTGATGAAATGATGAGTTTGGCTTCCCTCTTAGCTCTCTCACCATCTCTCACCTTTTGCCTTCTGCCATGGGTGACATAGCCAGAAGGCCCTTACCAGATACTGTCACCTTGATATTGTACTTCCAAGTCTCCAGAACTGTGAGAAATATAATTTCTTTTCTTTATAAATTACTCAGTTTGTGGTATTTTGTTATAGCAACCCAAAACAGACTAAGACATAGGACTAAAATCAAGGTGTTATTGGGGTTGGTCACTTGCAGAGTGGAGTCTGTTCCTTGCTTCTTTCTGCTTCTGGTGGCTGCTTGCATCCCCTGAAGTGTGGCCGCATCACTCCAATCACCATTTCTCTCATCACATTGCCTTCTCCTACCCATAATCAAAGCTACTTCTGCATCCCTTTTATAAGGACACTTGCAATTATATTTCAGGCACTCTGGACAATCTCAGACAATCTCCCCATCTTTTAACCACATGTGCAATATCCCTTTTGCCACGTAACATAATATTCACTGGTTCCAAATATTAGGACTTGGTTAGCTTTGGTAATTATTATTCAGTCTATTGCATACACAGATGACATGATTATTTATGTATAAAATCCTAAGAAATGGTCAAAACAAAGTCCTGGTATTGATGTGATTACAGCAAGATCACAGGATAAAAGGCCAATATTCAACAGTCATTTGTTTTCCATACACCAACTATGGACATTTGAAATTCAAAATTATACTCACAAAAACATTTACAATGGCACCAAAAATGACATTCTTAGGTAAACAGCTAACATAATATGTACAAAATCTATATGCAGGAAACTACTAAACTCTGATGACAGGAATCAAAGAATATTTAAATACATTGAGAGATTTATTTAGACAAAAGAGCCTTTGGGATCCAGGTGGGAGGTTGTGAAACCCTGGTCTGGCTTAAAACCTAGGAGGTTGAGGAAAGGGGAGGCCTGCATCTAGGTGGCAGGCTTGCTGACTGTTGGTGCAGGCAATAGGTCTGGAATCAGCCTCATCTCCTTGTGGGCTCGGCTATAAGCCTGTTTGGCCTTGATCCTGCTACCACAGTCATCTGCCAAAGGACTGGGGTGGAGTCACGGGCACTGCTCCCTCTGGTGATGGGCTCGCTGACCTCAGCCTGGGCAGTGAACTCTGAAGCAGTCCTGTAACTCAGCCATAGACCCTCTCAATTGTGTTTTGAGAGCATTCTTGCCCAAGCACAGTCTTGCCAGGAGATACATCTATCTGTGCATTCAGAGAAGGTCTACCAATCTCAGACCCACAGAAGGTCCTGTAATAGTTTTGTAACTTGGCTCTAGGCCTTCTCATCTGTGAGCTGAGAGCAGTTTTTCCCACTCAAAGACCCCCCAGGAGGCATGCTCAATCTTTCACACCCAGGGAGGCAGGCTTGTTTACCTTGATACCACAGTAGACTCCAAAATGGCCCTGTAACTCTTCTCCAGTCACTCTTACCTGTGCAGTCATGCCTGCCCAGGGACTTACCCAGTGACCCAGGAGGAGCTATCCCAAGGACCTAGAAGGATCCGCACCGGTATACACACCTGGTAACAACCAACTATGGACCCTGAGTAGACAGACACTTGTCCCATCACCAGCCCTACTGACCAAAGTCATGGAGGTATAATCCATGCCAGCTTGAGCACCTGGGAAGAGGCCCACTAAACATGGTCCCCACTGTGGGCCCAGCAGCAGTTGTAACTCAGCTCTGACTCCACTTGACTGCAATCTCAGAAGTAATCCCATTAGCCTAGGGACCCAACAGAAGGTCTTGACCTTCTGTCTAACAGCAGTAGCATACTTACTCTTCTCCAGAGCACATGGAACATTCTTTAAGATAGATCATATGCTGGGATATAAGACAATTCTTAGCAAATTTAAGAGTGTTGAAATCATATCAAGTATCTTTTCTGACCACAGTTGTATGAAATTAGAAATCAATAACACAAAAGATTTTGGGAAATTCACAAATATGTACAAATTAAACAGCATACTCCTGAAATCAATGGCTCAAATAAGAAATCAAAAGAGAAATTTTAAAGTATCTTGAGACAAGTAAAAATAGAAACACAACATACCAAAACGTATGGGATGCAGGAAACACAGTTTTAAGAACAAACGTTATAGCAATAAATGCCTATATTAAGAAATAAGAATAATCTCAAATATACAAGCTACTTAGCCCAAAAAAAACCAGAAAAGCAGCACAAACTCAGTCCAAAGTCAGAAAATTAAAAAATATATATTAGAATAAAAAGAAATAAAATAGAGACTAGAAACACAATAGGAAATATCAACAAAACTAAAGTCGCATTTTTGAAAAGATAAGCAAAGTTGAGAAAACTGTAGTTAGAGTAACCAAGAACAAAAAAAATGGCTCACAATAAAGAAAACGTAACGAAAGAGGAGGCATTACCACTGATACCACAGAAATACAAAGGATCATAAGAGACCACTATGAACAACTATACACCAACAAATTGAATAACCTAGAAGAAATGAATAAATTCCTAGAAATGTACAACCTGCAAAAAGTTAATCATGAAGAAAGAGAAAATATGAACAGAACAATAATGAGAAAGGAGATTAAACCTGTAATCTAAAACCTCAAAGAAAAGAAAATCTCAGGACTAGATGGCTTCAAGGTGAATTCTATCAAATATTTGAAGAAGAATTCATGGCAATTCTCCTCAAAGTCTTCCAAAAAGTTGAAGAGTGGGAAGGACTTCCAAACTAATTTTATCAGGCCAGCATTATCTTTATACCAAAGCTAACTAAGAACACTACAAGAAAAGAACATTACAGGACAAAATCACTGATGAACATAGATGCAAAACTCCTCAACAAAATGTTAGCAAACCAAATTCAACAACACATTTAAAGGATCATACACTATAATCAAGTAGGATTTATCCTGGGATGCAAGGATGTTTCATAATGTGCAAAACAATAATTGCGATATACCACATTAACAGAATAAAGGATAACAATCATATGATCACCTCCATAGATTCAATAAAAGCATTTTACAAAATTCAACATAAATTCATGATACAAACTTCACAAATTACATATGGAAGAACTGTGCCTCAATACAAGAAAGGCCGTATATGACCATCCCACAGCTAACATCATACTCAGTGATGATAGCTGAAAGCTTTTCTTTTAAACTCAGGTACAAGAAAAAGATGCCCACTCTTGCCACTTCTGTTCAACATAGTACTGGAAGTCTTAGCCACAGCAATTAAGAGAGAAAAGTAAGTAAAAGGAACCCAAATTGGAAAGAAAGACATTAAATTATCTCGGTTTGAAGATGACATGATCTTAAATATTGAAAACTCTAAAGACTCCATGAAAAAACTGTTAGAACTAATAACTAAATTCAGTAAAGTTTCAGGATACAAAATCAACATACAAAAGTCAGTGGGTTTTCTATACATCAACAACCAACTATCCAAAAAATTAAGAAAACAGTCCCATTTACAATAGCATCAAAAATGATAAAATAGTTAGAAATGCATTTAATCATGCATGTGAAATATCTAGATATGTATGCTGAAATGTATAAAACACTGATGAAAGAAATTAAAGGAGACACACATAACTGGAAAGATAGCTCATGTTCACTAATTGAAAGAATTAATATCGCAAATAGATCCATACTACCCAAAGTGATATACAGATTTGATGTAATCCCTATCAAAAATCCAATGACATTTTTCACAGAAATAGAAGAAACAATCTTAAAATTTGTACAGAATCACAAAAGACTCTGAATAGGCAAAGCAATTTTGAGAAAGAGCAACAAAGCTGTTAAGAATTATACTTCCTGATTTCAAACTATATTGCCAAGGTACAGTAAATAAAAACAGTATGATACTAGCATAAAAACAGGCTCTTAGAACAGAATAGAGAGCCCCAAATTAAATGCCTTTGAGAAGAGTCCTAAGAATACACGATGGGTAAAGGATACTCTCTTTAATAAATGATGGGAAAACTCCATAACCACATGCAAAAGAATAAAATTGAACCATTATTTTATACCAAATGCAAAAGTTAACTTGAAATAGGATTAACAACTTATATGGGCCAGGCGCAGTGGCTCATGCCTGTAATCCCAGCATCTTGGGAGGCCGAGGCAGGTGGATAACCTGAGGTTGGGAGTTCGAGACTAGCCTGACCAACATGGTGAAACCCCATCTCTACTAAAAGAAAAAAAAAAATTAGCCAGGCGTGGTGGTGCATGCCTGTAATGCCTGTAATCCCAGCTACTCAGGAGGCTAAGGCAGGAGAATCACTTGAACCTAGGAGGCAGAGGTTGTGGTGAGCTGAGATCACACCATGGCACTCCAGCCTGGGCAACAAGAGGGAAACTTCATCTCAAAAAAAAAAAAAGAAAACTTACATGTAAGACTTGAAACCATGAAATTCCTAGAAGAAAAAAGAGAGAAAAAGTTTCTGTACATTGGCCTTGGCAATATTTTTTGGATATAACACCAAAAGCACATAGCATGAAAGCAAAAATAAATAAATGGGAATACATCACACTAAAAATCTTGTGCACAGCAAAGAAAACAATCAACAAAACAAAAAGCCAAGCTACAGAATGGGAGCACATATTTAAAAACTATATATCTGATAATGGGTTAATATTCAAAATACTGAATACACATACAACTCAATAGCAAATTAATAATAATAATGATGATGATGATAGTAACGTATTGAAAAATGGGCAAATGCCCTGAACAGACATTTTTTCAAAGAAGACATACAACTGTCCAACGGGTGTATGAAAAGCTGCTCAACATCATGAATCATCAGGGAAATGCAAATCAGAACCACAGTGAGACTGAGACATCACCTCACACCTGTAAGGATGGCTATTATCCAAACGACAAGAACTAACAGGTGTTGGTGCGGATGTGGAGAAAAGAGAATCCTTGTACACTGTCAGTGGGTATATAAATTGATATAGTCAATTTATATAGAAAACATTGTGAGTTCTGCAAACTATTAAAAATAGAACTACTATATAATCCAACAATCCTATACCTAGGTACATATCCAAAGAAAAGGAAAAGGATAGTGAAAGGAAATAAAATATCTTGAAGTGCTATCTACACCCTCATGTTTATTGCAGCATTATTTACAATAGGGAAGACATGGAATAACCTGTGTCCATTGACAGATGAGTGGATCAAGAAACTATTGTCTATATACACATATATATGATGTGTATATATACATATATATATGATGTATATATACACACATATATACAATGTGTATATATACATATATATGATGTATATATACACATATATATGATGTATGTATATACATATATATGATGCATGTATATACATATATATGATGCATATATACACACATATATACAATGAAATATTATCCAGCCATAATAAAAGAAGAAAATCCTGCCATTTGTGACAACATAAGTGAATCTGGAAGACATTATGCTATGTGGAATAAGCCAGATACAGAAAGGCAAATACTGTATGATCTGACATATATGAATCTAAAAAGTGCAACTCATAGAAGCAAGGAGTGGAACAGTGCATGCCAGTGTCTGAGGGGTGGGAAAAATGGGGAGATGTTGATTTAAGGGTACACACTTTCAGTTATAAGATAAATAATTGCTGAGTATCTAATGTACCACATGATAATTATAGTTAATAATATTATTTACTAGAAATTTGCTAAGAAAAAGTATCTTAAGTGTTATCACAACACACACACACACAAAGGGTAACTCTGTGGTGATGGATAGGTTGATTAATTTGATGGTGGTAACCATTACACAATGAACGTGTATAGTATATGCACATCACATTGTACATCTTGAATGTATATTATTTTTATTTGTCAGTTATAGTTCAATATAGCTGAAAGAAAGAAAAAAAGTAACTCAAAATGAATCATAAACCTAAATGTAAATAGCAACACTTTGAAACTTTTAGAGGAAAATAGAGAAAATGTAGGTAACCTTGGGTTTGGCAATGAGTTTTTCAACACAACATCAAAAACATGGTGGATGAAAGAAAAATAGGTAAGTTAAACTGTATTAAAATTAAAAGCTTATGCTCTGCCAAAGACATTGCAAGATAATAAAAAAATAAGCCTCAGACTTGGAGAAAATATTTGCAAAACATATGTCTGATAAAGAACTTATATCTGAAGCTTACAAAGAACTTTTACAGTTAATAAGAAAGCAAACAACTCAATTAAAATGAAGTTAAAAGATCTGAACAGAAAACTCAGCAAAGAAAATATACAAATGGCAACCTAAAATAATTTTTGAAATCATTTCCCAATTGGGAATTGCAAATTGAAACCACATACAGGTAGACATGCATTAGAGTAGATAAAATCTGCAAAAATTGCACCACCGCATGCTGGAGAGGATTCAGTATGGAGGAACTCTCTTTTGCTGCTGGTGTGAATGAAAAATGGTGCAGTCATTGGAAGATAGTTAGGCAGTTTCTTGCAAAGCTAAACATAGTCTTACTATGTGATTTAGCAATCAAGTTCCTAGTAAGAATTGATTTGAAAACTTATATTCACACCAAAAGCTGCATGAAAGTGTGTTTTAGCAGCTTCATTCATAAACTCCAAAACTGAAAGCAACCGAGGTAAACAAAGTAGAGAGCATCCACACAAGTGACTGTTACTCAGCCATAAAAAGAAATGAGCTATCAAGCCATGAAAAGACATGGTTAAATTTTAAATGCATATTACTAAGTGAAAGAAGCCAATTTGAAAAGGCTACATAGCATATGATTCCAGCTATATGAGGTTCAAAGAAATGCAAAACTATGGAGTCAGTAAAAATAGTTGTTGCCAGAGGGGATGGGAGGGGTAAATAGGTAAAGCGCAGGATTTCTATTTTTTATTTTTGTTGGTACATAGTAGGTATATATATTTATGAGGCGTATGAGATGTTTTGATACAGGCATGCAATAAATAACAATTGCATCATGGGGAATGGGGTATCCATCCCCTCAAGCATTTATCCTTTGTGTTACACACAATCCAATTATACTATTTTAGTTATTTTAAAATATACAATTGAATTATTGATTATAGTCACCCTGTTGTGCCATCGGATGCTAGGCTTTATTCATTTATTCTATTTTTTGTACCCATTAACTTTCACCACATCCCCTCCACCCCCCACCCCACTCCCCTTCCCAGCCTCTGGTAACCATCCTTCTACTCTCTATCTCCATGTGTTTTGATTTTTAGATCCCACAAATAAGTGAAAACATGTGATGCTTGTCTTTCTGAAAGCATACGTTTTTTGAGTGCTGAAACTATCCTAGTGGGCTTAAATCCCCACTCCTTAAGCACGAGGTGCTTCGTTCCAAAGAGTACGGTGTGGAAAGTGGGAAAAAAAGAGCAACTTTACGTGAAGAAGCCTGACAAAGACTCCCTGAGCCAGGTGACCAAGGTCCACATCAGCAGTGGTGGGCCATGCTGGCACCTGCCTAATCAGAGAAAGAATTCACATCAATTCCATTCGAGGGACATCTTACCAAGTATGACCGTTACTCCTCAAATTTATCAGTGTCATCAAAAACAAGAAAACTCAGAGAATCTGTCACCACCAAGAGAGCCTAAGGAGCCATGAGAGGTAAGTGCAGTGTGGAGTTATGAACAGACACCTGGAACAGAAAAAGAAGTTCTACAAAAAATAAGGAAATCTGGGCCAGGGGCTGTGGCTCACGCCTGTAATCCCAGCACTTTGGGAGGTCGAGGCGGGCAGATCATCTGAGGTTGGGAGTTCGAGACCAGCCTGACCAACCTGGAGAAACTCCGTCTCTACTAAAAATACAAAATTAGCCGGGCGTGGTGGCGCATGCCTGTAATCCCAGCTACTCAGAAGGCTGAGGCAGGAGAATTGCTTGAACCCGGGAGGCAGAGGTTGCAGTGAGCCAAGATCGTGCCATTGCACTCCAGCCTGGGCAACAAGAGCGAAACTTTGTCTCTAAATAAATAAATGGAAATCTGAATAAACTGTGGTATTCACTTAATAACAATCATATATCACTATTGATCCATTAACTTTAAGAATGTAAGATGTTAATAATAGGGGGAAAAGGTTATGCTGGCATATGCAAGATCTCTGTAGCTTCGCAATTTTTCTGTAAATTTAACACCATTCTAAACAATAAAGTATTTTTTAAAACACTGCTTTATGCTATTTCTATCTCACCTAAAACAGATCCAAAGTCAAATCACACATAAGTACATCTCATTGGCAGAGCTAAGTCATGCCTGTAATCCAGGGAGCTTAGCAAATGTAGTTTCTGGCTTTCTGGTCTCTGCAGTCCAGGGAGACACAAGGGAAGAAGATTGGAAATGAGCCAGTCCACAAAATTGCCTATCAGTTGTCATATCAAAACTCATTTAACCATTGTCTTTTAGTAGCTATTTAAGCTCTATCCAATTTTTTCTCTGTTACCAACAGTGCATCTAAGTAAATGTTTCTAGAAGGTAAATCAGAGGTCACAGGATTTGTATATTTTAATAGATATCCCCTGAAAAACCATCAATATATATTCCCATGCAAACCACTGCCAACACAGGTAGTTAATACTGGTTCATAATTTTATGAATCCATTGGGTAAAAATATTCCGTATCATTGCTGCTTCAGTTAATGTTTCTCTGATTACAAATGAGGTGACTGTTCTGACCACTTGCATCCACCCTGCGGGACTGGACAGATAAGCTCATAGCGGTTTGTTGCTTACATATGCTCAAGGCCTCGGGGAGGAGGACATTGCATTTTACACAGGGCCATAAGGGACTTGCACATGGGAACACAGAGAGCCTGCAGGGACTCTAGTGAAAAGGAGGCAGGCTTTGAACTAACAAGATGCTGAGGTGCCTCCAGGCCCCATGTGAGGATGTGACTAGCTTTTTTGAATAATTTCATGAGCTGGCAGGGAAGCGAAGCCCATTAGAGTGAGGATCAGGTTAAGTGAAGCTAGTCCAGCTAATGGGGAACTGGCCAGGCAAGGAGCCTTTCCCACTGGCGGGGGTACACGTCTGGTGTGAGCATAAGGACTTAGGATTAGACCCTTGGGGCCTTGTGAGGGTCGAAGGCGTTAAGGTGGGAAATGAAATTTCAGGCCTTACGATACAGTGACCATTTTTTCATAGATTTATCGACTAATTGTATCTCTTTTTCTTTTAATTGTCTGCTTTGTTTTCTAACTAATTTTATTTATGTTATTTCTGGGAACATTTTGAAAAAAAATACTAGTTTTTAACTCTCTTTTTTTGGTTACACATATTAAAAACACTTTTGCCCAGTCTGTTGCTTTTTGCATTAAAAATGCCCTTTGACAACTTTAAATCTGATTTTGACACTGTGCTGCTTAGAGCACTTCACTGACTTTTGAAGCAAATTCTAAAAGTTTTCACCTGGCCGGGTGCCCTGCGTGAGCGGCCTCACTGGCTCTCACTTACACTCCCGCTGTCCCCACTTCTCGCCCGGTTCCTTCCAGCCTCCTCTGCTTCTTCGCATCCCTGCCTCTTCCACCTCTGGGCCTCCTGCTGGAGATTCTCTTCTCTTGGTGCATTCCTGTGAGAGACTGATGGGCATTGAGGGGTGAGCAGTAGCAGTTGTAAAATTGATCAAAGATGGTCATATACCCGTTGTGGGGTTTATCACATTTCTTGTATTGTTCTTCACTGAGTTTCCAACAGCCATTTTATTGATTAATGCTAAAATGGAAACATATATCTATGGTTCAAAATTTAAAATATTTAAGAATCTGTAGTAAAAACAAAAACAAAAACACAGTGTTCTTCCCCCAGGGCTGGCGGCGGGGACAGTGAGAGGGTTAGAAGCGCCTGCTGAGAGCCGAGCTGTCCTTGTCTATCTTGCCCTCTCCTGGCCATTGTTTTGCTAAAAGCATTTTTAAGTTCCCTGGTTCTCTTTAATACGTAGTTTATGAGATTTTCCCAGGTCTATTTGTCAAGACCTCATGATATCATCTGTCTTGTTTTTCCTTTGTTGTCGCTTCATATGGATTTTTTATTTCTGCAGTGTTCTTCCTCCTTTCCATGTCCTAATGGACTCTGACAGCTCTGTTCACATCCTCTCCCACTGTCACACGGCCTCTTACTTGAATATCCTGACTCTTCCGTGACAGTTCTCGTTTCAGGTGCAGAAAATGCTGCCTGCTGCATAGAATCTTTGTGCAGAATGAAGCACTGTTGGTGAGAATCCCTCTCTGTGTCCTTGAAAACTGTCTTTCGTGATATCTGCCCCGATGTGCCTCTGTCTTTCCTTTTTTCCCTCCATCAGGTATTTGATGGATGCTGCCAATTGATTGTTTGATGGCAGTTGTTCTCCATGGGCCCAGGCCGTTCTTCTCAATATGACTCATCTTGGAGAAGGGACAGTCAGTAGCCCCATTGGCTGAGCTAGTACTGCCGAGGGGTGGGATGGGAGTGTGGCGGGATGCGGGATAGGGAAAGCCTATCTACGGCTTTCACGTGGGTGTGTTCTTGAGTGCCCTCCAACAAACCTGCTCTTTCTTCGCCCTGGGGACACTCCTTCACCTTCCCCAGACTTAGACTCTTAAGCCCTTCCAGCTTCTCCACTTTCCCGCTGTGTGCCTCTGGCCCTCTTCCATCAGGGAAAGCAGCTGGGGCCGGAACATACAAGTGAACACGGAACCTGCCCTTTTAAGAGCACGTGTATCCTGGCCCAAGGTCTCAGGTGGCAGAGATCAACTTTTTATTGGCTCTCGAGCTCCAGTCAAGATGTTTTGAGAATGTAGCCATTTTCTTGTTATATATAAATTGGATTTTTTGCCCTCTATTTTTTATTGTTGATTTGTGTGCATATACATGAGTGTATAAATATGTGTATATACACATATGTGTATACATTCATATACATATACACAAACAAATCAACAACAAAAAATATATATGCACATGTGTGCATATATATATATTTTATATATATATATATATATACACACACATACCTAGTAATACATATATATTTGTGGGTTTTGAGAGATGAGATTAAGGAAAATCATCTTTTTTTTTTTTTTTTTTTTTTTTTTGAGACAGAGTCTCGCTGTCGCCCAGGCTGGAGTGCAGTGGCGCAATCTCGGCTCACTGCAGTCTCCGCCCCCTGGGGTTCACGCCATTCTCCTGCCTCAGCCTCCCAAGTAGCTGGGACTACAGGCGCCCGCCACCTCGCCCGGCTAATTTTTTGTATTTTTAGTAGAGACGGGGTTTCACCGTGTTAGCCAGGATGGTCTCGATCTCCTGACCTCGTGATCCGCCCGCCTCGGCCTCCCAAAGTGCTGGGATTACAGGCGTGAGCCACCGCGCCCGGCCGGAAAATCATCTTTAAACAGAAATCAATTTATACTTTTTCTGAGTAAATTTCTATCCTCATCTTTGAATTTCCCTTACATAATAATGTAGCTGACATAAGATTAAAATGAATCAAAACCACTAAAGTAGTTTTACATACTTTCAAAAAGAGGATGTAGAGCTTTAATATCATCATTTTTTGGAAGAACCTAGGGTCCTTAGCTCAGCATTTATTATCTGTTAGGAACCTGATGAAACCCACTGAGACCTTTCAAATTGGTTCTTCCCCATGTTTTTCTGAGGCTATCTAAATGGGCAAGGAGATAATACAGATAGAAGGAAGTTGCTGTATTGGGAAGGAAACAGGAATTGGAGGCCAGGAAAGGAGCTTAGCTACAGCAGAGACAAGAGGATGATCAAATTCGGTGTTTTTCTATGACCAAGTTAAGAATTGCATTGATGATCTGCAACACTTTTTTTTTCTTTTTCTGTTTTAACACAACAATGTGGACGGAGAATCTTTTCTGTCATGATTATAATCGTTAATATAATTGCTGTGACTATTCAACCTTCAGAAAGCTGGTTTCCATCCAGCCCTGGCTCTGGGGCTCACAGGCTCTGTTGCCACATAAGGAAGCAGCACTGGGCAAGTTCCTGGACCACTTGCACCAGCACCATAGGGAGCATGAATCCACTGGTGATTTGTGGTTGTTCATTTATTTCGTATAATGAGAACAAACTCCCTGCCACATTTAAATAAAAGCCTAATTACATCTCCATTGCTACAGATGCTATTACTACCTTTCTGACTGGCTATAAAAGTTAATGAGTTTTTTATTGCTTTGCAGAGTTTCAAAATAAAATGCAAAGTTTAGAGATAGATGCTATATAAGGTGAGGTCCACTCTGCTTTGCTCTTTTTGAGGGAACCTAGAACCTTAATTTAATGCTTTTCATTTTAGAATATGGCCTGCTTTGCATTATTTCCCATTTTTTTGGACATAAGTATGGCACAGGGATTAAATATAACTAAGCACCATTGAAGAAAATTGCATCAAATCAGCTGAAGATAAGTGAAGAATGTTTTTATGAGCTACACGTTTTTGAAAGAGATACACAAGGCTGACAACCTAATAAAAGTTTAATAATGTGTGCTCACCCATTTGCTGTGCTTTCAAGGTCCTCTGCAACACTGATGTGCTTGGGAACTTCCAGGATGGATTTCCAACTGTTAGTCACCAACTAGCAGAGGTTAGTTGTATTGTGCTGCCAGTCTCATATATGTAAACCTGAATTTGTTTTTATTCCTTCCTGCATTGCTTGATTTTTAAAAATTCAGTTACTCTAGGAAAAGAAAAGCCAAAATAAGCCAGAAATTTATATTTTTTATTCATATTTCAAGAATCATTCTAAAAGCAAGTGATAAAGTTAACTAATTTCTCTCTGCATTTAGTACAGTTACTTTATCTTCCCAAAGAGGAAACCAAGGCCTGGAATCAATGCCATGTAGGCACGTGCAGGTCTGTGTGCTACACTGTGGTGGCACCGCACAGGGCACCTGGAAGCATGGATTTGAGCCTGGTCTGCACAGAAGCCTGCTTTTCAAGAGTTAAACGAGGCAAAATAACTTGGCACAATGCATTTCACATGCAGTGCTTACTGAATACCCTCCATGAAAAAGCTGGCACTATGCCAGGGATGGAAGTTCAGGGGCAAAGACATTGTCCCATCTTCCAGGGACTCTCCCTCCACAGCTGGGGCTTAGGAATCATAATGCAACCAGCAAGTCAACTTCCAGGATTAAGGCTAGAAGAGACACCTAAGTTGAGGAACCACCTGGAGGTCTTCCTGGAGGCTAAGGAGTTGGCTAAGGTTGTAGGCTGAGCTAGTAGTGGTGGGCAGGTGAGTATGGAGGAGCCGAGGCTGCAGGCTGGTGAGCCCCGTTAGCAGAGGCTGCAGGGCCAGCACTGCTGACTATGGATCTGGTGCCAGACCTTGTCTGGGTGGCAGCTGGACCAATGGGCAGGGAGCAGGTGGGGCATGCGTTCTTCGGGCTTCAATCATGTGCCTCAGGGAATGGGGAGACATGGAGGATTTCAAGTGGAGGAATAGTGTATTAGATTTCCTTTTCATAACAGTCACCCTAACTGCCATTTGTACAAGTGTTGATATGTTTCAAAACTAAATGCTGGATACCTATGAGGAGTAAGCCAGACCAGACTTTACAAACTTCAAGACTCAGGAGAGGCAGGAAGAGAAAGTGGTAGTTGATAAGGAACAAACTGGAGATGAGAAATAGGAGTGTGTAGGTCACCCTTCTGCCCCGTTTTTGTCAGGGACAGTGCACCTATCAAGTACCAACCACATTCTGGATCCAACACCCTTTCATTTTGCAATCAGGGATGGGTCAGAGTGTGTTTCCTTGGTCATCTCCATGTTTACCTCCCCACCACCACCTGTGCTTAGACTCAACTGTGCAGAACTGGTAGAAAGATGAACTTATCCTCAGTGAGAAATCCCGGAGCTCACACCTTAAAGCTGCACTCTTGCCAACCCCACACCTACCACCAGAACCTGGAGACCTTCCTTCAAGTGCAACAGTGATTTATTACTCGAATGTTTACTGAAGATGCACACAGACAGGTTCTAAACGATGCTCCTGCTTCGAGGCTATTCTTCCCAATAAAAATGCAGGGTTTTCTCTTGACCTTCCTGAGTGATTGGATCAAAAGACATTTTATATCATTGCCAGAAAATCTGGATTCAAAAACTGTTGAGTGTGTGGGTTGGGGTCAGTGCCTTTCCTTTCTTTTTTAAAAATTATTTTTAAGTTGTGAATACACATAAAAACTCATCATCTTAGTCATTTCTAAGTATATAGTCCAGTGGCATTAAATGCATTCACCTTTTTGTGCAACTATCACCACCAACCATCTATAAAACTTTCATCTTCTTAAAATGAAATTTTGTACCTATTAAATGCAAACATGCTATCCCCAACTCCTTATCCCCTGGCAACCACCATTCTATTTTCTGTCTCCATGAGACTGAGCACTCCAGACACCTCATGTAAGTGGAATCACACAGTGTCTGTTCTTTTGTGCCTGGCTTATTTCACTCAGCATAATGTCCTCGAGGTTCATCCATGTTCTGGCGTATAGAAGATGTCCTTCCTTTCCGAGGTTGGGTAATGTTTCATTATACACATGGACCACATTTTGCTTATCCATTCATCCACACAAGGACACCTGGGTGACTTCACTTTTTGGCTATTGTGAATAACGCCACTATGAACATGGAGTCCCCTGTATTTCTAATCATAGGTATTGGTCTTCGGTTTGGGGACTCATGAAATTCCACTCCTACTTCTCTGTTCTTCTACTGCTCCTCCACATCTTTGTTCTTACCATGAGTGGTATTTTGTTTCTAATAAATGAAAAAGTATGATAGATATGATACTTCATTTAATGAAATGATCAACACAAACCTCGGGCAAATCACTTAATTTCTTCACAATGTGGCCTTCTCATCTGTAAAACAGTAATGTCATTCTTTACCTCTTTGGCTTATGAGGAAGATAAAATGAGACCATGTCTGTAAAGAGCTTAGCACTTAGACTGTCACGTAGCATCTGCCCAGCAAGTTGAGGTTGGTACTTGGTTCCCCACAGTGGGGAGCAGGGATTGAGGCAGAACTCATTCATGTGGGCATAGGGAACAGATAGAGCCACAAGCTCAGAGCCAGAGGGACTGTGAGGGCAGGTGCACCCTTAAAGATCTTTAGGAGAAAAGATTTCCAGCCTTTGTCACTGGGCACTGGAGTTCCCTGATAAATTCAATTGGCAACCAGTAGGGTTTTCAGGGTAGTAGTGCAAGACAGAACCCCCCAAGCCTGGTAAACAAGGGCTCACAATTCTTCAGCTCCTCTGGCCCTGTTACCCTTCCTGGGATGGTTTGAGTAACACAGCCCCAGAAGGGGAATCCACCCTGTGATGGGCTGAATTGCATCCCCCTCACTTTCATGTTAAATCCTAATCCCTAATACCTCAGAGCATGATCTCATCTGGAGGCAGGATTTCAAGTGAGGTCATTAGGATGGACCCTAACCCAATGACTGGTGTCCTTATAAAAAGGGAAATTAATAAGGTCATTAGGGTGGGCCTTAATCCAATATGACCTGGTGTCCTTATAAAAAGGGGAAATTTGGACACAGAGATGCACATACATACAGGGAAGATGATCTGAAGAGACAGAGGGAGAAGGCAGCTGTACTAGTCTGTTTTGTGTTGCTATAAAGGAATACCTGAGACTAGGTAATTTACAAATAAAAGAGGTTTATTTTGGCTCATTGTTCTGCACACTGTACAAGAAACATAGTGCTGGCATCTGCCTCTGGTGAGCCCTCAGGAAGCTTTTACTCATGGTGGAAGGTGAAGGGGGAGCAGGCATGTCACATGGTGAGTGAAAGAGTAAGAGAGAGAGGGAGGAGGCACCAGGCTCCTTTAAACAACCAGCTCCTGCATGAACTCACAGAGAAAGAACTCACTCATCACCACAGGGAGGGCACCAAGCCATTCCATGAGGGATCCGCCCCCATGACCCAAACACCTCCCTCCAGGCCCCACCTCCAACATTGGGGATCACATTTCAACATGGGATTTGGAGGGAAAAAATAACAAAACTATAGCTCAGCCATCTACAAGCCAAGGAGAGAGGCCAGGAACAGATCTTTCCCTCACAGCCCTCAGAAGAACCAACCCTGCCACCACCTTGATTTTGGACTTCCTGCTTCCAGAACTGTGAGACCATACATTTCTGTTGGTCAAGCCACACTCACTATACAGTATTTTGTTATGACAGCCCCAGGAAACTAATGCACACCTCTACAACCCTTTCAGGGACAATGGAAGATGCTGGTGAGAGCCCCTCCAAGCCAGTGGAACCCAAGGAAGCAGAGTGACTGACAAAACAAACTTCTGGCCTTCAAGGACAATTATAAAGTCTGTATAAGCTTCTAAAGTGTGGCTACATTGCATATTAGTAAATATCCTTTTTTTGGCCAAAGTATTTTATTTTACTATTATACTATATGTAATTTGCAAATCGTTTCACAAGAAATTTTTAAAGCAAAGTTATAAAAATGTATATAAAAAAGTACAGAGTTGACAGGAAAATTACTTTTTTTAATAGTTCAAATAAAATCTTTTTGTTTTTCTTATGCTGGCTGAAAATTGTATAATCTATTCTTCCATAGATAGTTGCAATATTACATTTTAATGAGCAGTCTCATAGTTAATTCATTTATTAAAAACAGGTTCACCCTTTGGATGATGAGAATCAATTGCTCGATTTTAAAGAGAACGATAATAAAATTTGTCATATACGACATGAAGTCATAAATAGCTCTTCAAAATTCAGATGTGTTCAGCCTTGTTTCTCTATTAAATTCTTCACAGTTCTAAGTTAAGGAAGTGTCTTTTACTTTAGCCCGACTTCAGAGCTAAAGTCTGGTTTAACTTCAGAGATCCAGAAGTTGTGGCTGTGAGGCATTTTATGGCAGCAGCTGGTCTGATGACAGTGGCTGCTCCCTGGCTATGCTTTTCAACCCCCATAATCACAGAGAGGCATTTTGCTTAAATCTTCAGGTTTTTGCTGTAGCATTGTCATAAAATATTCTCTAGCTTTGTCCACATGCAGCCCATGGAGGTCTGAGACATTTGGTGACAACAGGGAGGCGTGATGAGCTTTGCACGTCTACTTATGGGGACTGACCTGGTGGGCATGCCCTCCACTTCTGTAGGTGCATGAGGGCATCTCCTCTGCAACCATCCAATGCCTAGAAATGGTCCACTTTTTTTTTTTTTTTTTTAAGACAGAGTCTCGCTCTGTTGCCAAGGCTAGAGGGCAGTGGTGCAATCTTGGCTCACTGCAACCTCTGTCCCTAGGTTCAGGCGATTCTCCTGCCTCAGCCTCCTAAGTAGCTGGGACTACAGGTGCCCACCACCACGCCCCACTAATTTTTGTATTTTTAGTGGAGACAGGGTTTCACTATGTTGGCCAGGCTAATCGCAAACTCCTGACCTCAGGTGATCCGCCTGCTTCGGCCTCCCAAAGTGCTGGGATTACAGGCATGAGCCACCACGACCGGGCCCACTTCGTATGTCTTGAGTCTCTTTCTTTGCCTTTTCTCTTTAGCCTTCCATTCAGCAGAAGTGACATTTGCATTTTCATGAAAAACTCCTGTGCTATAACTTTTTGTAAACGATTCCTTTCAAGAACACAGTTTTAAAATTGCACTGTATGTTCTAAGAAATAACTGTGGTCCTTGAAAGTGTACACCTCCAAATTTTGGTTAATGGCGAGGAGTAACTTGGAGAGCTGCTGCTTCTTCAGTCTGATGACACATTCTATTACAAAGATAAGTGACTTCCTTCTTAAGTCGTGATTTTTCCTGTAAGGCAATTTCTTCTGTTAGCTATTTCTGTGAGTGACACTTTTTTTTTTTTTTTTTGAGGCGGAGTCTCACTCTATCGCTCAGGCTGGAGTGGTGTGGTGCGATCTCGGCTCACTGCAAGCTCCGCCTCCCGCGTTCACACCATTCTCCTGCCTCAGCCTCCCGAGTAGCTGGGACTACAGGCGCCCGCCACCATGCCCAGCTACTTTTTTGTATTTTTAGTAGAGACGGGGTTTCACCGTGTTAGCCAGGATGGTCTCGATCTCCTGACCTTGTGATCCGCCCGCCTCAGCCTCCCAAAGTGCTGGGATTACAGGCGTGAGCCACCGCGCCCGGCCTGAGTGACAATTTTAAAAACTTGACTATTCCGATGATCCAATTAGACAGAGTAACACTTCGGGTGCTGCTAAAGTCTGCAGTAATTTCTTGTTCTCTGAGATGAATTTTGTTCAGTATGATCAAGTCCAACATGCCCAACCAGGGGAGGGCCTCCCGTAAGCTTGCCATAGGACACAGCTTGTTTTTGTTACTTCTAAACACATGTGCAGGACAAGAGATTGGCAAAGGACGGGTATATTAGTAAATATATTTATATTATTTTTTCTAGAAATCATTTCGCCTTTTAGAATTGTGACAAAATCATTCTTATTAAATGTAAGTCAACAAATAAAGCTGGATAAATAAAATTGTAAAGTGTGACTCCACTCACCATGGTGGAGCTCCAGGACACCTATGCGATCCCTCCACTTAAGAGAATTCGGCTGCTGCTTTAAAAAATAAAAACTGTTTTTAAAACTCAATCAATCAGCATTGCATTATTTAACTGAGAGAGTAAAAATCTCACTGTTTCGAGGTTTTTCCCCTCAGAAACAATCATTCACATTAAGTTTCATCACTAATGGTATAATTTGCCTAATCTGATATTAATCTAAAAACTTAGAGGAAAACAAAATCAGCAACGTGTTAACTGGTGAAAGTTCTCTCTCAAAATCAAAATTCAATAGAATTATTTCATGTAACATGGTTTATTTTGTTATAGAAAGTAAAGGTGACAAAAGTAAAGGTGACAAAATGAGCACAAAGGGAGTTCTTCATAAAAAGAAACCTGCCAAGAATTCTTGCAATTTCTCATAAGTCACTTTTGTCAGGTTCAAATCTACATGAACTAGACTATCCTCAACTGTTAGAGACCCTAAAATCCATTCCAACATGGCCAAATATCATGTGTTTCTTAATGATAGGAATATGTTCTGAAAAATGCATTGTTAGGTAATTTCATCACTGTGCGAACATCACTAAGTACACTTACACAAACCTAGATGGCATAACCTACTACACGCCTGGGCTCTGTGGTACAGCCTACTGCTCCTGGGCTACAAACCTGCACAGCATGTAACTGTACTGAATACTGTAGGCAACTGTAACACAACGGTAAGTATGTTTGTATCTAAACATGTCTAAACATACAAAGAGTGCAGTAAAAAATACAGTATAAAAGACACACATGGTACACCTGTTTAGGGCAGGTACCACTAATGGAGCTTGCAGGACTGGAGGTGGCGTTGGGTGAGTCAGTGAGTGAGTGGTGAGTGAATGTGAAGGCTAGGACATTACGGTACACTACCGTAGACTTTATAAATACTGTGCACTTAGGCAACACTAAATTTATAAGAAAATATATTTTTCCTCAGTAATAAATTAACCTTGGCTTATTGTAACTTTTTTACCCTATGAGCGTTTTAGTATTTTTTTGTTTTTGTTTTTTACTTTTTGACTACTGTGTAATAATACTTAGTTTAAAACACAGATTGTCCAGCTATAAAAAAAATTCTTTCTTTATATTCTTATCCTATAAGCTTTTTTAATTTAATTTTTACTCTTTCGACTTTTTAAACTTTTTTGTTAAAAATTAAAACATGAGCCCACACATTAGCCGAGGCCTACCCAGGGTCAGGAGCATCAGTGTCACTGTCTTCCACCTCCACAACTTGTCCCACTGGAAGGTCTTCAGGGGCAGTAACACGCATGGAGCTGTCACTTCCTAAGATAACAGTGCCTTCTTCTGGAATAACTCCTGACAACCTGCCTGAGGCTGTTTTACAGTTAACCTTTTTTATAAGTAGAAACATACATTCTAAAATAAAAATAAAACCTACGGTATAGTAAATACATAAACCAGCAACATAGTTATTGCCATTATCAAGCATTAATACTGTACATAATTCTACGTGCTACCGTTTTATAAGACTGGTAGTGCAATAGGTTTATTTTCACAGCATCACCGCAAACATGGGAGGAAAACACTGCACTATGTTACGATGGCTACAACTTCAAGAGGCTATAGGAATTTTTCAGCTCTGTTATAATCCATGGGATCACTGTCGTATACGCGGTTTGTCACTGACTGAAACATTATTACACAGTGTCTGACTGTAATTCATTGATCTGGAAAGCCAGTTCAGCAGGTGTTGGCACCTCCAGACAGTGGATGGTAAGAGATTTGATCATCCCTGGCATGGCAGTCAACATATCAGCCTAATAATTGTCACTGACTCTGGCTGACAAAGTACCGCATGATATTAGAATTTTCTCCATTTCCTGTTCATCGTCATTCATAAATTCTTCTGTGTTTATCTAAAATTTCACATAATCTGGCCCGGCGCAGTGGCTCATACCTGTAATCCCAGCACTTTGGGAGGCCGAGGCATACGAATCACCTGAGGTCAGGAGTTCGAGACCAGCCTGCCCAACATGGTGAAACCCTGTCTCTACTAAAAATATAAAAATTAGCCGGGCTTGGTGGTGCATGCCTGTAGTCCCAGCTACTTGGGAGGCTGAGGAAGGAGAATCGCTTGAACCCAGAAGGCAGAGGTTGCAGTGAGGCGTGATCGTGCTACTGCACTCCAGCCTGGGCAACAGAGACTCAGTCTCAAATAACATAAAATAAATAAAATAAATAAAATAAAATAAAATAAAATAAAATAATTTAAACAATAAAATAAAATAAAATAATTTAAACAATAAAATAAAATAATTTAAACAATAAAATAAAATTTCACATAATCCTTTGGAAATCTTTCATTTTTTTCTTTCTTTTTTTATTATACTTTAAATTTTAGGGTACATGTGCACAATGTGCAGGTTAGTTACATATGTATACATGTGCCATGCTGGTGTGCTGCACCCATTAACTCGTCATTTAGCATTAGGTATATCAACACAATTAATTTCCTCATTTAATTCAAGATGTGAAGAGCTCAACACAGAGTTCAAAATATCACACAGATTCAAAGAAGAATGTATACTGTGTCCAATGTCTGGAGCTACTGGGTTCTTCTCCATTCCATTCATGTCTTTAGGGGTTGTAGCGTTTAGATACCTAGAAAAGACTACTTGATGCTATGTAAGCCTAAAAGTTCTGCCTAACTATTAGGGAGCAGTTCGTTAGTATTCTTTGGGTCTACAACAGCATCAGGAAATACACTTGCTATTAATTCAGTTTTTTTGTTGTTGTTTTTATTTGTTTGTTTGTTTGAGGCAGAGTCTCCCTCTGTCCCCCAGGCTGGAGTGCAACGGCCCGATCTCGGCTCACTGCAAGCTCCACCTCCTGGGTTCATGCCATTCTCCAGCCTTAGCCTCCCGAGTAGCTGGGACTACAGGCGCCCGCCACCACGCCTGGCTAATTTTTTGTACTTTTAGTAGAAACGGGGTTTCACCGTGTTAGCCAGGATGGTCTCGATCTCCTGACCTTGTGATCTGCCCGCCTCAGCCTCCCAAAGTGCTGGGATTACAGGCGTGAGCCACCGCGCCCAGCCTATTAATTCAGTTTTTTCAGAAGTTACAGCTTTTATTTCTGCTTGTTCTGAGCTTTCCCTTTCTGCATCTTTGGTAGGCTCTGCACACATTATTGTTACTCATTCAAAACTGAATGTGAAGTTAAGGGATGTAAAGTGAATACAGGAAAAATTTCCTAAATTTTTATTATTCAAATTTGCATTTTGTGTAGAAATACATATAATACTTATAAACTCACTTGAGTCACAAAGTATTAACATCTCGTTAAGGCAAAATGAATCTATTTGGTCCTCGGGAAGAAAGTTCAATTTCTTTTCTTTCTTTCTTTTTTTTTTTTTTTTTTTTTTTTTTGAGACGGAGTCCCGCTCTTTCACCCAGGCCGGAGTGCAGTGGCGCCATCTCGGCTCACTGCAAGCTCCGCCTCCCGGGTTCACGCCATTCTCCTGCCTCAGCCTCCCAAGTAGCTGGGACTACAGGCGCCTGCCACCACGCCCGGCTAATTTGTTGTATTTTTCAGTAGAGACGGGGTTTCACCGTGTTCGCCAGGATGGTCTCGATCTCCTGACCTCGTGATCTGCCCGCCTCGGCCTCCCAAAGTGCTGGGATTACAGGCGTGAGCCACGGCGCCCGGCCAGGAAGTTCAATTTCTTAAAAGCATTCTCGGTTAAGGAATCCAAATCTTCGATTCGCTACATGTCCAAAAGTGAATCCATGTTTGAAGCTTCACTCCCTTCTTAAGAAAGCCACTTTTCCATGATCTCACTTCCTGATGCACTCTCCTGACTCTCAGAACCAATTCATCTGCCCGAGAAGATTCTTATTTCAGATAATCTTAATAGACAATCTATTGCATTTCAACTGAGAGGATTGCTGTGCGGACTAAACGAGATAATCCCTAAAAGCCTGCTGTGTAAGAAGACTGGCACTTAGTAAGCACCCAACTACGTTCCCTTTGAAGTCACATTCGGAGCGCATCCAGTACACAACATCCAGTCCAGGTAGAAAACGTCTCTGAGACACTGGGGAAAAGCTCTTTCTGATCTATTTTTGTCTCTTCCATACTTTTTCTTTCAGAAGGAAGATACTGTCAATATGACATTTCACCACTAAAAAATGTCCATTATATATCTCCTTAAAATGGAAATATCCTGCTATAAAATGACACCCCCATAATCAAAGCGAAGAAAATTAAACTAATCCCCACTATCATCTCGTACACAGTCCATATTCAAATTTCTCCAAGTGCTTCAAAAATGACTTTTATAATTTTATTAAAACAAGAATACAGTCTACATTCGCATATTACATTTTGTTATTGCGTCTCTTCAATAAAGAAAGCCCTCTCCTTTTTTCTTTTGTCGTGGTATTGATTTATTGAGGGAACTGAGCTTGTGGAATATTTTGTATTCTGGATTCATGGTTGAATCTTCTATTTTCCATATTTCATACAACTGAGAAACTAGATTTAAAAGCTTGTTTAGATTTGTACTAAATATTTTTGGCAAGAATACGGCTTCTGTGTATTTCATACCACCTTGCACCAAGAGGCACATAATATTAGGAAGTTTCTGTTAGTGATGTTAATTGTATTGCATAGCTAAATGTGTAACGGTGCTCCGTTATCTAAGGTATGTTTACCCTTTCCAGTCCGCAAGCACTCCATGGGGTGATGTTATGAGACTGCAGGAATATCGTGTTCCTTATTACCCTGCCTTTACTGCTTTTCAGCATCTCTTGATGATCCTTATCTGAATCCCTTATTTTACTAGTTTACACTATGGTGATTTTTCTATTTTGTTCATTCCTTCTACATTTATTTACTGATTTTCCTCTTTCCCCCCTCATAATGACTACTGAAATGCTTCTATTAAAATATCAATTATCAAAATATTTCAACCCCACACTTCTCCACCAAGGCTGGCTTTGCTGTACCTTAAGCCTGAGTTTATGGGGGTAATCCAGCCCCTTGAGCAGGGCTCCTTCACCTGAGACCCCAGCTAGGCTGCTCAGTTCAGGTTCTGGAGACAACTTCTGAGTCATCTCCAAATTTTAGTGGTAGACTAAGCACCAGTATATGAGGTATTTATACATTTTTTACTCTTTATTTTACGATAATTATAGATTCACATGCAGTTCTAAGAAATAATCACATCCCATAAACTCTTCCCCCAATTTCACTCAGTGGTAACATATTGCATGACAAGAGTACAGTATCAAAAGTGGGACACTGGCATTGATGCAATCCATTGCCTCTATTCAAATTTCACCTGCTTTACATGCACTCATTTGTCTGTGTGTGGATATTTATTTCTATGAAATTTTACCTTACTTATAGATTTGTGTGACCACCGCCACAGTCAAGATACAAACAGACCCATCAACAATTCTTTACTAACCTTCATAGTCACAGCCTCTCCCTGTATCTTGAGCCCTTGGCAATCATTAATCTGTCTTCCAACTCTATAATTTTGTCATTTTGAGAGTGCTATATTAATGGAATCATATCACATGTAACTTCTTACGATTGGCTTTATTTTTCTTTTTTTTGGTGGGCACAAATTCCTGGAGTTCACCAAAGTTGTTAAGCATATTAATAGTTTGTTCCTTTTTATTTCTGAGTGTTCCATATGCATGTACCACAGTTGTACCATTTGCCCACTGAGGGACATTTGAGCTGTTTCCAGTTTTCAATTATTATAAACAAAACTGCTGTGAATATTCACATACTGGTTTTTTGTGAACATAAGTTTTCATTTCTCTGGGATAAATGCCCAAGAGTGTAATTCCTGGGTTGTATAATAAGTATACTGTAAGTGTTTTGTAAGAAGTGTTTCTGCTGAACCTTTCCCAGAGAGGCTGTACATACTATTGTCCCATTTTATATTTCCACCAAAAATCTATGAGTTATCCAGTTATGTGGCATTTTTGCCAGGATTTGGTGTCATCACTGTTAGTTTGCCTGTTTGTTTTAGCCATTTTGACAGGTGTATAGTGATATTTCACTGGGATTTTAATGTGCATTTCTCTAACGGCTAATGATATTGCATGTCTTTTCATATGTTCATCATCTGTCTGTCCTACTTAGTGAAATATATTTTGCTAATTTCTCATTGGATTGATTTTTAACTGTTGAGTGTTAAGTGTTCTATATACATTATAGATACAAGTCATTGTTTAGATACGTGGTTTATAAATATTTTCTCCCAGGTTTTTATTCTTTTCACATAGGCTTTCACAGAGCAAAAGTTTTGGTGAAGTCCTATTATCAATTTTTTCTTCCCCTTTCTAGATCATGATTTCTGTGCCAAGTCTAAGAAGTTTTTGCCTAGCCATATATCGTGGAAGATTTTCATTTGTCTTTTTAAAAAGGTTTTCTAATTTATGTTTTGCATTTGTGTGTGTGATGCACTTTGAGTTAGTCTTTTGTGTAGGCTGTGATGTTTAGGACAATGTTCGTTTTTTGGCTTATGAATGCCAAATTGTTCCAGCGTCACTTGTTAAAAAGACGATCCTTCCTCCATTAAATTGCTTTATCATCTCTGTTGAAATGAATTCCTTTATTAGTCAGTTGGGCTTATTTGTGTGGGTTTATTTTTGGGTTCTTTATCCTGTTCCATCTATCTGTGTATCTATTATTTGCTAATAAACATTGTCTTGATTATTGTAGCTACATAATATCCCTTATTGTGTATCTAATAAAATATGCATACAATTGACCCTTGAACAACATGGGTTTGAACTGTGCAAATCTATTTATATGTGGATTTTCTTCTGCCACCCCGAGACAGCAAGACCAAACCCTTCCCTTCCTCTTCCTCCTCAGCTCACTCAACATGGAGACAATGAGAATGAAGGCCTTTATGATGACTCACTTCCACTTAATGAATAGTAAATATATTTTATCTTCCTTACGATTTTCCTAATAACATTTTCTTTTCTCTAGCTTATTTTATTGTAAGAATACAGTACATAATACATATAACATACAAAGATTTTTTCACTCACCTGTTTGTGTGATCAGTAGGTCTTCCACTCAACAGGGTATTAGTAGTTAAGCTTTGGGGAGTCAAAAGTCATATGTGGATTTTTGACTGCACAAAAATCCACATATATGTCGGGGAGGGGAGCTCCTGATGCTCACATTGTTCAAGCGTCAACTTCATGTACAGTTATCCCTCGATATCAATGGGGCAGAGTTCCAGAACCTCCCACTGACAATCAGAATCCCCAGGTGTTCAAGTCTCTGATATAAAATGGCATAGTATTAGCATATAACTTATGCGCCTCCTCCCATATACTTTAAATCATCTCTATTATTAGTTATATTGCCTAGTACCATGTAAACACTATGTAAATAATTATTATACTTATACAGTATTATTTGCAATAATGATAAAAGTCTGTATATGTTCAATACGAACTCCATTTTTTTAAAATATTTTTGATTCATGATAGGTTGGATCCACAGATGCAGAACCTATGGATACACAAGATGAAATATATTTGGTTTTTGTCCCTGGTTCCTGGCACAGAACTGCAATTTCCCGAGTGATAGGCGTGTCTTTTGAATGAGTGTTGGATTGTGTCATATTTTTCTGAGGATATCTATATGATTATATGATTTTTCTTTAGCCTATTGATATAATTATTATATTAATTGATTTTCAGATATTGAACCAGATATATATCTCTGGAATATATCCCACTTGGTCAAACGTGTAATTCTTTCTATGCATTTGGATTTGATTTGCTAATACTTTTGAGGATTTTTGCATCCAAGTTTATGGGAGATATTGGTCCATAGTTTGGGGGTTTTTTGTACTCTTTGTTTAATTTTGTATTAGGGTAATACTAACTTCATAAATGAGTTAGTGTTTCCTTCTCTTCTATTTTCTGGAAGTGATTGCATAAAATTTGTGTCAATTCTCTCCTAAATGTTTGGTGGAATTCTCTAGTAAAACCATCAGGGCCTGAACATCTCATTGCGGGAGATTTTTATTATGTATTCAATTAATTTAATGATTGTAAGACTAATCAGATTTTCTATTTCTTCTTGATTGAGTTTCATAGCTTGTGACTTTTGAGAAATTGATCCATTTCTTCTCAGTTGTTGAATTTATGAGTGTGAAGTTGTTCATAATATTCCCTTATTCTTTTAATGGCTACATGATCTGCAGTAATAACTCCTGTTTCCTTCCTCATACTGGTGACACGTCTCTCTCTTTTATATCTTTGTCAACTTGCTAGATGTTTATCATTTTTTATTTTCTTTTCAAAAAAGCTGCTTTTGATTTATTGGTTTTCTTCCATTGTTTTTATATTTTTAGTGTTATAAATTCCTGCTTTTATCTTTATTATTTCCTTTCTTTTGCTTACCTTGAATGTATTTTGCTCTCCTTTTTTCAGTTTCTTGAGGTAGGAACCCAGACTAATGATTTGATCCCTTTTTCTTTATCTAAACTTTGAGAATTGTTATTGTTTCTTCCTTGAATGTAGAAATAATCAGTGGAGCCAGGTACGTCTGAAATTTTTATTGTGCGAATATTTTAACTATGAATGCAATTTTAAAAATAGATACAGAGCTACTCAGAGCTTCGATAATTTGGATATTCCAAGAAATATGTCCACTTTATCTAAGTTACCACACTTACCGTAATGAGGTGTTTATAATACTTTAAAAATCATCTTTTTAATAGTTGTAGGATTTGTAGTGATGTCCCTTTTTAATTCCTGATAATAATGAACTAATTTTATTACTGCTTTTTAAAAAGTGGATTTTAGTTTTATTTCTGATTGTTATTCTATTTCATTGATTTCTGCTGTCATGTTTATTATTTGCAAATATTTGAAGATTTTTCAGATTTTCATGTTACTCATTTCTAATTTAATATAATTGTTGTCAGAAGAATTGTGGATGATTTCAGTCCTTTTTTATTGAGAATTTTTCTATGGTTTATGATATAGTCTATTTTGGTAAATAGTGCATGTTCACTTGAAAGGAATATGTATGATGGAGTATTCTATAAATGTCTATTAGGTCAGGATTATGGTAATGTTGCTTAAGTTGGCTATATTTTTACTGATTTTCTATCTACTTCTCACTGATTATTGTCAGTGGGATGTTGAGATCTCCAACTATAAATGTGAATTTGTTTCTTCTTGTAATTCTCAGATTTTTTTCCTTCATGTATTTTGAAGTTATGTTATTAGGAGCATAACATTTAGGGTTATTATATTGTTTTGATGAATTGCTCCTGTAATCATTATGAAAGACCCTCTTTTTTCTTGGCACCATCCCTTGTCCTGAAATATACCTTGATATTAATATAGTTTCCCATCTGTTCTTTGTTCTCCTTTCTTATATTTTTCTGCCTTCACTTGGGTCAACTGAGCACCTTTCATACTTTTAATTTATCTTCTTAGTTATTTTTTCACTCATGGCTATTTGCTCTTAGTTTATAATGTGCATCTTGACTTATGAAAGTCTGATTTCAAATAATATTACCACTTCAAATCTCGTATAAGAGCTTTACAACTGTATACTTACATTTTCCTCTCCCATTATTGCATGATTGTTGTCACATTTTACTTCTGAATTTGTTTTAAAATTAAAATACATGGTTACTTTGCTTTAATCATCTATTTTCAGAGTGATTTCAAAATATAAAAATGTCATTGTATTCACCCAAATATTAACACACACATTTCCATTTCCAGTGTTCTTCATTCATTTAGGTAGATGCACATTCCTATCTGCTTTTATGGAGAAAGTCAATTTCTGGTTTTTCTATTTTTGTTGGTTGCAGAATTCTAGGTTGCCAGATTTTCCTTCAGTACTTGAAAGATGTTTTTCCACTATCTTCTGGCTTATTGTTTCCACTATTTCACTGTTGTTTTTCTTTTTCTTTCTTTTTTTTTTTTTTTTTTTTTTTTTGAGATGGAGTTTCGCTTTTGTTGCCCAGGCTGGAGTGCAATGGCGCAATCTCAGCTCACCGCAACATCTGCCTGCCTCCCAGGTTCAAGTGATTCTCCTGCCTCAGCCTCCCAAGTAGCTGGGATTAAAGGCATGCGCCACCACACCCACCTAGTTTTGTATTTTTAGTACAGACGGGGTTTCTCCATGTTGGTCAGGCTGGTCTTGAACTCCCGACCTCAGGTGATCCGCATGCCTTGGCTTCCCAAAGGGTTGGGATTACAGGCATGAGCCACCATGTCCAGCTGATTTCTTTTTCTTTTTTCTTTTTTTAGAGATGGGGTCTTGCTCTGTCACCCAAGCTACAGTGCAGTGGTGCAATTATAGCTCACTGTAACCTTGAACTTCTGGGCTCAAGTGATCCTCCCACCTTAGCCTCCCGAGTAAGCTGGGACTGAAGGTTAATTTTTTGATGTTGGTTTTACTTTCTCTGCCCAATCTGAAAATCTCTGCCTTTTATTTGGGAACACATTCAATTAAACTCAATTAGATTTTACTTGCTAAAAAGAGTCCAAGGCACAGACACAATGGTAAACCACATAAACTCTTCAGGTTCCCTGCCAGTTCCAGACATCAGTTTTTCTTCCCCCCGAAAAAACACAGTAAAACCCTGTCTCTACCAAAAAGGAAAAAAATTATTATTTTTTTTTTTGTAAAGACAGGGTTCTGCTGTGTTGCCCACGCTGGTCCCAAATTCGTGGCCTCAAGTGATCCCCTGCCTTGGCCTCCCCAAGTGCTTGGATTACAGGTATGAGCCGCTGCACTTGGACTTCTTATTCTTATCTTCGTTTCTCTGTATGTATTGAGTTTCAGTATGTGTTAATACATTACTGTATTTAAAAAAATTTTTTAGTTTTGTTTTAGGACGCAGATAAGTTATTTAGAAACAAATCTGATCTTTTCTAGCTTTGCTTTTAATCTTTCTTACGTGGGATAGATCAAACCTTTAATCAAGGGCTATTTTTTTTTTCTGTTACTGAGCCAATATATTTCCGATTACTGTACCCAATGTGTCATGCATTTTAACAGTTTGCCTTTCTGGCTGATAGAAACAAAATATCCCTAGTTCCATGTGATCCCTGGAAATTATTATGCCTACTTCATTAGACTGTACTTTGGTCTTGGATATTTTCATACACATGCACTTATCAATACTAACCTGGAGACTCAAGTGACATCTTTGCAGATATCTGGAGTTCAATGTCTCTCTCTTCTTTCCTCTCTTCCTCTCTTCTCTTCCTCTTCCTTTTGCTCTGCCTCTTCTTCTTCCTCTCTCTCTCTCGTTGTCTCTTCCCTCGTACTCTGTCCCATGAACTCTAGCTACGTTGGTTCCCCTGAGCCAACTCTGTCCCAATTCTGTCTCCTCAACTCAAATGCTGGCTTAAGTTATCCCTCCCTGGGCTCTTTCCTTAAGCAAGTTTCCTTTAATAGCATTTTATCCACTGTAGAACTTCAATCAGAATTGAAGTCAATCCTCTCAAACCCTGCCACTTCTTTACTAACTAAATTTATGTAATATTTTAAATCCTTTGTAGTCATTTCAATGGTGTTCATGGTATCTTCACCATGAGTAGATTCCATCTTAACTAATCACTTTCTTTGGTAACTCATAAGAAGAAACTCCTCATCCATTCAAGTTTATCAAGAGATGCAGCAATTCTCCACTTCTAATTCTAGTTTTCTTGCTATTTTCACCACAACTGCAGTTACTTCTCCCACTGAAGCCTTGAACCCCTCAAAATCATCCTTAGGGTTGGAATACACTTCTTCCAATCTCCTGTTAATGTTGATATTTTGACCTCCTCCCATGAATTACACATGTTCTTTGTGGCGTCTAGAATGGTGAGTCCTTTCCAAAAGGCTTTTTATTTACTTTGCCTGGATACATCAAAGCGATCACTATCTATGGCAGCTGTAGCCTTAGAAAATGTTATCTATGTAATGTATCCATGTTCAATTCAATTAAACTCAATTAGATTTTATTTGCTAAAAAGAGTTCAAGGCACAGACACAATAATAAACCACATAAATTCTTCAGGTTCCCTATCAGTTCCAGACATCAGTTTTTCTTCCCAAAAGCGTTGTTCTGGATTGCAGGCCTAGGTCAGGTGAGAGGGTACCAGCAGAGGGATGCCTGCATGCCTGCTCCAAACCGGTGCCTCCCCAGCAGTCCTGAGTTGCATGCACTAGAGCATTTCACAGTCGCCACCTCCTTTGCCATAGCAAAACTTGGTTTTGTTTGTGCCTCAGTAGAGGCTGAGGGCCATCACTGAAGAAAATCCACAATAACAAGCAGACAGGAAACCAATATATGAAGCAAAATAATTCTTTATTTTATAATAAAATTATCTACCACAAAACTGAAAGTTTATTCTGACTTAAGGGAAGTCAAATGAGAATCCGAAAGTTTTGTGGTGCATATAGATTCACAGCAATGGGAATTAGTTAGAGGTCTTATATGTAAGTTCACTCAGTGAATGTGTATGGCCCCCAAGCACAGGCCTGGAAGGAACTTCACTGACATGTTTTCTTAAATGACCTTCAACTTGCATCTCTGATTATGTCTTCTTGTAATCCACGCTGGACTCTTTTCTTCTAAGTGACACATTACTTCTTCAGGTAGATCAATATCATCAATTAAAATGCAATTTTGTCTTGTTTTTGCACGGTCTGTTTTTTTAAGTCTAACTTTGCATACTTACCCACTTACCTACACTTTAACTAAAGTGTGTTTATTAAACTTTCCAAACTCTGGGATGCCTTGCTTTCATGCCTACTTATAATTACTTTATGTGTGCTAAAAAGTCACAAATAGCACTTTTTGCCCTATGTTCTTTTCTTCTTTGTACTCTGGAAGAAGAACCAATGACGACAATGAAAAGCAGGCAGTAGCAGAGTTGAAGAAGAGCATAGGACTTGGCAGTGCACAGCATGAATCCTCAGTCCTTGGCCAACAAACGTCATCATTTCAACAGACCAAATCTATTGTCAAGATGTGTTTTCTGTTAAGTCTCCATTGGCCCAATGAGAAACACTTAAATTGAGCTTCCCTAGACAACATTTTGCAAAGGGACTGTGATGCTAACTCTCCCTTGAAAACATTACAATTTATATATTAATAAAATCTTCTTATTTTCATGTTTTAAAACTTCAGCTTGAATTTGAGCCCATTAAGTACAACTGGCAGTAATTTCTTCGCCATGGTCATGTCCAAATGTTGTGATGAACACAGAGATAAGGCTAATTGTCATAGATTTAAATCATCTAAAACAATTGGGATTGCTTCATGTCACCGGTACTCTCTGCTCCAGGCTCAGACATGATAACTTTATGATCAGCATCTTAAATATCTCACATCTCTCAACTCAATTCATATCTTGAGATTGGTTCCAGCTCCAGCATGAATTTTGAAGAGCTCCCTGTGGCTACAAGTCTCTGATTCTTCCCTGTCTGATAGGGGAGCTGGGTCCTGCCCACTGCTTTGTCCTGTGTTCCAGTCCTCCTGGAAAGTCCAGTCCCCCAGTCCCTTGTCATGATGGTCTGTGTCTCTTGGCCAGCTAGGGTTAGGCTCAGAGTTAAGCTAACTGTTGTAGACTCTAACCGTGGCTTGCTTATTTGCACCTGTCTTCTTTGGCTACTAAATAGTTTTTTTTTCTTTTGACCGATTGCATCTGGCTTCCCCACCTGCTCTGTGCCCCTAGTGTATTAGTTTATTAGGGCTGCCATAACAAAATACCACAGACAGAGTGGTTTAAGTGACAGAAGTTTATTTTCTCGCAATTCTAGAAGCTAGAAGTCTAAGATCGAGGTGTCAGCAGAGTTGCTTTCTCCTGAGGCCTGTCTCTTTGATGTGTAGATGGCTGCTATCTTCCTTTGTCTCTGCCTGTTCTTCCCTTTGTGCAGGACTGCATCCTAATCTCCTCTTAAGGACGGAAGTCATATTGAATTAGGACCCAGGCATATGACCTCGTTTAACCTTAATTGCCTTTTTAAACACTCTAGCTCCAAATCCAGTCACGTTCTGAATTTTGAGGCACCAAAGGGGTGGTTAGAACTTCAACATCTGAATTTGGGGGGGATGCAATTCATCTTACAACACCCAAGATGGTTCTTACATCCGTTCTCAGCCTCAGATGTCCTCAGTCCTGGTGCTGCCTATGTGGCGTGCCTGAGGGCAGAGCTCACTGCCAGCCTGGTGCTCCACAGCTGAATTTCTGACTGTCCAGCAAAGTATCCTTTGTCCAATTTGTACCCACAGGTAGGCTTTAGCTTTCAGGCCAATGTTAGATTCTTCTCCTGGCTTTAGAACAACTTGGTGGTCTCCTCCAGTTTCTAGGGACATCTCTATGCCTTTCAACTCCTGATTCCATTTGGACCCATCTCTGTATGACCTCTCACAATGCGAGCTTGGGTATCTTTCCCTTCTTATTGTGACTCACCACTAATAGCAGTACAAAATCCTGTTTCATAAAGTGGGTTCCTCAGAACATTAGTTATGTTGGATATAAATAGATTTCGTGTAGGATACCAAGAATGTTTGAGAAATGTTGCATGACAGAAAACAAAGTTTCTTTCATGCAAAACTTCCTATATGTCCACAGGTGGGAAAGTGGGAAGATAGACCTTGCGTGATTTCCAAATGTTTTTGTTTCCAAATGTTTTATTTGGGTTGGGGTGTGAACTGTGAACTTCCCAATGACCCAAAGGACTTGCCCACATGCAGTGCTGAGATCCTTGGCCACACTTCAGCCTGGCTTCTACCTGCACTAGTCATGTGCCTAAAAGTGACACAGCTCTTGTGTGAGTCTCTGCTCAAGAAAATGCAATGCTCCTGAACTGCCAGATGTAAATTGTCCCAACCCACAAGGCCAAACCATTTTCAGTAATCCTCTGCAACTCCACTCTGTAGCTTCCTACTTATAGCCCCCAGTCTCTTTTCTGGTCCCCCTTTTTTTACTTCCCATAATCTCGTTGTGTGCCCTATCAGATCTCCCTTTGAAAACCCCAGTCACCTTTGTCTTATTTGGAATTAAACTGATTCATACTGGAGCCTCTCTGCCCTACTGCAGTAGTCTGAGTGAAATCTGTCTTGCTGCCTCTAACAGTGTCCAGTGCTCTTTCTCTGACAAGGGGAGGTGCCTCACCAACCCTGAGATATCTGTTAGGAAAATGCTGCTCTGGCATTATGCTCCAAGTGAACCAATTCCAAGATATTCTGCAGAAACTATGGCCCAAAGACACTGAGAACACACAGAAATATGCTTGTGCTTTCTATAAGTTTTCCACTTTGTATTAAGTGAAAAAAATTCTATAATAAAACAAACAGTGAATTTGTGTCACATGTCAGGTATATATGAGTGAGGGCCACATGGCCTCACAGTACATTACACGAATGATGACGCCATGATAACCTGAATGATGAAAGGACTGAGCCTTCCAGGGAACATTCCCATGCTGAGGCCAGGGTCCCCCCTCTGCCACACTGGCAGGATGTGCTGCCACATCCACATTGCAGGCAAATGTCAGCTGGCTGCCCCTTGAACACACACTGACTTGGACATTCACTGACAGTCAACATAATTGTCACTGGACTGCAGAGGGAGTGTTAGGGCTCCCTATGTGGATGTCAGCTCTTACAAATAAAGCTACCCTCATGTTTGTATGGGGGCAGCAGTCTGCAGTCTGTCATCCAGGGGTAGGGGAATAAACCTGAGGATCAACAAAGTCCATTCAATATTAAATAAACCTAATTACATACAAAAGAGGGGTCATGTCTTAGTCTGCTCAGGTTGACATCACAAAATGTCATAGATTGAGTGCTTCAAACAACAGAAATTTTTTCTCACAGTGATGGAGGATGCAAGTTCAAGATTAAGTTTCTGGAGGCTGGAAGTCCAAGTCAAGCAAGTGACACCTGTGACCACCTCCAGCAGCAGAGTCCCACTAAACAGTGGAGAACAGAAAGCATAACAATGCCTGCCTCCAGGAGCAGTAATCCCAAGACGTCAACCCACCACATGATTTTCAGGCACGACTCATGCAGGCACTGGATGGAACAACGCTTTATGCACATAGAGAAGACACAGAGCAAGAGCAGCTTCAGTTTCGACTGTTGATCCCTCATGGCCAGTGGGTCTCACCCCACAGCCAGCACAGGGAGATGTTCCACACACTCATGCTATAGACAAAGGCCCCTGTTCCCAGCAGTGGGGTCGTTCAGGTGCCATATGATGCACATGCTTTAGTAGAACGAAGAAGTACGCCTCCAGTCCAGAACAGAGAAAGAGGTTCCCCATAAAGGGTAATGGACAGCGCAGGCTGTGAAAGCTCTTTATCTCTTTGTAAGAAAATGTTCCTAACCCAAGGCACACTCCTATGCAACTGTACAGAGGTCAAAAGACTACGTTTGTGTGACTGCTTCTCTCAACATGTTCCTGGTGAGGGCTCTTTTCCTGGCTTGCAGACAGCCACCTTCTCCATGTGTCTTCACATGGTCTTTCCTTGGGGCTTGCATGAAAAGAGACAGAGAGATGCTGTGAGAGAGCACTGGGGTGTATCTTCTTATAAGAACACAAATCCCTTCGGATCAAAGCCCCACCCTTAAGATCTTATTAACTTTAGTTCTTTATAGACCCCCTCCCCCACCTCCAAATATAGCCACACCGGGCATTATGGCTTAAACCTGTGGATCTGGGGGAGACACAAACATTCTATTCATAATAGGCCAAGATGCATAAACAGAATAATTGACTCAGGAGAAAGATGGCAAAAATTCAAAAATTCATCAAATGTAGTACACTTTTAAAATATTCTAACTTGTATCTTAAAGAGAAGCTGGACAATATTGCACCCATTAAACAAGGGCATATGTCAATGAAAAAGAGGAAATCAGAAAATAAAATATTCTTAAATATTAGAAATATAATCATTACAATAAAGATACGATGTCTGAAAGAAAACTTGAAGGACAACTGTCAGCATGTACATAAAAAGAGAAAACATGAAGAGAGATATGAGAAAAAAAGTTTAATAAGAGCATTTAAATCCAGGAAGTCCAAAGAGTTACATAAAGAGAAAATACAGAAACTGATAAAAATGAAATGATCAAAGAATAGCCTATTAGGAGAACATTTTCCAGAGCTATGAGGAGGTGCTGCGTGCATCTCGACTTAAAAAGTCACCGACGGTTGATCAGGAGATATAAAAAAATCACCCACCCCTAAATGCATCATTGTGATGTTTCAGAAGAGAAGGAACAAAACAGGGCATCTGTAAAGAAATCACAGTCAAACTCGCATCAGATTTCTCATTAGTAACACTGGAATACAATGAGGCAGTAACTTCAAAGTCCACAGAGGAAATTATTTTCAACTTAGAATTCTACACCTGGTAAAAAAAAATTATACTGAGTGTCGATGCCAAATAAACACATTTTCAGTCATCCTAGGCCTCAGAATGTTTACCCTTTATGCATCTTCAGTGAAAAAGATAAATCCTTGATGATATTCTGCAGTAAAACCAATAAAAATCCTAGACAAAAGGAGACATAGCCCCATCCTCAAGACAATAAAGGACTATCTCAGATGACAACTGAGCAGCAGACTTAGAGAGCAACTGGTCTACCACAGTGCAAGGTCAGGGGAGTGCAGGTGCAAATGTTGCTAGGGAGAAACGTTTAAGAAGAAAGCAGACTTGTGAAAGCAAAAGCATCACGATGGTGGAAAATCTTGGTGATAAGTCAGAGGACAAGTTTAAAACAAAGGGAAAATGTTGGGAATTCTAGGAAACTCACAAATATGTAGAAGAGAGTCATGCTTTAGTGCCAAGCAACAAGCACATGCCATGGGCTAGCAGCATGGACACCTCCTGGAAACTTGTTAGAAATACACATCCTTAGGCCACCCCAGACCTGCTGAATCAGGAACTGTGGATGGCACCCAGCAATCTGCCTTCAGCAAGCCCTCCAGGGGTTTTTGATCCTCTGCATTGGACCAGGGTTTGGCAGTGGCCTCTTTTTGTAAATCAGTTTTGTTGGAACTCATGACACTTATTTTATCCTGCAGTTTCTATGGCTGCTTCCACTCTGCAACAGCAGAGGGTAGTGGCTGTGACAGACACCCTATGGCCCCAAAGCCTAAATATCTGCTATTTGATTCTGTACAGAAAATATTTGCGAATCCCTGCTTTATACCTTTAGATAGGCTACAAAAGTGTTTGAGACTTCATTTGACTTGACTTTGAATTTTAGTATGTGCTTCTTAGATGTATCAGTCTGGGAATCCCAGGTCCTTCTATCTGCAGCCAAGTGCACTACACTCCTGTTTGCAGTGACAATCCTCCTAATATTGTGAAGGCTGCTTCTTAGTTTTCAGTCAACATCTAGAGCAAGCCCAGGAGACTTGGGATTAAGGAATAGGAGTGTAAGAGTTAAAACGTCATAAATGTGAAAGTCAGGTACAGCTCCGGAAACTAGCAGAAGGGAAGCACAGGGAAAAATATTTCCTCATCTCAGATAAAAGGGAGACAAGAGAGACTGTCAAATTGGTGCAACCAGAAAAATATGCTCACACAACTCATAAAAAGTTTTAAAGGCAAAAGAAGTAAAAATCAGACCATAACTAAGAAAAATTGAGAGGGAGTGGAAAGAGAGAAGAGGCAAGGAATAATAGAAAGTATCTAAATCAAGAAATGAGGGATAGAAGATCCTCCAGAGGAACAGAAGAAGAAACAGAAACAAGAGCTGGCTTTGAGCAGGCATCCCAGATGTTGGTTTGACATGGGGCAGACTTTTGTTTTCATTTCTTTGTTTAGTTTTTGTGTGCAAATGTACATTTGACTCCAATGATAGTACAGATTTTGAAAGGTAGAGATAAACACTGGCAGGACCCTGGCCCATGGAATTAGGAAACTTCCAAGCCTCACTCTCCAGCCCTCCTGCCCCCACCAGGTCTGCCCAGTGCTATGTGCTCCCTAAGCCCCCTCTTCCCCACAAACTGCCTTCTGTCTTTTTTAACTGCTGTTGCTTTAATGTTTGTTTTGTCTGATATAAAAATAGTTACTCCTACTCACTTTTGGTCTCTATTTGCACGGAATATCTTTTTCCACCCCTTTACCTTAAGTTTATGTGAGTGCTTATGTGTTAGCTGAGTCTCCTGAAGACAGCAGAAACTTGGTTGGTAAATTTGTATCCATTCTGCCATTCCTTTTTGTTTGTTTGTTTGTTTTGAGATGGTGTCTCACTCTGTCACCCAGGCTGGGGTGCAGTGGCATGATCTCAGCTCACTGTAATCTCCATCCTGGGTTCCAGTAATTCTCCCACCTCAGTCTCCTGAGTAGCTGAGATTACAGGCATGCACCCACATGACCAGCTAATTTTTTTGTATTTGGGTTTTCACCATGTTGGCCAGGCTGTTCTCGAACTCCTGACCTCAGGTGATACACCTGTCTTGGCCTCCCAAAGTGCTGGGATTACAGGCATGAGCCACTGCACTGGGCCCATTCTGTATCTTTTTTTTTTTTTTTTTTTTGAGACAGAGTCTCGCTCTGTCGCCCAAGCTGGAGTGCAGTGGCATGATCTCGGCTCAGTGCAACCTCCGCCTCCTGGGTTCACACCGTTCTCCTGCCTCAGCCTCTCACAGGCTGAGGGCGCCCAACAACACGCCCGGCTAATTTTTTTCTATTTTTTTGTATTTTTAGTAGAGATGGGGTTTCACCGTGTTAGCCAGGATGGTCTCGATCTCCTGACCTCATGATCCGCCCGCCTCGGCCTCCTAAAGTGCTGGGATTACAGGCATGAGCCACCGCACCCGGCCCCATTCTGTATCTTTTAAGTGGAGCATTTAGGCCATTTACATTCAACGTTAGTATTGAGAAGTAAGGTAGTATTCTATTCATCACGCTATTTGTTACTTGAATACTTTGTTGTTTTTTTCATTGTGCTATTGATATACAGGTCCTGTGAAATTTATGCTTTAAGGGGGTTCTATTTTGGTGTATTTTGAGGATGTGTTTCAAGATTTAGAGCTCCTTTTAGCAGTTCTTGTAGTGCCAGCTTGGTAGTGGTAGATTCTCTCAGCATTTGTTCGTCTGAAAAAGACTTTATCTTTTCTTCATTTCTGAAGCTTAGTTTCGCCGGATACAAAATTCTTGGCTGATAATTGTTTTGTTCAAGGAGGCTAAAAATAGGACTCCTATCCCTTCTAGCTTGCAGGGTTTTTGCTGAGAAATCTGCTGTTAATCTGATAGGTTTTCCTTTATAGGTTACCTAATGCTTTTGCCTCACAGCTCTTGAGATTCTTTCCTTTATCTTGACTTTTGATAACCTGATGACTATGCGTCTAGGTGATGATATTTTTGTGATGAATTGCCCAGGTGTTCTTTGAGCTTCTTGTATTTGGATGTCTAGATCTCTAGCAAGGCCATGAAAGTTTTTCTCAATTATTCCCTCAAATATATTTTACAGACTTTTAGATTTCTCTTCTTCCTCGGGTACACCAATTATTCTTAGGTTTGGACACTTAACATAGTCCCAAACTTCCTGGCAGCTTTGTTCATTTTTTAAAATTCTTTATTCTTTGTCTTTGGTGGATGGGGTTAATTCGAAAACCTCGTCTTCGAGCTCTGAAGTTCTTTCTTCTGCTTGTTCAGTTCTATTGCTGAGACTTTCCAGTGGATTTTGCATTTCTATAAGTGTGTCCTTGATTTCCAGAAGTTGTGATTGTTTTTTATTTATGCTATCTATTTCACTGAAGATTTTTCCCTTTATGTCCTATATCATGTTTTTGATTTCTTTAAGTTGGACTTCACCTTTCTCTGGTGTCTCCTTGATAGTTTAATAATCAACTTTCTGATTCTTTGTCTGCCAATTCAGTGATTTCATCTTGGTTTATATCCATTGCTGTTAAACTGGTGTGATTTTTTGGGGGTGTTAGAGAAGCCTGTTTTGTCATATTACCCGAATTGTTTTCCTGGTTCCTTCTCATTTGGGTAGACTATGTCAGAGGGAAGATCTGGGACTCAAGGGCTGCTGTTCAGATTCTTTTTTCCCACAGGGTGCTCCCTTTATGTGGTTTTCTCCTCCTTCCCGTAGGGATGGGACTTCCTGAGAGCCAAACCGCTGTGATTATTTTTTGCCACTCAGCAGAGCTACCAGGCTCAGGCTGGTACTGGAGAGTGTCTGCAAAGAGTCCTATGATGTGATCTGTCTTCAGGTCTTCAGCTGTGGATACCAACACCTGCTCTGGTGGAGGCAACAGGGGAGTGACGTGGACTCTGTGAGGGTCCTTAGTTGTATTTTTGTTTAGTGTGCTGGCTTTGTGCTGATTTTGTGTTGGTTGGCCTCCAGCCAGGAGGTGGTGCTTTCAAGAGTGCATGAGGTGCATGAGGTGCATGAGGGAGGATGCAAACTTGGCCTAGGGTCACCTGGTTAAGCATTCAGGTTTCTCAGGTGTTGGGCAGGGCCACAGAGCTCCCAAGAGACTATGGCCTTTTTCTTCAGCTACCAGGGAGGGTAGAGAAAGACTACCAGGTGGGGACAGGGATAGGCATGTCTGAGCTCAGACTTTCCTGGGGCAGGGCTTGCTGTGGCTGCTGTGGGGGTGTGGCCCCCAGGCCAACGGAGTTATATTTCCAGGGAGATTATGGCTGTCTCTGCTGCATTACACAGGTTGCCAGGGAAGTGGGGGAAAACCGGCAATCATAGGCCTCACCCCACTCCCATGCAGCCGGCAGTCCTAGAGGCCAGTATTACTTCCACTGTGCCCCGGCAACAGCACTGAGTCTACTTCCAGGCAGCTGGTGACCAGGGCTGAGAACTTGCCCCAGACCACCAGCCTCCCCACTGAGAAAATAAGCAGACTCATAGTTTTTTGGCATCTCAGGGAGCCTGTAGCAGGGATCCAGTTCCTTCAAAGGGTCTGTGGATTCTCTTGACTTTCTTGGTAGATTCCTGTGGTACTTCTTGGAGCAGAAGTTCACAATGTGAGTCTCCACACACTGCTCTGTCCGTCCAAGTGGGAGCATTAAGCTAGTCCTCCTCTCCACCATCTTAATCTCCTTGCTGTCTTGTGAAAAACCATCTCCACGGCTGCCTCCTGCCTCCTCTGCAGGATGTGAAATGGTAGCTGGCAAGGTGAACACGAGCACCGCAGCTCCAGCCAATCCTGCGTTGCCACCAAATGACCCTGAACACTGGTGTCCCTCTTCTGCAAGCCCCTCTGAGCCCATCCATCAAGATACACTTCTTGATTCTCCACCCCCATCCAGTCCCAGAGACCATCTTGTTGCATATTCTATGACAACACATCCTTCTCCTTGCTGGTATTTATCACAAATGTAATTATTAACTACATGTGCAATTATTTGTTGAATGTTCTCCATATCCAGCTGGGCTGAAGACAGAGAGACGGTGTCTGGCTCACAGACAGCTGGACCTGCCACTCCTCCCCGATGCCTGTGATACAGGGAGGACTCAATCAGTGCCTGTTACTGGAAGGAGCGAATCCTGCTGGCAGGCAGGCCTCAGCACAGGGCCTGGCACTGCTCTGCTGCAAGACTCAGTACCTGCATCAAGGCACACAGGGAGAGAGGTCGTCAGAGTGTTTGGGGGTAAGATGATCTTTGAGCCTCAAGGTGACAGTCTGTCTGGATTGCTAACAACTTTGGCAGTGGAAAGGGGATGTTGCAGGCTGAGTCTGTCCATCTTCCTAGTGATGTCCTGTCACATCCTCCATATGGGCAACAAAAACTGTTTTCAGGGACATATCAGAGGAGCTATTTCCAATTTTGTGAAAATTACCTTTGAGATTCCAATCTGAGCTGGGAAATCATTTGACAAACATCAGTGGGGATGGATGTGCCAGCACTTCAATGACAAAATCAGATGGATCCCTGGGGCCAAAATATAAGCAGCAGCCAGGACTGGCCCTGGGCCCCCTGTTGTCCTGTGTGGATGCTGGGTTGCCATAATCAACAACATAGTGGCCACACTTTAGAAAACTACTGGAATGAAATGATGAAGGGAATGAATGGGCTGGGAGGCAGTGTAGACCTTCACTATGGAAATTCAGGCAGATCTTCCAATTACAGGCAGGCTTGGTGCCTGTTCTCATGCAGAGCACGCTGCAAGCAGAGACTCCGAATACAGTCATTGAAACAGCTCTGGAGACACAAGCATAAAGCAGAAAAAAACTGATTTGAGTGTCATGTGCAGACAGAGGTGAGGTTTAGGCCACAAGAGAGAATAAGCTCTCCGAGAGAAAGAGAGGCAGAACCTTGCAAAGTATACCTGTGACCTTGTAGAATAGTACTAGGGCAAACCTCCCAGGTTGCTGAACACTGAACCGTTAGTGAGGAAATAAATGTTTTTCAAGAATCACAGTGGAAGTGAGGCTGAAGGCCCACATTTCATTAGACAGAAGAGCACACTCCTCCCGTGCCCCTATGAAATGTAATGTCTGATGAAGCCCAGCAAGAATTTTACTGACCCTTTGGGGCTTTGCAATTTGGCTGAAACAGGTTGTGAAGTCAGCAGCCATTTTCTTCAGCCTTCACAACCTGAAAATCTTTCACTCAATCCAGAAAGGATAGGAATGAGAGGGTGAGGATTTGTGAGCGAGCTTCTCAATCATAGCAAGTTAACCAGATTCGAAATGGAGGAACGTGAGTCTCTCACGCACCAGTCTTAGGTACAGATTTTGCATCTGGCTTTTCAACAACTGTGCAGAACTTCAGAGGTCCCTTCTCTCTTCTGTAAGCCACGGGTCTTCCAGCACCAGCTGACCAAGAGCCACTGAATTTTTATATTTCTGATATCTCATTTTTGATAAATTTTTTGCCTTTGGAGGGTTATTTATGTGTTTATTATTTCTATGGTGACAAAAGTGATGAAGGATCTTATGGGATTTTAAAAGAATGCCCTTTGGAGGCTATTCTGATTACCAAAAAGATTGAACAGGAGAATGGGCTGTTTAAGAAAAGCCCAAAAGTTCTCATGGTAACTAGAGCTGTTATTGACAGAAGGGGATTGGAGATGGAGGTATCTCTGCCCAAATTAACCCATTAACATATCAAATCCTTTAAAAGAAAAAAAAAGTCCTACATGATTCAATATTTGAGAATATTTTCTCATACAGATGGTATAGGAGGGTTCGGGTAAAATAAACAGAACAACAGCGAAGCCCCAGGAACCCGGACCTCATGGCGAAATTCACACCCTTTTTGAGTTTTTGTCCATTCTGCAGCTCTGAGGGCCCCCCCACCTCCACGCGCCTCTGTCAGGTTAGAAAGCAGAAGGGTCTTCCAAGGCCAGGGCTTGGCTGGACTTCAGCTGTGCGGGGATGCGGAGCTGCAGGAGAGGGGCGCCCTCTGGTGGCCGCTACGGGCTGTGCTGAGGCCGAGTGGATGGGAAATGGGCAAAGGGGCCTAGAAAACCCTTCCTGCAGACTCGCGGAAGGAGGAAAGTAGGGAGGCATGATGAGAGCGCTCATGAGAGATGAGTGGTAACCACAGCTGTGGCCAAGCCGCTTTTTTACAAGACTGAGATTCCCCCAGGGCCTCGGGTCACCCTGGCTTTCCTCAAGACACCCCCGACCCAGCCCTACTCCCTGAGGTCCTGAAGGGACCTCTGGGGTCCTGGTTGGTACGGATTCTGCTTGATTCGTGTCGGGGTTGATGCTTGTCCCATGTGGTGGTTAAGGATTTGGGACGTGAATCCCTGGGGAAGTTGGTGTTTGGGACAGATTGGAAGAGGTGAAGAAGGAAGGAGAGGAACTGTTACACTCAGAAAGGGAGGCAGACAGAGTAGTAAAAAGAACCGGGCGCTCCCAAGCTGAGCTGAGACCTGGCCTCTGTGTGTGGCGCTGGCTATGCTCCCAGCGAGGATGGAGAGCCTGCCCTTGGCACTCTCTGGACACTTCCAAGGGGGGACGCGTCCATCCATCCCGCGTGTCTGTGTTACGGTCCACATGGTGGGGCATACCTGGACACCTCTACACGATCTGGCACATATGTCATCAAAGTCCTTAGGATGGATTCTGAGCCTCCTCCAGGTAGCTCCTGGGGAGACGGGAGTCCCTGCCTCAGCAGCGCCAGGCGGCACAGGTGCGGGAAGATCTGGACACACTGGGCTGCAGCAAAGGCGCTCTTCGCTGGACCTGTCAATGTCTGTGTCTAAGGCAAGGAGCAAGCTGGTAGGAGGGGGAGGGCGACGGAAAAGAAGAGCCAGGAGAAAGGGCAGTGCAGGAAAGGGAAACAGATCCTAGGCACAGGGACCCAGGACATGCCCTCCTGGAAGAAAGATGAGGACCAAGAGAACAAGTGCTAAAGAGGGGACGGAGGGAAACAGGGCGAGGCTGGAACGACAGGCGGCCAGCCGGGGGCAGAGCAGGATGGGCTTGGGGAAGCCATGAAGCTAGAATGGTGCTATTTACCCCACACTAAACTGTCTACTGGGCAGGCAGCCTTAAATTCGTCCCCGTACCTGGGAGGCTGAAAATACAGTGGTGTTTTGGCAGAAAAAAATAAGTGAAGCGGCTGAATCCAGTACTGAAGGAAAGCATTAGGTGTGGAGCCTCATTTTTATCTCTGCCAAGTTCTAAATGCAAGAGTGCTGCCTGGCTCGTGTCACATGGCTGTGGGCAGGTTCACACAAGAGAATGCAGGGCAAGGTTCTTCAAATCAGAGTGCTATATTGTATAAAGCTGTATTATTTCCAGCATAGACATTTTTGCACATGTAAGTCATTTTCTCAAATATGAAGAAACTGGATTCCTAGAACATCATTGCTATGATTCCATCACCTTTCCCCAAAGGTAGATCTTTCATCCTTGTTGGGTTGAGATGAGAATGTGTCAGCTGCTAAGGGAACCCATATAGCTCAGGCTGTCACCTCCATCTCCCAGTGTACCAGGAGGAGTGGCTCCCCTGGTCCTCTGCCCACAGCTGCCCCGCAGCACCAGCCACTTCCAGCACACTGCCAGCAGACCCTGGGAGAACTGGCATACGAAAGAAGTGCTAACTCCAGAGGTAGCACTAGGACCCACAGGTGCAAATTGCAAAAGAAAAAGTTCAGTTGCACTCTGACCCTTGGAATTTTCCAAACCCGGACAAGGAGGTCTCTGCAGCTGATAAGCCCCATCTCAGGAGTGGGCATTGCTTAGAGCCCGCACAGCTCTATGGCCTGAGCCTAGTGTTCATGGCATTATCAACAACCAAGGCTGGCGGCAGGCATGAATGTGGGGGTGGTGACTATACAAGGCTTAAGAAAGAGAAACGTTCTGTATTCTCACCAGTACTGTAAATGGTATCCTTGTTTCCCACAGAGCCTTTGAATCTGGGCAATAGGATCTCTTGTTAAGAATGGGGCTGGGCTGGGTGTGGCCCAGCACTTTGTGAGGCCAAGGAGGACAGATCATGAGGTCAGGAGTTTGAGACCAGCCTGCCCAACATGGTGAAACCCTCTCTCTACTAAAAATACAAAAATTAGCCAGGCATGGTGGACATGCCTGTAATCCCAGCTACTCAGGAGGCTGAGACAGGAGAATTTTTCGAACCCGGGAGATGGAGGTTGCAGTGAGCCAAGATTGCACCACTGTACCCCAGCCTGGGTGACAGAGCAAGACTCTGTCTCAAAAAAAAAAAAAAAAAAAAAAAAAAAGAATGGGGCTGAGACAGTACAAGCAGCTTGGAGCTCTGGACTTGGAGCAAACAGCTATGTTTAACTCCTTATCATTCACCATCTGTGGGCATTTAGCAAGGCATTTTGCAACACTTTTGCTTTCTTGTAAAATAAAGTTCAAATAGCTTAATTTACAATGTTATTGTACAATTCAGCTAAGCTTATCCTTGTAAAAGTCTCGAGTAAAAAGTATAAAAACTGTGTGTCATTTATCAATCGGCATTATTGGGATGTGAATAGCACACTGCATGTGGGCTCAGAGAATATGGGCTAACTATGGGCCTTTCCAAGAGAAGTGGGAATCACTCACGACCTTTCCCTCCTTCTGCAAAGGCAAATTTACAAGTCTTCTTTTAAGCATGTCATATTGATATATGCATAAAATTTTGGTTTTTTAATTGAACTTATTATTGAGATAACTGTTGATTTATATGCAGTTGCAAACAATAATACAGGGAAATCCTAGGTACATTTAACTCACCTTCCCCCAGCAATAACCATTTTAGTATATCACACCAGAATATTGACATGGATACAATTCACTGATTTTGTTCAGATTTCTCCAGTGTTACTTATACTTATCTGTGTGTCTGTGTATGTATTTAGGCGCGTTTAGTTCTAGATAAATTTACCACCCATGTTAAGTTCATGTATGCACCACCAAAGTTAAGATTCTTAAGAGTACTGATCAATAGATACCTACATTAAAAGAGAAGATGGCCCCAAATAAATAGCCTAACATTACACCTCAAGGAGCTAAAAAATGAACAAAGCAAGCCCAAAGTTACAAGAAGGAAGGGAATAACAAATATCAGAACAGAAATAAATCAAAATAGAATAAAAAACCATAGAAGAAATCAATAAAACTAAGAGTTAGTTTAAAAACAAACAAACAAAATCGACAGACCCGGAGGTAAACTTAAAAAAAAAAAAAAAGAGAAAAGCCTCAAATAAATAAAACCAGAAATAAAAGGAAGGACATTACAACAGATGCCTCAGAAATAAAAAGGATCATAAAGGACTATTGTGAACAATATTATGCCAACAAATTGGATACCCTAAGGGAAACAGACAAACTCCAAGAAAAATTTAACCTACCAAAATTGAATCAGGAAGAAATAAAAAGCCTACACAGATCAATAACAAATAAAAAGATCAGAGTAGTAATTAAAAATTTCATAACAAGTACGACAACAACAAAAAGCCCAGAATCAAATGGTTTTGCAACTAAATTCCTTCAAACATTCAATGACAAATTAATACCAACATTTCCTAAATTCTTCCAAAAAATAGACCTAGAGGGAATACTTCCTAACACATTCTATGAGTGCAGGATCACCCTGATACCTAAGCCAGACAGATACTGTAAGAAAAGAAAACTACAGGCCAATATCGCTGAAAATATTGATGAAAAAAACACAATAAAATATTAGCAAACCAAATTCAACAACACATCACAATATTATACATCATGATCAAGTGAAATTTATCACTGACATGGACCCTCATTTAACATATACTAATTAATCAATGTGATACATTAACAGACTGAAAGATAAAAATCACATGATCATCTCAATTGATGCAGAAAAAGCATTCAACGAAGTTCAACATTGTTTCTTGATTTAAACTCTCAACAGTTTAGGTATAAATGGAAAGTTTGTCATCATAAAAAAGGCTATGAAAAAGCCACAGTTAACATCATAGTCAATGGGAAAAAAATTAAAGCTTTTCCGCTAAGATCTGGTACAAGGCAAGGATGCCCACTCTTGCTGCTTCTATTCAGCGTGGTACTGGAAATACTAGCAAGAGCAATTAGACAAGAAAAAGAAATAAAAGGCATTTAAATCAGAAAGAAAAAACTCAGATTATCTCTATGGATGGCATGATCCCATATTTAGTAAACCCCAAAGACTCCACCAAAAAAAAAAAAATGTTAGAACTAAAAAACAAACTTCGTAAAGTTAAAGGATACAAAATCAGTTGCATTTATGTGCACAAATAACAACCTACGTGAAAAAGAAATCAAGGAAACGATTGTATTTATGAAAGCATCAAAAATACAGTTAGGAATAAGTTTAACCATGGAAGTAAAAGACATGTACACTGAAAATTATAAACCATTGATAAAATTAATAGAAGACACAAATACGTGGAAAGATAACCCATATTCATGGATCTGAAAACTTGATGTTGTTAAAATGTCCATATTACCCAAAGGAATATGCAGATTCAATGGCATCCTTATCAAAATCCCGATGGCATTCTTCACAGAAATTTAAAAAATCCTGAAATTTGTATGGAACCATAAAAAAACTAAATAATAAAAGTAATTTTGAGAAGAGAAAATGACATTGGAGTTATCACACTTCCTGAGTTAAATTAGATTGCAAAGCTATAACAATCAAAACACTATGATACTGGCATAAAATCAGACCACAGACCAGTGGAACAAAAGAGAGAGCCCCAAAATAAATCTATATATATATATACAGTAAACTAATTTTTGACAAAGGCACCAAGAAGACAAAATGGGAAAAGGATAATCTCTTCAATAAATGATGCTGGGGAAACTGGATTTGCATGCGCAAAAGAATAAAACTGGGCCCTTGTACCATACACAAAAATCAACTCAAAATGGATACAAGACCTAAATGTAAAATCTGAAACCATAAAACTCCAAGGAGAAAACATAGGAGAACAGGTCCTTGACATTGCCCTTGGCAATAATTTTTGAATATCACACCAAAAGGCTACAAAAGCAAAAATAAATAAATGGGAATATGTCAAACTGAAAAGCTTCTGCACAGCAAAGAAAACAATCAACAAAATGAAAAAGTAACCTATAGATTGGAAAAATAATTGCAAAACATATATTTGATAAGGTTTAATATCCAAAATTTATAAAATGTTCACACAGCTCAATAGCAAAAAACATATAACCCAATTAAAAAATGGGCAAATTATCTGAATAGTTATTTATCCAAAGAAGACATCAAAATGACCCACAGGTTAATGAAAAGATGCTCAATGTCACTAATCCTCAGGGAAATGCAAATCAAAACCATTATGCGTTATCACCTGACACCAGCAAGTGGAGCTTCCTAAAGAAATTAAAGTTAGAAGTACCATAAGATGTAGCAATTCCTCCTCTGGGTATGCATCCAAAGGAAAGGAAATCAGCACTCAGGGAGATATCTTCACTGTCATGTCCATTCCAGCATTATTCTCAATATCTAAGATAAGAAACAACCTAAATGTTCATTGGCAGGCAAATGGGTAAAGAAACTGTGATATATATGTACAAAGGAATATCCTTCAGCCTCAAAAAAGGAGATCCTGCCATTTGCCACAACATGGATGGAATTGCAAGACATTATGCTAAGTAAATATGTCAGATGCAGAAGGAAAAATATTGCATAATCTCACTCATATGTAAAATCTTTTAAACAAATTCAAATATACAGAAATAGAGAATTACACCGTGGTTACCAGGGGCAGTGTGGCAGGAAGGAATTGCAGAGAAGTAGGTCAAGGGTTACAAAGTCGCAGATAAGGAGGGTGGACAAGTCTAGAGATCTAATGTAAAGCATGAGGACCGCCAATACTAACAGTGTCTTGTATTCAGGATTTTTGCTAAATGAGTTGATTGTAGATACTTCAGCCCCACACACAAAACATGGGTACATTAATTTGCTTCACTATATTAACCAATTTACTATATATATATATATATATATATATATATATATACACACATATATATATATATATAAACATCATGATGCTTACCTTAAACATACACAATTAAATGTATTTAAAAAATCCATCATGATGTACAACTTATATACATAAAATAACTAAAATAAAATTTAAAAAATAAGATTCTCCCCCTCCCACAACAAGAAAGGCTTTGGAAGGACTTGAATATAAGATGGCAGAATAATTTGGTAATAAATGCCAACGACTGAGATCTGGGACATCTGTTGACTGAGATGCCAGGTGCCATGTTGCATGGCATGGCATGAGGCCAGAGCCATGGGGCAGGCATTGTAGGATATGTACCAATGTCCAGTCTCCTCCACGGTGACTCTCTATGTGCTCAGACCATCAGGAATTATTTTCTTTTGCTCTTTTGGTGTCTCTGTAAATCCCATCTTATCTCCCAAAAATTTCCTCCTCTCCTCTGCTTTAAATGCAATGTCCTTTGAGGCCCAGCTCACAGGCCACATCAGCTACGCAGCGACGCAGCCCTGGAGGAACGAGCCCAGAGCCTGGGCTGTATCTCATGTTGCAGATTTCTGGCATCTTGAATCTTCTTATCCTGACCTCTCCAATCGCTGCCACCCTTCATCTTTGATCCCACTGGTGGGCTTGTGCAAGTGTGCAGGATGGAACCTGAGTTCCAGCCCCTTACGCTGACAATTACAGTAGTTGCTTACCAGCATCCTATGTCTGGGCCCTCTTCCCCTCAGAGGCAGGTTGCCTGGAAAGAACAGAAAGAACAAAGGGATCCATTTCTGTCTTTCTCCGAGGGACTGTCTGGAGCATCTCCAAAGATGGGGACTACAAAATGCGATTTGCATCACAGCCCACAGCAAACACAAAACTGCACACATCTGTGTCCAGTGGCGTATTAGCCATGTGGCTCCACCTCCAGAGGAGGATATCTGATCAGCCTCCAGGGCTTCATCCCCTAAGTCCCTGGCAGGTGTTGCAGCTGTTCCTTTCCTCAGGCTGCAGGTGAACAAGTGGGTGGCCACGCTTTGTTAAGTGGCATGGCCATCGAGAGTCATCCGGCTCTGTTGAGGCATCATTGTCCTTTCTGCTGGAAAAGTTGAGTCTTCCTGAACCTTGAAGACAAACCACAAGCTCATCGGTTGTTGTTTGTATGCATGTGTGACAGAAGAAAAAAAATTTCTCGAGAGAGGTGTTCAGTGCTCCCCTCATCCTCTTGCCCAGAAGGTGCCCCTGTTAGCACAGAACGCCCAGTATCTGTGAGTGGAGCAGGGGCAGGTGCTATGCGCCTGGGGACAGGCCACTTCATCTTTATGTGCCTCGATCTCCCCACCCACAATGAGATCTGGATCACACTTCTGAGTGACTGCTACCAGGTAGCCACTGGCCCATGTTTCAGTGGAAAGGAGAACAGGAGCCCAAAGATGACAAAAGACACAGCCCCACTGTCCAGAAGCTCACAGCTAGGAAATGAGATGCCCTTTCCTTAGTTCCTAATCAAAATTCCCATTTCAGGCCAATAACCATGAGCTGCTCTGTTGGGGTGATGCTGCAGTTAGCAAGACGTGCATCCCACCCTCTGGAAATTCATGGCACCAAAAGTTGTCACAGAGTGAGTTGGGGGCAAAATGACACTAAATGGTGCATCTTTAACCTTATGTCACAGATGTTAGCAAACTCAGTCCAAGAAAAAAAAGGCAATTAGTGCTCGCTTCGGCAGCACATATACTAAAATTGGAACGATACAGAGAAGATTAGCATGGCCCCTGAGCAAGGATGACACGCAAATTCGTGAAGCGTTCCATATTTTTTATTCACAATAGCAAAGACTTGGAACCAACCCAAATGTCCAACAATGATAGACTGGATTAAGAAAATGTGGCACATATACACCATGGAATACTATGCAGCCATAAAAAATGATAAGTTCTTGTCCCTTGTAGGGACATGGATGAAACTGGAAATCATCATTCTCAGTAAACTATCGCAAGGACAAAAAAACAAACACCACATGTTCTCACTCATAGATGGGAATTGAACAATGAGAACACATGGACACAGGAAGGGGAACATCACACTCTGGGGACTGTTGTGGGGTCGGGGGAGGGGGGAGGGATAGCATTAGGAGATATACCTAATGCTAAATGACGAGTTAATGGGTGCAGCACACCAGCATGGCACATGTATACATATGTAACTAACCTGCACATTGTGCACATGTACCCTAAAACTTAAAGTATAATAATAATTTTTTAAAAAGGCAATTAATACTGTTTTTACACATTATTTTGAAAGGCATTTTGATGATGCAAATAACCCACGTTACATACAGAATAATTATGAAATATAGGTAAAAGGAAAATGAAAATTACAAAATTACGGATACCTGGAAATATGTGCTTCTGACTGTGGGTCTGTCTCTCCATCTTCACTTGCTCAAAAGTAAAAATAATGACATCTTTGCTGCTCTGCAACCTGCTTAGTACTTAAATGAATTTTCCATATTTATATAAATGATGAAATCCCAGCACTGCTGTTTTAATGAATGCAGGATGATTCAGTTCAGATGTACCATGATTTGATTATCCTAAAGAAATTACAATAACCATCTTTACATCTATATATCTGTACACATCCTTATTTATTTAGAAGGAATTCTTAGAAACTGAATTGCTGAATAAAGGCACGTTTTATACGTACTGCAAAATGGCTAAGTTTTTTGGGTAATCTACTTCATGGATAATAAACTGCAATATGGTATACTAAACCTGACTTCTTCCCAGCATGTCACAGATCCGCCTCCACAAGTTACCATTCTGACTTCAAATGACTTGCTTGAACAAACTCACGTGCCTGATGTTGACTCACCTATGTTATTGCACCATGAAAGATGTGGAGCGCATCATGTTTTCACACGAATTAGCATGGAAAGGTGGTAACTTTATAGTTTTACCACCTCAAGCTTTTAATACCTTTCTTGCTGCAATGTATTGCCAACCAATGTGAACCATAATAGCACCGAGAGAAAACAGGATGCAGGAGGGAAGGAAGAAAAGTAATATTCCTTAAAATGTGCAGCACCATGTTCTCTAAATTTTGAAATACTGAACAAAAAGCATTAACAGGTTTGTAAACCTTTAACACAAATTGAGTTCTATTTCCTCTGCTGGCCCCTGGGAAGGGTATGTGGCCCAGTGGTGGGGACCTGAGAGTTGGCTGGAAAGTCAGGGCTCTGGGTCTTTTTCCATACTTTAAAGCTCAGTGAGCAAATTTGAGATCAATTAAGTTCCCCATCTGGAACCGGATGAAAAAGCTTGCCAGATCCACCTCACGTGATACCACAATTTCCTATGAAGATTACTATTAAATTAAGGAACTATGATGAAGACCAACTGGCGTAACTGCTTGGGTTTAGTTATCTTCCAGAAATGATTCATGCTATACGTATTTAATTAGTTTTTTTCAGTTATTTGAAAGGCTCCTTTCAGGAGGATGTTGGAACACAATTACATGTGACATTTGGCTGAGAGCAGTGACTCCTAGGTCGTGACCTGTCCACCTGCGTGTGCCCGTAGCAGCATTGAGCAGGTCTTCCCAGAAAAGCCAAGACAGTGGGAAAATGATCACCTGGTATAGCTAAGTGTGAGTACAGGCTACAACATTGTTGAGCTACACATAGCCACAGACACCAAATGCATTAGGTCGTTCTAAAACCATAAAGGATTCCAATGTTTCATAGCTACATTTGTGGACTAGAAATGATGGAGCTACCTAAATTCCACAGATATTCTGATTAGAGTCTCCTACTAGATGTAATTTTTTCCTCAAGCTATCAATAGCAAAATTAACAAGTGAGCAAGCTCCTCTCCATCTCCCTGTGGAACAGCCAACAATTAGGAGAAAGAAAAGTCTTATAGCTGGTGAGAGACTAGGATGTGAAGGCTGGAGGAGCTGGGATTGGTGCTGCAAAGGAGATAGCACGGACAGGAGTGGCTAGTGCTGACCTTGTCCCAGGCACTGCAGCCAAAAGAAGTTTGCTTGTGACCAAACTTCTCAGTCATTAGGATTCATCTCCATTGTACAGATAATGAAATAAAGACTCAGAGATGAATCACTTTCAGATGCATCCACAGTCAGTCAATAGATGTTTGAAGTAGTTTTCTGTGTTTCTCTTGTGCCAAATACTAAACTGTTTCTTCTAGAGAAGAGAGATCTTAAAATCATGAAGTCCAACAATGGCCAAGGTGTAGCTAGGCAGAGCTGGGGCTGTTCAAATATGAACATCATTAGGAATGATGACAGGAATAATCATTATTATTATAACAATAATAAACATTTGCTGAGTACCAACTATGGGCCAGACACGAGTTTGGGCACTTTAGATTCTGTTTTCCTTAAGATGGGGGAGGCTGGCCGGGCGTGCTGGCTCACTTCTGTAATCCCAGCACTTTGGGAGGCCGAGGCAGGTGGATTGCCTGAGGTCAGGAGTTCGAGACCAGTCTGGCCAACATGGTGAAACCCCATCTCTAATAAAAACACTAAAAAATTAGCCAGGTGTGGCAGTGTGCTCCTGTAATCCCAGCTACTCTGGAGTCTAAAGCGGGAGAATCACTTGAACCCGGGAGGCGGAGCTTGCAGTGAGCCAAGATCACGCCACTGCACTCTAGCCTGGGTGACAGAGTGAGACTCTGTCACAAAAAAAAAAAGATGGGGGAGGCCATATTGCAATAATAAAATATCATCAATATTTTCTGGGACCTAAACCGACAAAGTCCCAGAAGATTTTATGGTACTATGTGTCAGTTTTGGACTGGCCAGGCTGTGCTGTATGTCATTTTGCACTACCTGGCAGATAAAGAGAAATATCAAATCACACGCTGTCTCCTGAAGCTCCAGCCAGAAGTGAACAAACAGATACCACAAGCCAAAGCACAATCCCAAGGCCAGGCCTGATTTGAAGGGGAGCAGGCTGTGCCTAAGGATCAGAAATATTAGGTGCCAGCAGCAACGACCCCCATACATGTGTTCTGTCATTTACCTCCCCAAAAGACTTTTACAGAAGAGAAAATGCGGCATGGAGAGCTTCAGGGACCTGTGTAAATGCCACACAGCTAAGTAGAGACAAGCTTGGCCTTGACTCCAGGCAGCTGGACTCCACAGTCTGTGCTCTGTTTGTAAATTTTTACTTATTTATTTATTTATTTATTGAGAAGGAGTCTCGCTCTGTCGCCCAGGCTGGAGTGCAATAGTGCGATCTCGGCTCACCCCACCTCCGCCTCCCAGGTTCAAGTGATTCTCCTGCCTCAGCCTCCCAAGTAGCTGGGATTATAGTTGTGCACCACCACGCCCGGCTAATTTTGTATTTTTAGTAGAGACGGGGTTTCTCCATGTTGGTCAGGCTGGTCTCAAACTCGCAACCTCAGGTGATTCGCCCATCTCGGCCTCCTGAAGTGCTGGGATTACAGGCGTGAGCCACTGCACCCAGCCATAATTTTTTTTTTTAATTGACGGACACGAACTGTATATATTTATGGTATATGACATAATGTTTTTTCTTTTTTTGTCCTCATCGCCTGTCCTAAGAAGAACATAGTGTTTTGATATACAGTATGCGTACACTATGGAATGGCTAAACTGAACTAAGTAACATATGCATTGCCTCACCTACTTGCCAGTTATTTGTGGTAAGAACACTTAAAACTACTCTCTTAGAAGTGCTCAAGAATACAAGACACTGTGTTTAGCTGTGGTCACCATGCTGTGCAACAGATTTCTTGAAGTTTCTCCTCCTAACTGAAATTGTGTATCCCTGGCCAACCTCTTCTCAGTCCTTCCCCTGCCCCAGCCTCTGGTAAGCACCATCCCACTCTCTGCCTCTGTGAGTTTGACATTTTTAGCCTCTGTATATAAGTGAGATCATAAAGTAGCTGTCTTTTGGCACCCAGCTTATTTCGCTTAGCATAATGTCCTCCAGGTTCATCTATGGTGTTGCAAATGACAGGATTTCCTTGTTTCTTAAGGCTGAATAGTACTCAACCGTGTATTTATAACACATTTTCTTCACCTGTCGATGGACACGGAGGTTGATTCCATATTCTGGCTGTTGTGGATAGTGCTATGATGAACATGGGTACAGGTAGAGTAGCCTGCACTCTTTACCATCATTCATTTCTCTCTCTCTAGCTACTGTCGACAGCACCAACTACGTACCAGGCATGGAATGCAATATTATTTATATCCTTTACTCCTCCCAGTCCTGCAGATTTTATTCATCACATTTTACCCGTGAGGACCATGAATCTTTCCATGAGGACAATGAAGATGTAGAACTTATTCTAGTATCCTAAGCAGTAGTCAAAGTTTGAACCTTAGCTTGCCTGACCCCAAAGCCCATGCTCTTCAGCATTACATTATGAAATTCTTGGGAGACCTAGCACAACTCTGAATTCGAGAAATATTAACTCAGCACCTACTCTGCACAAGATACATGAAACTCAACCCTCTCTCTTGTTGGCTTGTAGTCAGTCATTAGTGATATTTGAGAGCAGTAGGTCATCTGGAGAGACTGGATGCAAAGCAATCACAGTCCATGAGCTGTCTCCATGAAGATTAGAAAAGAGGCACTTCTTTCTCAAGACATGTTACTTCTATCTCTTGGGATGCTGTCATATTACACTGTTTTGTTAGAATAAGATCTCCTACTACCATCTTCTAGAGAACTGTTGTAAAGCACATGTGAGTCTGTGGAAGTTGTGATGTGCATGGGGCCTGCAAGGATGTGCACCAACACAACCTAAATGGGTGGCCTGGCTATGCTCACCAAAGGGCTTCTTGCTCTCCTTCCACATTTTTACCAGGCTGGATTCCATTTGCATTTTGTATTCTAGGACACACAGAAGCAGCTTTGTTGTCATGATGCAATGGCAGTGATCAGAAATGATCACCCCTTCCATGAGAAAAATCATGAGAATCTAAAAATATGCAGACTTCCTACCTTACTCTAATGCTGAAAGAGAGTGATTTGAAGTCACCACTTTTTTTTTAAATAGGTTTTCACTTTGCCTCCCAGGCTGGAGTGCAGTGGTGCGATCTCAGCTCACTTCATCCTCGACCTCCCGGGCTCAAGCGATCCTACCACCTCTGCCTCCCAAGTAGCTGGGACTATAGTTAAGACTATTTTTTCCAGCCAGGTGCAGTGGCTCACTCCTGTAATCCCAGCACTTTGGGAGGCCAAGGCAGGCGGATGACCTGAGGTCAGGAGTTCAAGACCAGCCTGAACAACATGGTGAAACCCCGTCTCTATCAAAAAAAAAAAATTAACCTGGTGTGCTGGTGGGTGCCTGTAATCTCAGCTACTCGAAAGGCTGAGGCAGGAGAATTCCTTGAACCCGGGAGGCAAAAGTTTCAGTGAGCCAAGATCGTGCCGTTGCACTCCAGCCTGGGCGACAGAGCAAAACTCCATCTCAGGAAAAAAAAAAAAAAAAAAAAAAAAAGCTATTTTTTCCCCTCTTTTTAGAGGTGGGATTTCACTCTGTCACCCAGGCTGGAGTGCAGTGCCATGATCATAGCTCAGTTCAGCCTCAAACTTCTGGGCTCAAGCAATCCTCCAGCCTGAGCTTCCTCAGTGGCTAGGACTATAGGCACACAGCACAATGCCTGGTGAATTTTCTATTATATTTTTTGTAGAGACAGGTCTTGCTATGTTTCCCAGGCCAGTCTCAAACTCCTGGCCACAAGAGATCCTCCTGCTTTGGCCTCCCAAAGCACTGGGATAATAGACATGAGCCACCATGCCTGGCCCTGCAAATGACTTATAGTCTGCAGATCTGAGTGTTCATTTCAGCTTTGCCACGTTCTTCCCAGTGACCCTTCACAAGTCACTCTACTTCTGAGCATTCAGTTGCTTCTCTTTGAAAAGGAATTGTGTCCCCAGCCTGTGTGCCTCACATCGGGGCCACGGTTCTGCTTTGTAAGGGCTTTGAAGCACTAGGGGAATTGGGATGCACCACATGCCTGCTAGTTCTGCATCACCAGGCTCTCTTCGGAGTGCTCCTTACCTTCATCACACACATGTGAGTTCCCGTTACCAAGCCAGGGTCTGTGTCAGATGTTGAGATACAAGAATGAAGAAAACTTTACCTGCATAGTTAACTAGTGTCTATTCACCAGAATGAGTCGTTTGAGAGTAGAGAGTCTACATTAAGCTTTTCTCTGCCACCCCACCCTTGTACCTAGGACAGCTCCAAGGTCTCCAGATGTGCCTAATGAGCTGTTTTTCAGTTAGGAAATATTAAGAATAAATCTCTGCATATGACCCAGTGTCTCTGTGGTGTTAGATTTTTCTGTGGTACCAGATGACCAAACTGAAGTTAACCTTAACTAGTTTCCTCGTTTCAGAAAATAAGGACTTATTATCTTAACCCAACCCCTTATCTAGTTTTTAAACAATGAATTTGGGAGCATTTAGAGGATAGTGTATTGATTAATACAAACTGATAACAATAATACTAATGCGTACACTTTGTTGAATGATTCCTACGTATCAGCTTTACAGCTCCAGGTTTACCAGGAGTAAGTCCGTTCTAATGGGGAAAAAAACCTGTTATTGCCCTTTAGAACAGAGTGTGGTATGTATCTCTACTTCAGCCGAGTACTTGACACTGTGTCTGTATCTTGATAGATTAGTGAATTTCCTGGGTAAAGAGAATTTGCCTGGGTTTAGCGATCAACCCAAGTGATTTCCTGGGTTTAGAGATCCTAAACTAGATCTCTAAAGAGTATTACTACCAGGTCTGTGTCAAATTGAAAGGTGATTCTGAATGTTGGGTCATCAGCATATATTGTTTAGTATGTTTATCAGAAGCTCAAGTGGAAACAGATTTGCAGCTCTGCTGTAGAAGACAGCTTCAAGACTTGTAAAATGACATTGACAGATAAGAATGAGGAGCTACAGAAAAATGAAATAAAATTTATTAGGAAAAAGTGTGATAGCCTGTATTCCAGAAAGTCGCTTGCAAGGTACAAAAGATTCCTGGCTTGGTGATGACTCATGTGAGGAAGGAATGAGATTTAGGCAAATAAAACCTCACATAAGGAATCCTGTGACAAGGCTGCCAAAACAGTGAGAACAATTGAAATCTACCACCCAATTAAAAGGTGGCAATAGTTCTACTTTCTCTGTGAATACTACTATAAGTAGAATTATTATTCCATTCTGAATTCATTTTTACATTCTAAATACATTTATATCTATTGAAAATTTTCCCATCAGATAATGATATATTATCAATGGATTTGAAAAATTAGAAATATCTTAATATTTCAAAATAAATATTTAACTCCAGAGAATAGGATAGCTTTTCTCATGTTCATCATTGTTGAAAATGCTTGTAGCAGTTACTTATATACATACTTTTAAAATAATTTTTATTAGTTCTGTTAATTGACAATTTATAATCTGGGAAAGATTATAAATTCCTTTTATAAAGAGAAAAATGAAATTGAGATGTGACCCTGTCATAGTAATGCATTCAGGAATCTCATATAAGCATTGCTAGATGAGTCATTTTGCTGGGAGCAGGGCAGCTCATTTTAAGGATGATATTGACAAAGAGGGTATAATACAGATGGCAGAAAACATGAAAATCATCTTGTGTGTAGAAACCTGGAATATTTATCCCAGGAGTCATAAATAATAAAGGTTTTCCACTATGTGATATCACAGCCTGTGAATAAGTAATCCCTGTGTTCTTAATATCACCAAATGTCAGAGCTACGAGTCCCAAACAGGATGATTAAAACAAGTTATAAGAAATAAAGATAGAGAGAGGAGCCAAGATGGCCGAATAGGAACAGCTCCGGTCTACAGCTCCCAGCATGAGCAACGCAGAAGACAGGTGATTTCTGCATTTCCATCTGAGGTACCGGGTTCATCTCACTAGGGAGTGCCAGACAGTGGGCGCAGGTCAGTGGGTGCGTGCACCGTGCGCCAGCCGAAGCAGGGCGAGGCACTGCCTCACTCGGGAAGCGCAAGGGGTCAGGGAGTTCCCTTTCCTAGTCAAAGAAAGGGGTGACGGACAGCACCTGGAAAATCAGGCCACTCCCACCCGAATACTGCGCTTTTCCTACGGGCTTAAAAAACGGCGCACCAGGAGATTATATCCTGCACCTGGCTCGGAGGGTCCTAGGACCACCACGGAGTCTCGCTGATTGCTAGCACAGCAGTCTGAGATCAAACTGCAAGGCGGCAGCGAGGCTGGGGGAGGGGCGCCCGCCATTGCCCAGGCTTGATTAGGTAAACAAAGCAGCTGGGAAGCTCGAACTGGGTGGAGCCCACCACAGCTCAAGGAGGCCTGCCTGCCTGCCTCTGTAGGCTACACCTCTGGGGGCAGGGCACAGACAAACAAAAAGACAGCAGTAACCTCTGCAGACTTAAATGTCCCTGTCTGACAGCTTTGAAGAGAGCAGTCGTTCTCCCAGCACGCAGCTGGAGATCTAAGAACGGGCAGACTGCCTCCTCAAGTGCGTCCCTGACCCCTGACCCCCGAGCAGCCTAACTGGGAGGCACCCCCCAGCAGGGGCACACTGACACCTCACACTGCAGGGTACTCCAACAGACCTGCAGCTGAGGGTCCTGTTTGTTAGAAGGAAAACTAACAAACAGAAAGGACATCCACACCAAAAACCCATCTGTACATCGCCATTGTCAAAGACCAAAAGTAGATAAAACCACAAAGATGGGGAAAAAACAGAACAGAAAAACTGGAAACTCTAAAAAGCAGAGCGCCTCTCCTCCTCCAAAGGAACGCAGTTCCTCACCAGCAATGGAACAAAGCTGGACGGAGAATGACTTTGACGAGCTGAGAGAAGAAGGCTTCAGACGATCAAATTACTCTGAGCTACAGGAGGACATTCAAACCAAAGGCAAAGAAGTTGAAAACTTTGAAAAAAATTTAGAAGAATGTATAACTAGAATAACCAATACAGAGAAGTGCTTAAAGGAGCTGATGGAGCTGAAAACCAAGGCTCGAGAACTACGTGAAGAATGCAGAAGCCTCAGGAGCCAACGCGATCAACTGGAAGAAAGGGTATCAGCAATGGAAGATGAAATGAATGAAATGAAGTGAGAAGGGAAGTTTAGAGAAAAAAGAATAAAAAGAAATGAACAAAGCCTCCAAGAAATATGGGACTATGTGAAAAGACCAAATCTACATCTGATTGGTGTACCTGAAAGTGATGGGGAGAATGGAACCAAGTTGGAAAACACTCTGCAGGATATTATCCAGGAGAACTTCCCCAATCTAGCAAGGCAGGCCAACGTTCAGATTCAGGAAATACAGAGAACGCCACAAAGATATTCCTCGAGAAGAGCAACTCCAAGACACATAATTCTCAGATTCACCAAAGTTGAAATGAAGGAAAAAATGTTAAGGGCAGCCAGAGAGAAAGGTCGGGTTACCCTCAAAGGGAAGCCCATCAGACTAACAGCGGATCTCTCGGCAGAAACCCTACAAGCCAGAAGAGAGTGGGGGCCAATATTCAACATTCTTAAAGAAAAGAATTTTCAACCCAGAATTTCATATCCAGCCAAACTAAGCTTCATAAGTGAAGGAGAAATAAAATACTTTACAGACAAGCAAATGCTGAGAGATTTTGTCACCACCAGGCCTGCCCTAAAAGAGCTCCTGAAGGAAGCGCTAAATATGGAAAGGAACAACCGGTACCAGCCGCTGCAAAATCATGCCAAAATGTAAAGACCATCGAGACTAGGAAGAAACTGCATCAACTAACGAGCAAAATAACCAGCTAACATCATAATGACAGGATCAAATTCACACATAACAATATTAACTTTAAATGTAAATGGACTAAATGCTCCAATTAAAAGATGCAGACTGGCAAATTGGATAAAGAGTCAAGATCCATCAGTGTGCTGTATTCAGCAAACCCATCTCACGTGCAGAGACACACATAGGCTCAAAATAAAAGGATGGAGGAAAATCTACCAAGCAAATGGAAAACAAAAAAAGGCAGGGGTTGCAATCCTAGTCTCTGATAAAACAGACTTTAAACCAACAAAGATCAAAAGAGACAAAGAAGGCCATTACATAATGGTAAAGGGATCAATTCAACAAGAAGAGCTAACTATCCTAAATATATATGCACCCAACACAGGAGCACCCAGATTCATAAAGCAAGTCCTGAGTGACCTACAAAGAGACTTAGACTCCCACACATTAATAATGGGAGACTTTAACACCCCACTGTCAACATTAGACAGATCAACGAGACAGAAAGTCAACAAGGATACCCAGGAATTCAACTCAGCTCTGCACCAAGCAGACCTAATAGACATCTACAGAACTCTCCACCCCAAATCAACAGAATATACATTTTTTTCAGCACCACACCACACCTATTCCAAAATTGACCACATACTTGGAAGTAAAGCTCTCCTCAGCAAATGTAAAAGAACAGAAATTATAACAAACTGTCTCTCAGACCACAGTGCAATCAAACTAGAACTCATGATTAAGAATCTCACTCAAAACCGCTCAACTACATGGAAACTGAACAACCTGCTCCTGAATGACTACTGGGTACATAACGAAATGAAGGCAGAAATAAAGATGTTCTTTGAAACCAACGAGAACAAAGACACAACATACCAGAATCTCTGCGACGCATTCAAAGCAGTGTGTACAGGGAAATTTATAGCACTAAATGCCCACAAGAGAAAGCAGGAAAGATCCAAAATTGACACCCTAACATCGCAATTAAAAGAACTAGAAAAGCAAGAGCAAACACATTCAAAAGCTAGCAGAAGGCAAGAAATAACTAAAATCAGAGCAGAACTGAAGGAAATAGAGACACAAAAAACCCTTCAAAGAATTAATGAATCCAGGAGCTAGTTTTTTGAAAAGATCAACAAAATTGATAGACCGCTAGCAAGACTAATAAAGAAAAAAAGAGAGAAGAATCAAATAGATGCAATAAAAAATGATAAAGGGGATCTCACCACCGATCCCACAGAAATACAAACTACCATCAGAGAATACTACAAACACCTCTACGCAAATAAACTAGAAAATCTAGAAGAAATGGATACATTCCTCGACACATACACTCTCCCAAGACTAAACCAGGAAGAAGTTGAATCTCTGAATAGACAATAACAGGAGCTGAAATTGTGGCAATAATCAATAGCTTACCAACCAAAAAGAGTCCAGGACCAGACGGATTCACAGGCGAATTCTACCAGAGGTACAAGGAGGAACTGGTACCATTCCTTCTGAAACTATTCCAATCAATAGAAAAAGAGGGAATCCTCCCTAACTCATTTTATGAGGCCAGCATCATTCTGATACCAAAGCCAGGCAGAGACACAACCAAAAAAGAGAATTTTAGACCAATATCCTTGATGAACATTGATGCAAAAATCCTCTATAAAATACTGGCAGACCGAATCCAGCAGCACATCAAAAAGCTTATCCACCATGATCAAGTGGGCTTCATCCCTGGGATGCAAGGCTGGTTCAATATACGCAAATCAATAAATGTAATCCAGCATATAAACAGAGCCAAAGACAAAAACCACATGATTATCTCAATAGATGCAGAAAAGGCCTTTGACAAAATTCAACAACCCTTCATGCTAAAAACTCTCAATAAATTAGGTATTGATGGGACGTATATTTCAAAATAATAAGAGCTATCTATGACAAACCCACAGCCAATATCATACTGAATGGGCAAAAACTGGAAGCATTCCCTTTGAAAACTGGCACAAGACAGGGATGCCCTCTCTCACCACTCCTATTCAACATAGTGTTGGAAGTTCTGGCCAGGGCAATTAGGCAGGAGAAAGAAAGAAAGGGTATTCAATTAGGAAAAGAGGAAGTCAAATTGTCCCTGTTTGCAGATGACATGATTGTATATCTAGAAAACCCCACTGTCTCAGCCCAAAATCTCCTTAAGCTGATAAGCAACTTCAGCAAAGTCTCAGGATACAAAATCAATGTACAAAAATCACAAGCATTCTTATACAGCAACAACAGACAAACAGAGAGCCAAATCATGAGTGAACTCCCATTCACAATTGCTTCAAAGAGAATAAAATACCTAGGAATCCACCTTACAAGGGATGTGAAGGACCTCTTCAAGGAGAACTACAAACCACTGCTCAAGGAAATAAAAGAGGATACAAACAAATGGAAGAACATTCCATGCTTATGGGTAGGAAGAATCAATATCGTGAAAATGGCCATACTACCCAAGGTAATTTACAGATTCAATGCCATCCCCATCAGGCTATCAATGACTTTCTTCACAGAATTGGAAAAAACTACTTTAAAGTTCATATGGAACCAAAAAAGAGCCTGCATCACCAAGTCAATCCTAAGCCAAAAGAACAAAGCTGGAGGCGTCACGCTACCTGACTTCAAACTATACTACAAGGCTACAGTAACCAAAACAGCATGGTACTGGTACCAAAACAGAGATATAGATCAATGGAACAGAACACAGCCCTCAGAAATAACGCCGCATATCTAAAACTATCTGATCTTTGACAAACCTGAGAAAAACAAGCAATGGGGAAAGGATTCCCTATTTAATGAATGGTGCTGGGAAAATTGGCTAGCCATATGTAGAAAGCTGAAACTGGATCCCTTCCTTACACCTTATACAAAAATCAATTCAAGATGGATTAAAGACTTAAATGTTAGACCTAAAACCATAAAAGCCCTAGAAGAAAACCTAGGCATTACCATTCAGGACATAGGCATGGGCAAGGACTTCATGTCTAAAACACCAAAAGCAATGGCAACAAAAGCCAAAATTGACAAATGGGATCTAATTAAACTAAAGAGCTTCTGCACAGCAAAACAAACTACCATTAGAGTGAACAGGCAACCTACAAAATGAGAGAAAATTTTCGCAAGCTACTCATCTGACAAAGGGCTAATATCCAGAATCTACAATGAACTCAAACAAATTTACAAGAAAAAAACAAACAACCCCATCAAAAAGTGGGCAAAGGACATGAACAGACAGTTCTCAAAAGAAGACATTTATGCAGCCAAAAAACACATGAAAAAATGCTCATCATCACTGGCCATCAGAGAAATGCAAATCAAAACCACAATGAGATACCATCTCACACCAGTTAAAATGGCAATCATTAAAAAGTCAGGAAACAACAGGTGCTGGAGAGGATGTGGAGAAATAGGAACACTTTTACACTGTTGGTGGGACTGTAAACCAGTTCAACCATTGTGGAAGTCAGTGTGGCGATTCCTCAGGGATCTAGAACTAGAAATACCATTTGACCCAGCTATCCCATTACTGGGTATATACCCAAAGGACTATAAATCATGCTGCTATAAAGACACATGCACACGTATGTTTATTGCGGCATTATTCACAATAGCAAAGACTTGGAACCAAGCCAAATGTCCAACAATGATAGACTGGATTAAGAAAATGTGGCACATATACACCATGGAATACTATGCAGCCATAAAAAATGATGAGTTCATGTCCTTTGCAGGGACATGGATGAAACTGGAAATCATCATTCTCAGTAAACTATCGCAAGAACAAAAAACCAAACACCGCATATTCTCACTTATAGGTGGGAATTGAACAATGAGATCACATGGACACAGGAAGGGGAACATCACACTCTGGGGACTGTTGTGGGGTGGGAGGAGGGGGGAGGGATAGCATTGGGAGATATACCTAATGCTAGATGACAAGTTAGTGTGTGCAGCGCACCAGCATGGCACATGTATACATATGTAAATAACCTGCACAATGTGCACATGTACCCTAAAACTTAAAGTATAATAATAAAAGAAAAAAAAAAAGAAATAAAGATAAACAGGCCAGGCGCAGTGGCTGATGCCTGTAATCCCGGCACTTTGGGAGGCCAAGGCAGGAGGATCACAAGGTCAGGAGATCAAGACCATCCTGGCTAACACGGTGAAACCCCGTCTCTGCTAAAACTACAAAAAATTAACCAGTCGTGGTGGCGGGCGCCTGTAGTCCCAGCTACTCGGGATGCTGAGGCAGGAGAATGGCGTGAACCCAGGAGGCAGAGCTTGCAGTGAGCCGAGATTGCGCCACTGCACTCCAGCCTGGGGGACAGAGCTAGACTCCATCTCAAAAAAAAAAAAAAAAAAGAAAAGAAAAGAAAGAAAGAAACAACAAAGATGTTTTCAGAATGAGATAAGCTGCCTCTTAGAATAGTCTTCTTTACTAGGTTCATTCTGGAGAAAATCTTTAAATTTTAGGGTAATCTATGGGGTGATTCATGAGGTCCTTTCTGACTACAGGGTTGTGTGCCCCGTGGTGATGATTTCTGGAGCCAAATTATCGTCTGAATACTAATCCACATGTCTGAGCTCACCTCTGCCATGACAGCCACTCCCTTTGCCACAATTCCAAAATGTTTTTGTTTGCAAACTCAATCTGGTGAAGTATTGAAATGTTTGAACAAATTCTGTGTTTCTCGATATGAGGCAACTTGTGGAATGTGTAAGTGACTTGAGGTTTCCAGAAATATTTAGGTTCCATTTCTCTCTATGTGTACAGATGCTTCCCTATTCTGGTAACAGTGGATTAATTTTGTGGGAAATAGCTAGGTTGTGGCTGAACAAAAAGCAAAGTGTTTCTAATCATCAGTGTGTTTTTTTCTTCCCATGAGAAAATATACTTACTATAAACTTAGGAGGAAGTCAAGCCACCTCACTTCCTTTCTGTTTTTTTTTTTTTTTTCAGGTTTAAAATACTCCATTTTTGCTATTCACTTTTACTTGAGCAAAAATAGTTAAAGAAAGACCCTGGAGATACCTAAAAAAGGTACACTATTTAGGTTCAGTTCCATGAAAGCAAGGCCTAGAAAGCAATAGTGTCTTTGTGATCACACAGAATTTGGGAACAAGGCTGAGAGAATTTTCCTTTAAGTGATATTTCATAGGACTTATAAAACATAAATAAATAGTTATAGAATAATAACTACAGAAAACACTCTATGATACCAGCTGACAAGCTGCATGAGAAACCTTATCTATCTCCTGCATAAATCCCTATTACAAACAGACCCATGGCCAGGAGGAAATCAATATAATTAAACCTCACAGTGGGGAGAACTTCCTCTGCCAAACTTCAAGATCAAAGAAGGCTTTGCGGAAGAGATGGCATTGGATCTGGTTCTGAAAGATAGGAAGAATTTGAAGTATAAAGTGGACTATTATTCAGCCATAAAAAGAAAATCCTGCCATTTGCAACAACACAGATGAACCTGGAGGACATGTTACATAAAATAAGCATAGAAAGACACAGACAGACAAATACTGCATGATCTCACTTATGTGTGGAATCTAAAAGTGTCAAACTGGGCAGGGCATGGTGGCTCACACCTGTAATCCCAGCACTTTGGGAGGCCGAGGCAGGTGGATCACCTGAGGTCAGGAGTTCAAGAGGAGCCTGACCAACATGGTGAAACCCCATCCCTACTAAAATTACAAAATTAGCTGGGTGTGGTGGCACATGCCATGCCTGTAATCCCAGCTACTCGGGAGGTTGAGGCAGGAGAATCACTTGAACCCGGGAGGCAGAGGTTACAGTGAGCTCAGACTGTGCCATTGCACTCTAGCCTGGGCGACAAGAGCAAAAATCTGTCTCAAAAATAAATAAATAAATAAAAGTGTCAAACTCATAGAAGCAGAGAGTTAAATGGTGATGCCAGGGGTGGGGGAGAGGGGAAACTGGGTGAGAGACTGGACAAAGAATACAAGCTTTCAGTTACAAGACGAATCAGTTCTGGGGTTCTCATATACAGCATGGGTGGTGATGGATGTGTTAATTAATTTGATTTTGGTAATCACTACACAATGCATACATATGTCAAATCATCATGTTGCACACCAAAAATATTCAATCTTTGTCAATTAAATATTTTAAAATTTAAAAAATACATTTTTAAAATAAAATATAATAATGAACTGTCATCATGGTTAAGTAACCTACCCAGATTCAAACGAGACATAAAACTAGATATTCTCAAGTATGCAGAAAGAGCCACTAACACTATGCAAGTCAATAAATGCAATACACCACATAAACAGGATTAAAAACAAAAATTACATGATTATCTCGATAGACGCAGAAAAAGCATTTGACATTAAGCATCCCTTAATGATTAAAGCCCTCAGCAAAATCAGCATAGAAGGGACACAAGGTAACAAAAGCCATCTACAACAAACCCACAGCCAACATAATACTGAAGGGGGATGAGCTGAAAGCATTCCTCCTGAGAACTGGAACAAGACAAGGATGCCCACTTTCACCACTTCCATTCACCACAGTACTGAAAGTCCTAGCCAAAGTAATCAGACAAGAGAAGGAAATAAAGGGCATCCAAATGGCTAAAGAGGAAGTCAAACTGTTGTTGTTTGCTGATGATATGATTATATACCTAGAAAACCCCAAAGACTTCTCCAAAAAGCTCCTAGAACTGATAAATGAATTGAGCAAAGTTTTAGGATACAAATTTATTGTACACAAATCGGTAGCTCTACTATACACCAACAGCAACCAACCTGAGAATCAAATCAAGAACTCATCCCCTTTTACAATAGCTGAAAACAAAACAAAAAAAAAAACTTAGGAATATACCTAACCAAGGAGGTAAAAGACCTCTACAAGAAAAGCTACAAAACACTGCTGAAAGAAATCACAGATGACACAAACAAATGAAAACACATCCCACGCTCGTGGATGGGTAGAATCAATGTTGTGAAAATGACCGTATTGCCAAAAGCAATCTACAAATTCAATGCAATTCCCATCAAAACATACCATCGTTCTTCACAGAACTAGAAAAAACAATCCTAAAATTCATATGGAACCAAAAAAGAGCCCACGTAGCCAAAGAAAGACTAAGCAAAAAGAACAAATCTGGAGGTATCAACTGATATACCCTAAGGCCATAGTCACCAAAACAGCATGGTACTGGTATAAAAACAGGCATATAGACCAATGGAACAGAATAGAGAACCCAGAAATAAAGCCAAATACTTACAGCCAACTGATCTTCAACAAAGCAAACAAAAACATAAAGTGGGGAAAGGACACCCTATTCAACAAATGGGGCTGGGATAATTGGCAAGCCACCTTAGGAAAATATTACCAATATAAAAATCCACGGCAATATACTAAATTGTATTTTATAACTGATTAAAACAGGAATTGGGTAGTAAGAATTGGCAGTATTTATTAGTACTCTCCAGTTGAGAGACATGTTGGGGATAGAGAGTAGTCTGGCCTTGTCCTATATACCTATATGGATCTGGGGTAGTCTTCCAGATTCATATGACTTGTGTGAAATATCCCTTAAGAGTATCCAATTCCTCCTGGGCCAGGCCGTGTTGCATCCAGGTCACTTGTACCTCCCCTCTTTCTCTCCGAGGCTGCTTGTCCTCTCCCTGCATGCTCCAGGCCTCCTCGGACTTTCAGGGAAGCTCTAGTTGGGAAAGAGAGCTATTAATTAACCACCCACTTGCTCAGCAATTCAGTGTTATGCTAGTTTGCTTTCCTGTGGGGACAACCTCAAAATCTCGGGGGCTTATACCAACAGCTATATTCCACTTGGGTTAGATGAGGGCTGCATGTTGTCTATTGGTCTGATCCATGGGTTGCTTTTGCTCCAAGGTCCAGGCTAAAGGAGATGCCCTCTCTTGGGGAATGTCATGCCCCTGCTAGAGGTAGTCTCTGCTTGGACTGGGCACACTGCTACTTCGCTGCTCATTTCATCAACCCCAGCCAGCCACTGTGGGGCAAGCCAGTGTTCCTTGCTTGTCAGAGATGCTGTACTTTGCATACAATGGTGAAGAGAGTGAACAGCAGGGTGTAATTAAACAGTCAACCACAACCTGAAGCCACTTTCCCTGCTAAGTGGACCTCAACTCAATGGTCTCATTCTGAAAGATGTGGCCTAAATTCTTGCTTGGAATGGTAATTCCTCTCTAATAGACTCTGCTGTTCTCTTGCCAGTCAAGAGGACTGAAGGGGATTGAAGGTCTGAACCTAGGCTCAGTGGCTACTGCCCCTCCTCCACAGCCGCTGGCTTCCAGCAGACATTCCTGATGCTGATGTGCTCCTTGGAGTGCTGAGCTTTGGGGGAAATCCTGTTGCATGGTGCCAGACCCTCCTTCCCCATCTCATAACTCCATCACAGAGTTGGTCTACCATGGATGAACTTATCCTAGGTTCAAGATATTCTGCCCAGGTGACTAGGCTTCTCCAGTGACAGATGGACCACTGCTCTTACCCCCTCATACCTGCTCCATCTGAGCTACTGGCCAGCTGGCCTCACCTGCCAAAGGCAACTGGGCCATGACGGCTGAGTAATAAAAAGCAATGCTGTGCTTTGCTTCCAGACTCACCAAGAACCCTCTGGCTACTAATTTTGTGTAGCAGATTTGCATTTTGATCCACATCCTTAGGTGCTTATGAAATAAAACTTGGATGCCTTTTGATAATCATGTTCTGGGTGTGTACCCAAAAGTGGAGTTGCTAACTCATAGGGTATGATTTTGTTCAAAACTGACATACTGTCAATAGTTTTCCAAATTAATGGTAATAATTTATACCTACACCAGTAATATAATGTGTTTCTGTCAATCCTTAAATTTTAGCCATCATGAAGTTAAGTAATGTGATGCCTCTGGTTTTATTTTTCTTAGAATGACTTTGGCTCTTTTTGGGTTCCATATGAATATTAGAACAGTTTTTCTAATTCTGTGAAAAATTGCATTGGTAATTTGATAGAAATAATGCTGAATCTATAGTATGGACATTTTAACAATATTGATTCTTTCAACACACCAGCATGGAATGTTTTTCCATTGGTCTGTGTCATCTATGATTTCTTTGAGTAGTGTTTTGTAGTTCTCCTTGTAGAGATTTTTCACCTCCTTGGTTAGATGTATTCCTAAGTATTTTAATTTGTTGGGGGGTGGTGCTATTTTGAATGGGATTTCACTCTTGATTTGGCTCTCAGCTTAAAAACTATTGGTATATAGAAATGCTACTGATTTGTGTATGCTGATTTTGTATCCTGAAGCTTTACTGAAGTCATTTACCAGGTCTAGGAGTTTTTTGGTAAAGTCTTTAAACTATTCCACAAGGCTACAGTAACCAAAACAGCATGGTACTGGTACAAAAAGAGACACATAGACCAATGAGACAGTATAGAGAACCCAGAAATAAGGTCACACGCTTACAACCAACTGATCTTTGACAAAGTCAACAGAAACAAGTAATGGGGAAAAGACTCCATATTCAACAAATGGTGCAGGGAAAACTGCCTAATAATATGCAGAAGAATGAAACTGGACACTTAGCCCATATACAAAAATTAACTCAGGGGGATTAAAGACTTAATTGTAAGACCTGAAACTGTAAAAATGCTAGAATAAAACATAGAAAATACCTTTCTTTAGCATGGCCTTGGCAAAGAATTTTTGGCCAAGTCCCCAAAAGCAACTGTTACAGAAACAAAAATTGGTGAGTAGGATTTAATTAAACTAAAGAGATTTTGCACAACAACAAAAAAAATCAACACAGTAAACAGACAACCTACAGAATGAGAGAAAATATTTGCAAACTGTACATCCAACAAAGCAGCATCTATAAGCAACTTAAACAAATCAACAAGCAAAAAACAAATAACCCCATTAAAAAGTGGGCAAAGGACGTGAACAGATACTTCTCAAAAGAAGACATATAAGTGGCCAGCAAACAGATGAAAAAAAAAGTTCAACATCATTAATCACTAGAGAAATGCAAATCAAAACCACAATGAGATATCATCTCACATCAGTCAGAATGGCCAATATTAAAAGTCAAAAAATAACAGATGTTGGTGAGGTTGTAAAGAAAGGGGAAATTTTATACATTGTTGGTGGGAATGTAAATTACTCCAGCTACTATGGAGAGCAGTTTGGAGATTTCTCAAAGAACTAAGATTTGAGGTACCATTTGATCCAGCAATTTTATTACTGGGTGTATGCCCAAAGGAAAATAAGCCATTTTACTGAAAAGACACATGAGCTTATATGTTCATTGCAGTGCTATTCATAATAGCAACGACATGGAATCCAGGTGCCCGTCAACTCTGGATCGGATAAAGAAAATGTGGTACCTATACACCACGGAATACTATGCAGCCATAGAAAAGAATAAAATAATATCCCTTGCAGCAACATGGATGCAGTCGGAGGCCACCATCCTAAGTGAATTAATGCATCAACAGAAAACCAAAAGTCACGTGTTCTCTTATAAGTGGGAGCTATATTGTGGGTATATGTGAGCATAAAGATGGGAACAATAGACACTGGGGACTCCAAAAGAGGAAAAAGAGGGGAGAAGGGCTAAAAACTTCCTATCGTGCAGTATGTTCACTACATGGATGACGGGATCAATAGAAGCCCAAACCTCAGCATCATGCAATATACCCCTGTAACAAACCTGTATATGTACCCCCTGAATCTAAAGTAAAAATGTAAGCAAATAAAATAAAAAATGTAGGCCTCTTGATGAGTATACAGTGTTATCTCTTGGTTGGTTTACTTTGCAGTTTCCTGATGATTAACGATGTTGAACCACTTTTAATGTGAGCATTGATCATTTGAATACTCTTTTATTATGAAGTGCCTATCCAAACGTTTTCCCAATGTTTTAATTGAGTCTTTTTCTTACTGGCTTTTAGAAGCACTTTATATCATCTAGGCATAGGACCTTCGCTGCCATACTTAAAATATTCTCTCCTACTCTGTGATTTATGTTTTCATTATTTAAACATTGTATTTCATTGAAGATATATTCAATATTTTAGTGTAGTCTAACTTATCAATCTTTTTTATGTTTAAAGTTTCCTATATAGTGTTTTAAAAAATCTGTTCCTACACCAAGATCATTAATATAATCTGTTAGAATATATTCTAAAATTTTTATTGCTCACTTATTGCATTTAGATTTAAACTCCACAAGGAAGTTATAGTGTGTGTCTATGAGATGTGAAATAAGGCTCAAATTTCTTTTTTGAACATGAATACTCAATTAAGCCAACACTGTCATTAAAATGACTGTTCTTCCTTCACCATTCTGCAGTGTTACCTTTGTCTCCATCGAGTATGCATGCGGCTGGTTTTGTTCTTTTGTCATGTTCTGTTGGTATGTGTGTTTATATTTATGTCCCTACCATACTGTCTTGCTAATATATCTTTATAATAACTTTTAATATTTAATATTGACTTCTTTACGAAATAAGCTAAGCACAGAAAGACAAATAATGAACCAGGTGCAGTGGCTCACACCTGCAATCCAACATTTTGGGAGGCCAAGGAGGAAGGATCATTTGAGCCCAGTAGTTTGAGACCAGCTTGGGCAACATAGGGAGACCCTGTCTCTACAAAAAAAAAAAAAGAATTTAAAAAATTAGTCAGGCATGGTGATATAGCCTGTGGTCCCAGCTACTTGGAGGGTGCTGAGGCAGAAAGATCGCTTGAACCCAGGAGTTCAAGGCTGCAGTGAGCTATGATCACACTACTGCACTCCAGCCTGAATGACAGAGTGAGACCTTGTCTGAAAGAAGGAAGGAAGGAAGGAAGGAGGAAGACAGAAAGAAAGAAAGAAAGAAAGAAAGAAAGAAAGAAAGAAAGAAAGAAAGAAAGGAAAGAAAGAGGGAGAAAGGAAGGAAGAAAGGAAGGAAGGAGAGATGAAAGAGAAAGGAAGGAAGGAAGGAAGGAAGGAAAGAGAGATGAAAGAAAGAGAAAGAAAGAAAGAAAAGAAAAGAGAGAAAGAGAGGAAGGAAGGAAGAAGGGAGGGAGGAAGGAAGATATCACGTGATCTCACATACATATGAAATCTAAAAACCTTCTAAGAGTAGAGCTCAGAATGGTGGTTCCACGGGCTAGGGAGAAGAGGAAATGGGGAGATAATGGTCAGAGGACACAAATTTTCAGCCAGACAGGAGGAATGACTGAAAGAGCTCTATTGTACAACATGGTGACTGTACTTAACAACAATGTATTGTATACTTAAAAATCACTAAGGGAGTAAATATTAAAAGTTCTCATCACAAGACAATAATAAGTATGTGAGGTGGCGCATATATTAATTAGCTCCATTTAAACATTCTACATTGTACACATATATCAAAACATCATTTTGTATACCTTTAACATACAATTTTTTTGTCAATTAAAATTAAATATAGGCCAGGCATGGTAGCTCACGCCTGTAATCCCAGCACTTTGGGAGGCCAAGGCAGGTGGATCACCTGAGGCTGGGAGTTCAAGACCAGCCTGACCAATATGGAGAAACCTCGTCTCTACTAAAAATTAGCCAGGCGTGGTGGCACATACCTGTAATCCCAGCTACTCGGGAGGCTGAAGGAGGAGAATCACTTGAAGCAGGAGGCAGAGGTTGTGGTGAGCTAAGATTGCACCATTGCCCAGCCTGGGCAACAAGAGTGAAACTCCGTCTCAAAAAAAAAAAAAAAAAAAAAAAAAAAGTAAATATAGTTCATGTCCTTTGCAGGGACATGGATGAAGCTAGAAGCCATCATTCTCAGCAAACTAACACAGGAACAGAAAACCAAACACTGCATGTTCTCACTCATAAGTGGGAGTTAAACAATGAGAACACATGGACACAGGGAGGGGAACATCACACACTGGGGCCTGTAGGGAAGTGGGGGGCAAGGGGAGGGAGAGCATTAGGACAAATACCTAATGTATGCGGCGCTTAAAACCTAGATGACAGGTTGATAGGCACAGCAAACCACCATGACACTTCTATACCTATGTAACAAACCTGCACATTCTGCACGTGTATCCCAGAACTTGAAGTAAAATTTAAAAATATATATGTATAAATTAACCAATTTTAAAAATAAATACATACATACATAGAAAAAATATGACTTGTTTAATCATGGCCACTTAATTTGCCATGTAAGTCTTAAAATAAGAGTTTTGTGACTTCTTTCTTTTATGTAATAAACTTTTTACTTTTGGAATAATTTTAGATCTACAGAAAAGCTGCAAAAAAAGTAAAGAGAGTTATCTTATCCAGCTTCCCTTAAAGTTAACATGTTACACAACCATGCTACGTTTGCCAAAACTAAGAAACCAATATTAAATTCTGAATTTTCATTAACAGTAATGTATTTGCATTCCACTAAGTTTTTACACCAACGTTCTTTTTCTGTTCCCAGTATCCAGTTCAGGATACTATCTGGCACTTAATCATTACGTTTCCTTGGGTTCCTCTGGCCCGTGGCCAACTCTTAGCCTCTCCTTGTTACTGTGTATCGACAGTTTGAAGATTACTGGTCAGGTCCTTAGAATGCTCTTTAATTTGTGTTTGTCTGATTATTTTTTTCCTGATTAGGCTGGAATTATGAGCTTTTGGAAAAAATTCTGCAGAGGTTAAGCTTCCTTCTCATCACTTCATATCAAGGGGATGTGATATCAACATGCCTCATTACTGGTGATGTTCACCTTGATCATGTGGTCAAGGAGGCGTTTGCTAGGTTTCTCTACCACACAGATACTCTTTCCCGGCTTTCAATACTCTAGTCTTGCATGTGAATCACTAAGTCCAGGCCAGGCACAAGGTGGCCTGGGAGGTAGACACTAAGGTCCAATTCCTGGAAGAGACAGTATCTATTCATATTATCTGGAATTCTTCTACAAAGAGTTGTCCTTCTTCTTTCTTTTGTATTTACTTGTTCATTTAATCATTTATTTATATCAGTGTAACCTCATGTATATTGATTTTATACTTTGGGTTGTAAGCCAATACCATGTTATTTATTTTATATCAGGGTCACTTTTATATCTCTCTGATATGCCCCATCCTTTTTGCTTTTTTGAGCATTTTCATTATTCTGGCACTTGAAAATGATACACGCTTTTCTGGCTATCTCTTGCCTCAGTGCACAGACTAGCACCTCCAGTATCATGTTGAATAACAATGGTAAGAGCAGACATCCTGTTGTTTTAATTTCTAATCTCTGAGAATGCTCTTACAACATTTTTTCATTCAATATAAAAACACCTTTCTCACATTTAGAAAGTGTATTCCTATTTCTAATATAGTGATAGTTTCTTTTTTAACAATCATAACTAGACAGTTCAATTTTTTAAAATGTTTTTTTTCATGGAGAATTATGTTGATTGATTTTCATATGTTAAACTAATCTTGTATCCCTGGCCCCCAACATGACCATGATGTATTTTCCTTTATGTATATGTCACTAGACTCAGTTTGCTAATGTTTTTATTTGGATTTATTTTGTAGTTTTATGTTTTGAGACACAGTCTCACTTTGTTGCCAAGGCTGGAGTGCAGTGGTGCACAATCTTGGCTCACTGCAACCTCTGCCTCCCAGGTTGAAGGGGTCCTCCTGCCTCACCCTCCCAAGTAGCTGGGATTACAGGCACCCGCCACCACGCCTGGCTAATTTTTTTGTATTTTTAGTAGACATGGGGTTTCACCATGTTGGCCAGGCTGGTCTCGAACTCCTGGACTCAAGTGATCCGCCTGCCTTGGCCTCCCAAAGTGCTGGGATTACCGGCATGAGCCACTGCGCCTGGCTTGGATTTATTTTTAAGTCATATTCAAGAGAGAAATTGTCTTTCAAGAGTTTAGAGTAACTTATTAAGAATTCAAGAGCAATTTTATTTTTTCCGATACTCTTATTTTGGTTTTGGTTGTGACCAAGATTATCTTTCCCTCATTGGAAAGTATTTTCTCTTCTTCTATTCTCTAGAATGATTTGTGTAATATGACTTCTTATTTCTTCCTCAAATGTTTGGTGGTAAAAATCATCAGTAAATCCTTTGGGACTTGGCATTTCTTGATGACAAATTGTTTAATTACAGATTCAATTTTATAATTATAGGGTTGTGAAGACTTTATATTTTTGAATGCACTTTAATAAATCATATGCTTGGAGGAAGTTGTCTGTTTTTCAGCAATTTTTGTATAAAGATTTTCATAGTATAAAGATAATTTTGTATAAAGATTTTCATAGATTTACTAGTTATTTTTTAATACCTGTATGATCTGTGGCCATATCTCTGTTTCAGTCCTAAAATTTGTTATTTGTGTCTTAATTACCTTAGAATTCATTATAAATTATTTTCATATAATTTATATTTATAATAATTATTTTTATACTTATATTTATGTTAAATATATAAATTATGTAAACTATAAGTAACTGTATAAATCATCATGTATGATTTCATGTGTGTGTGTGTGTAATGAGTGAGACAGAGAGTGAGAATAATATAATCAACCACCATTAACCTATCACCCAGCTTCAAAAATTATCAACTCAGGGCCAAGTGTTTTATTAAAAACCCCATAAATTCTCTAATATGAACAGAGATGTAAAATTATGTTAAATACATTACAGAGATCTTTTCAAATGTTTATTGGGCATTCAGTTCATTCAATCAAGAATTGTCTTTTTCTTTTTTTTTTTTTTAAATTTTGAGACAGTCTTGCTTTGTCGCCCAGGCTGGAGCGTAGTGGCAAGATCACAGCTTACTGCAACCTCCGCCTCCCAGGTTCAAGCGATTCTTGTGCATTAGCCTCCCAAGTAGCAGGGACTATAGGTGTGTGCCACCACACCTGGCTAAATTTTGTATTTTTACTAGAGGCGGGGTTTCACCATGTTGGCCAGGCTGATCTCGAACTCCTGACCTCAACTGATCCACCTGTCTCAGCCTCCCAAAGTGCTGGGATTACAGGTGTGAGCCACCGCACCCGGCTGAAAATTGTCTTTTTCTATTGGGTCATTTTTCTATTCTATACTGATTTTTACATAACCCATTGGGTTCAAAATTATTCTTTTTATGAACAGCCAATCTAAAATAGCATCTCCCATCTCTCACGAAGCTCTATTCTCCCACCTGCTTTAGTTCTCTCCTTGGTACTTTCTGAAATCTGAGGTTTATCAACATATGTAATGACGTATTTATTAGTGTCTGCCTCTCCTATGAGGGGAGGATATTAGTTTTGTTTCCTACAGTTACCCTGGTGACTAGAACAGGGCCTGGCACATAGACATTCAATAAGGATTTGTTTGAATGGATTAATTAACTTGATTGATGTATAATCTGAATATACTAAGCCCCTGTCAGCTATATCACATGGTTAGAGATACATGATACCTAATCCTTGCTGGCTTATGGTGTCTTTTTGCATACAGGTATGTTTAACTTTAATGTTGTCAAATTATTATAATACCTATTTTCTTATGATTGTCTACATTAGTAAATCTGTCCCCATCCTGAGAACAAGAACATGATCCTTATTCTTCCAAAGACATGCTTAATTTCGCTGCTCACTATTAGGTTTTAATCTATCTGAAACATTTTTATAAACGGTGTCTGATAAAAATCTACATTTTTCCTGAATAAACAGTGTTTGGATCACTTTATCCCATAATTTACCTCTTACTTGCTGATCTGCAATGCATTTCTTTGCACTTAAGGTTTGATTCTCTTTTGCCTATTGGCTATGTCTATGTACTGCCACGTTGTTTAATTTTCATAGATTCCTAGTAGGTTTGATAGTTTTAGTTGGTGAGTGCCCACCCACTTTGGTTCCAGTGCACGATTTGCTAGAAAGACTCACAGGACACAGACAGCTGTTAGACTCACAGCTATTGTTAATTACAGTGAAAGGATATAGATTAGAAGCAGCAAGGAAAAAGGTGCACACAGCAGAGTCCAGCACTAAGGAGGAGGCATGGGCTTCCAGTTGTGCTCCACATGACTGACCTCAACCACTCAGTCTCCAGTCAGCTGTCTGCCACCCCCAGAGGTCAAAGTGACACAATGTGACCCAAGGCCCAGGCATACATAAACAGGTGTTCACTATAAAGCATGTTGATAGCATGTGGTGTGACCCAAAGCTTCAGGTTTACAAAGTCACTCAAATCACACAGAATATTACAAAGGCTCAGAGGTTATCTCCAGGAGCCTGTCAGGGACTGTCCTGAAGCCCTTCGGAATATGCAGGGTTTGGGCAGCCCAGGCCTGCTGAGTTAACACTTTACTGCACAGTTCTTCTTTTCCAAAATTTTTTTTTCTTGGCCCTATACACTTTCATATAAATTTTATATTTAACTTTTTTCAATGAAATACCCTGCTGGTATTTATATTTGAATTGCATTTAATTATTAAATATCTTCATAATATTTAGGCCTCTGATACAAAAACTTTGCCTATCTACTCATTCATTTTTAGTTTATTTTCTGTGTTGAAAGACAATGCTACATTTACTTCTGCATAAATGTTTTGCATATCTATGTTAGATTTAATTTTAGGTATATTGCTTTCTGTGAGTAAAGTATATACTTTATTTTTTTAAATTCAGGATATTTGCATCTCTCTCCATAAACGAGCTTGGACTATAATGCTTTATTCTCACATATTTTTATATATTTATTTCTGTTTCTTTTTCTATTCTCTAGTACAGATGATATAAGACTAGAAGTATCTGTACCTTGAATAGAATTTATTAGCAACACATCTTTGGTACTTTGTCAAAGTTAATTTTCAAGAGTTGATGTAATTCATTTAATTCATGTAGGACCATTAAAGTTTTCTATCTCCTGTAATTACTTCAGCTGGTATAAATTTTTCTAGGAAACAGGCAACTGTAATTTGCCATACTGTAGGTTGTCTAGTGGACCTGTAACTTCTGCCTGGCTCTCCCTGGCTCTTACATCTCTTCATTTCTGGAAGAAGTCAGCCACCACCCTGAGAGGACACTCAAGCAGCCCTGGGGCAGGAGGTTGTGTGGGAAGGAATGGACTTCTCAGAACCTACTTCCCAGAAATGTGAGTTAGCTGCCTTGGAAGTAGGTTCTCCAGTTCAAGTCTTTTTTTTTTTTTTTTTTTTTTGCCGATGCTGTCGTTCATTGCGCGGAATGGGGGTGTGGGGGTTAATTGGGCGTAGGGGCCACGGTGGGGGCACTGCTGCCTCAGCTGGTCAGTACATTCATCACGGTGGCGGGACCCCAGCCTCGCCCCCGCGCCCGGCGCAACCAGGCCCGCCCCTCGGTGCCAGTGCTGGAGGGAGCTGGGGTGCTGCTCCCCAAGGTCACCGCGGGACGCGCGTGGACCGGGGCCGGGTCGGTTATTGCATGAGCGCGATGGGGGCAGCGGGAAGCCGGTGGGCCAAGTATTGCACTTAAAAAACGATCCTCATCGGACGGCGGGCCACCTAGAGGGCGGGGGGCGGGCGGGGCTCCACAGCCGGCTCCTCTCAGCCACTGGGCCGCCCCGTCCCTGTTTTACACCTAGGGGAACTGAGGCACTGAGGTGAAGGGAGCCCCCTCGCACGCGAGGCCGCCGCCGGGGGCAGGGGCGATGGGAGTGGGCGCAGGGCGATGAGGGGGGACGGCCGGGGACGCGGAGGGGGCTGCCCCGCCGGCCCTGCCCGTCAGTCCAACTACGGCTACCTATGTCTTGTCTGTGGCTTCTGGGCGGGCTGGCGGCCGGGGCAGCGCAATGGCATGGCTTTGGTCTGGATGACGGCCCCGCCTCCGGCCCTCCTGGGCCCGCAGGGCGGTTGGCGAGGGTCACAAGTTGGACGAGAGGCGCGAGCGCGCGGAGTCCTGGGGGTCCAGGCCGCTGGCGGCGCCGGGTGAGGCGGAGTCCCTGCGATCCGGGCTGGGCGCGGCGGCCCGGGCAGCGGGCGTGGGTCCCAGGCGCGGTGTGGAGCTGCTGGCCGGGCGTGTGGAGGCCGCTGGGACGGGCGTTCCGTGGGGCAGCGAGGGCTGCGAGGCGGACAGTGGGCGCAACGCGCGGCTCAGGCGGCGCGAGGGCAGGGCGGTCCCAGCAAGGGGGGCGGCGGGCAAGCTGCCGTAGGGCGAAGTCCGCGGTGCCCGGGGGCTGGCGGGCGCGCCCAGGGGGCTGGCGGGGGGCGGGGGCCCGGGTGAGGCGGCGGCAGGTGCGGGCCCCGGGGGCGGGCGGCGCACGAGGCGCAGCGAGCCGAGCGCCAGCGGCCCCACGAGCGGCCGCGCCACCTGCGGGCAGAAGCTCATGACCACGGCCTGCTGCAGCGTGGCGATGGCCGAGGTGACCTGCGGCGGCGGCGGCGGCGGGAAGAGGCCCAGGCGCCGACCCAGCTCGGCCTGCTGCACCATCTCGCCGTCGTACTTGACGATCTCCTGGATGATGGCGTTCTACTGGTTGTTGAATACGCCCGAGTTAAGGTCATGCTGCACCTTGTGCAGGAGGATGGAATTCTTCTTGCCGATGCGGTCCAGGCGGTCGATGGCCACCGTCTCGAAGGCGCGCCGCATCATGGGGTACTCCTCCAGCACCTCGTTGAAGTTGTCCACGCTCAGCGAAAGGAGGCGGCAATAGGTGTTGGCCCGCACGCTCGCCATGCGGTGGCCCCGGGTGAGCAGGCAGATCTCCCCGAAGTAGGAGCCATCGAACAGCTTCATCTCCTTGTTGCCCTTAGCGAGCACGCTGACCACGCCGTGCTGGATGAAGTACATCTTCCCGATGGTGCCTTCGCGGATGAGGTAGTCACCCGGCTGGAAGACCTCGAACTTGAGCTTGGTCAGCATGGCCGTGACGAAGTTGGGGTCAGCATTGGCGAACAGCGGCATGGAGGTCACCAGCTTCCGGCAGTTGAAGTTGACAATCTCCTCCCGCAGGGGCCCGTTGAGCTCGCCCAGGATGCTGTCCTCGTCGAACATCTTGCCCTGGTAACGGTGCTCGTAGTAGTCGTGGATCTTCTGGCGGAAGTCGGCCGGCAGCTTGTGGAAGGACATGTACTGCTCCACCTGCTTGTACGTCTAGTACTGGCGCCGCGAGGAGTCCAGCGACTGGATGAGGGCAGTGGCGTGGCCGATGAACATGGCGTAGCAGGTGGCACTCACAATCATGCTGAGCATGGTCAGCCAGATGTCCGTCATGCTCTCGGGCGCCTGCCGGCCATACCCAATGCACAGCATGTGGCTCATGGCCTTGAAGAGTGCGAAGGAATACAGTTCGCTCCACCAGTGGTTCACCATGCCATTGATGGACACCCAGCAGTTGCACGGGAAGTCCTGCAGCATGGCCACCAGGAACTGCAGGCAGCCATCCCAGTGGCAGAGCAGCAGCATCATACTGATGAGGTTGCAGAACCGCATCACCGCGCTGGCCAGGTCATAGGTCATGTGGAAGATCTCCTCCCACTGGTGGATGTAGCGGATCAGGCGCGAGAGGCGCAGCAGCCGCAGGAGGCTGAGGATCTTGGTGAAGCGCACGATCCGCAGGGCGCACGCCGTCTTGTAGACCTCGGAGTCGATGCCCTTCTCCACGATGAGGAAGATGTAGTCCACGGGGATGGAGGACACGAAGTCCACCATGAACCACGTGCGCACGTACTTCTTGATCTTCTCTTGGTCCAGGATGATCTCCGTGTTGTCCTCGATCACAATGCCGGTGCGGAAGTTCAACACCAGGTCCATGAGGAAGAAGGTGTCCGAGACCACGTTGAACACGATCCACAGGGCGGTGGTCTCGTCCTTGAAGAAGGTGATGCCCACTGGGATGATGATGAGGTTTCCCACCATGAACAGCAGCATGGTGAAGTCCCAGTAGAACCTGAAGTCGCTGTACGGGTGGATGATCCAGGACCCCGCTGACTGGACGCGCTCCTGCTCGCGCTCCACGGCCTTCTGGCTGCCGAACATCCGCAGCGAGAACTTGTTGACGCCCAGCTGCAGGAGCGCGCCGAAGTGGCGCTGCATGAAGCTGGCCCGGCTGCGGCGCGGCTCCGCCGCCGGGCCGCCACCTCGCTGCCGGCCTCCTCCGCCGGCCCCGGCCCCGGCCCCGGCGCGGCCCCGAGGCCGCCCCGGGGCACAAGAACTACACCTTGGGCCCCCGCGCCGGGCCCTCGGGCCCCGCGGGGCTGCACTGCGGCTAGCCGCGCCCGCACTCGGCCGTTCCGGCTGCCCTTGGCCGTGCTCGCCGTGCCCGGGATGCCGGGGCTGCCGCACTAGCTGTCGCGGCTGCGGCGCTGGCCCCGCGGGCCGCCCTCCTCCGCCGCCTCCGGGGGCAACGCCTCGGCCCGGGGCGGCTGCTGTTGGGGGGGCGCGGCGGCGGCGGGGCTCTCCCCGGGCCGCCCGCCGCCCCCGCGCGCGTCCATGGCGAGGCGGCGCCCGGCAGTGCGGAGCGGAGCCCCCGACCAGTTCAAGTCTTTACATGGCCGTTACCCCAGACATCTGCCTGAAGCCTCCTGAGAGCTCCCAAACCAGAAATATATATTTGAGCTGCTCCTAAGTACATGACCCACCCACAAATGAGAGATCATCAAAGATTATTGTTTTTGAAATCACTAAGTAGGGGGGCGACCTGTTATGCAACAATATATTACTAATACAAATGTTTTCTTATGATTACAAATAAAAATTGTTATTTGACTGACTTATGAGGATTTTAAAATATTAACATACAATCTTTTTTGTTATTTTTTATTTTGATTTCTAATTGCATTGCCTTACGACTGAAGAACAATTGGATAACGTCTGCATATCTTTATTGAAAATTTTCTTGTATTTATGGCACATAGCCCATTTTTATAAATGTTCCATGAGTGAATGAGAATATGTACTTTCTAATTATTTGTTGCAGTTAAATATTGACACACTTGACAAATATGTGATCACTTTACTTACCAATTTCTTCATGAAGTTCTGACTGTGCATAGTTGATATTATGTTCTTAGGTTTAGACAAAAACTGTTGTCTATTTCTGAGGAGTTGTATACTTGACCCTCATGTACTGAATGTATTTATTCCTAATGATACATTTTACTGTATGGTTTATTTTTCTGGATGGTAATAATACCATGGTGGCTTTCTTCTGATTAGAAAATGTCTGCTATATATTTTCCTTCCTTTTATATTAATATGTCTATTTCCCTATACTATACACATGTTTACTCTCAACATTTTTCTGTTATAAAATATTTCAATACGAATATCTATGTCTTTTTATTGGCATGTATTCATCTCGTCTCCATCCCATTTGTGGAGGAGAGATTCCCACACTGGGGTTATGGAAATGACTGGACACATGACACCCAACACTAGACAGTTGAGTTCACACCAGCTTATTAGTCACAGGCACACACAGCCCAGGGGAGGATGGAACCACATGATGTGGGGCCACATGAGGGCTGCGCTTGGAAACAGAGTGAACAAGCAGGAGCTGAGGGAGTCAGGCTTTGTAGTAACAAGAGGGTGGAGTGACACTTGCTTCCGGGCTCTGCCACCCATGATAAGGAAGGTTGTCTAGTGGACCTGCCACTGGAGCAGGGTGGGTAGGGGTATTATAGTTAGGCTATTCAAGGTCCTCCAGATTCTACGTATAAAGTGGCAGATAATGTTAATTTTGTGCCTTAGAAGAAACATCTTTTGATCGTTTATATTTATTATTTTACCAATACATTTAGATGTATTCCATTCTTTTTATTATATGCTATGTATTATGCTCATTTTTCTGTTTTTGCTTTTTAGTATCTTGCTGGAGAGCTATACATTTTATTTCCCTATTTTTGAAGATTCCCTTTCATATTTTAATACATATAGTTAACTATACAGTTTTAATTCCACCAGTTAACCAGGATAATTCAAAGACCTTAGGATTCATGAATTCTAATCAGCTCCCTTTCAAGTTCCATTATTTAAAATCTGGTATTTTAGCTTCACCTGGTTTTTTAAATCTGAAATTAATTATGCTGTAGTTACGAGAACTGCCATCATTTTCTATCTTTATCCTGCTAGATGGGTCAACTGGAATCCTAGGTGGAGGGCCTGCCCTTCACAGCTGCCTTGTGTTTGCTTCTGCTAGAACCCTGTGGTGACACAGTGATGGCCACCCTGATATCCCTTCAGGAGTAAAGGGCTTATTGCCCCAAGACTGACAGTGCTGCCAGCAGAAGCCCTGGACAGACAGTCCTTTCAGGAGTAAGGACTTACTGCCTGCCCCATCTGACAGTGCAGTCAGGTGCCAGCCCTTCCGACATGGCCCCACCACCCAAGGTCATGGCCCCCTCCCAGAGCATCCCGAGACTGATTCACTTGGAGCACTAAGGGCCTCGCCTCTCGCCCTACTCCAGATAATTCTTAAGAGCCACGTAATCTTTAGAACTCCCTGCAAGGCTGGCTGAGTCTTGCCCTCTTCCTCGGCCCAGTCCCAGTCCTGCTTTCTACTCCTCACTTCCAGGTGGAGATTCCAAGAGCATTCCCTCATCCCTCTCCTGCATGTCAGTCTCTGTCTCAGAGCTTGCTTCCCACAACAATGTCACAGTGGTATTACCATCCAGGAAACAATTCCTATCAGTGTCTTACTTTGTCCACTCCCAAGCCACAAGGAGAGCATGAATTCACACGTGAATACACTGGAGGCATCAGCCTTTGCCTATAAATTCTTAGGGGAGACTTTACCACCTAGAACCTGCGATCAGTCAAACAGGCTCTCTGTTGTTTCTCTGAACCCACAGGAGGTTGAATGTTTTTCTAGTCTCTGGCTTACTGGGAGGGAGGGGCAGTGTCAGCATATAGGACAGGCTTACTGTGGATCTAGGTCTAATTTCTACCTGATGCAGCCCAGAGCACCACCTCCTACTATAAAACAAAGATGTCAGTGAGGTCCACTCATGTGCTTTACAGTTCTGGTTTGCAGATTCGTCTTAAAATGTGGTCTTGGGACTTTGTTGGAATTTCAGCTCCCCATTTGAAACTGTTTGCTACAGTATCCAGTACTTCTGAATGTTCTGCACTAGGGAGATACTCAATTATCTGCTCTGCCCTATTGCTGGGAATGAACATCTTCTCATTATAAATGATGTAAGCATTGTTTATGCATTTTTTATGAGCTTGATTTGTGAGATTCGTCCTTTCAGAGACCTATTCTTGTAGGAACTGGTATAATGAGGTTTCTAAATCTAAAATGCATAGAATCTCAGGCTCTGCTGCTGTGGAAACTCCTCCAGGTACAGACACAATTGTACAGACAGTGCAGCGCAGCTAATATCCTCATCTCAAAGAGATCCGTTTAGTTGAACGCATTATCTACCAAAGAAATCAGGCCCTTGCGTTCATTTGATAAAGGAAGTCCCACTGGATTGCATATTTCCATCTTTTTCTTCTAAACTCTATGACTCCAGAACCGGGCTCAGGGCCTGGAAATCATAAGGGCTTAACATAGTTATTTTGATGAATTTTTTAAGAAGTGATTTTCCTCATTCTGTACTTTCTTCCAAAGAGTGAAAAAGAAATCGATTTTGCTGAGTTTTTGGAATAAATCAAATATGTTAGATATGGTTTTTCTACCTTATAGAGGAGTAACAGTACCATGGTTTCTGAAAACTTGAAACAGCACAGAAGTGGCTGCTCTCAGCCTAGACAGGAGTTCTCCTGAATATTATCTGTGAGTAATGACCTTCAAGTTCATATGAATAGCACTTTTCAAATGGGCCCTAAAACATTCTTCTTTAACTTTAAAAAGACTTGGAAGTAATATTTCTCTGAATTACTGCACTGCACAATGAATGTCTTTCTTTGCCAGTGAAGGGTGTCTCTGGACTAAATAATTTTGTTTTGCACCAAAAATAAATGTATTCTACTAAGGAATTATATTGGAGTACATGTAAATGCCTAGCTTAAAAAGAAATGGCTCACATTAAGGTAAAAGCTCATAGTTTAAAAATTAGACTTCCACCTTCTTGTAAGGAGTAATGCCGCATCCTTTCCAACTGTCCTTTGATGAAGAAGATTAGCAGATGAATGGATACAACTCTTCCAGCTGAAAGAATCCTTAGAGGTCATTAAAGGGAACTCCCTACCTAATATGAGTATTGACATTACAATAGATAACAAAGAATGGGCTTGGGAGGAATCAGACATGGATTCTTTGAAACCAGAGCCATCCCTTCTTGCCTTTCTCTGTGCTCGGCTCAAGATTACCATCAGTAATTTCCTCTTTCCTTTCTTCCATCAAGACAAACCTGATCTGTCCTGTGCTACACTTTCTCAGTTCTTATCAGGTGACAGAGTGCTTCATGCTAAGTTGCTAATAGTTTTTCGGTTTTTTTTTTTTTTAGATGGAGTTTCACTCGTCTCCCAGGCTGGAGTGCAACAGCACAACCTTGATTCACCGCAACCTCCGCCTCCTGGGTTCAAATGATTATCCTGCCTCAGCCTCCCGAGTAGCTGGGATTACAGGTGCACACTACCATGACCAGCTAATTTTTATATTTTTTAGTACAGCCAGGGTTTCGCCATGTTGGCCAGGCTGGTTTTGAACTCCTGACCTCAGGTGATTCACCTGCTTCAGCCTCCCAGAATGCTGGGATTACAGGCGTGAGCCACTGTGCCCAGCCAGTTGTTAATAGTTAATAATACCTTGATCTCATACCACTTTCCTGCAGAATGTTCAAGTGAAACATTAACTTTATTTCTAATTTAAAATAGAGATCTTTGGGGCTTATGTAGGCTATTATATAGGGCTGAATCAGATAATTTGGTTTGATGCTCTTTTTAATGCTCCCAAAGTCAGAATGCCTGTACTCTACCTGTGAGGCTAGTCCTGACGTGGCCTCCAGATGGACTACTCCAGAAAGGTTTTCCTTCATATCATTTGCCAGTTATCTGAATCCCTCTGTCTTGGGATGAAGATTGAGCACACACTCAATGCATTAAACACAAATGACCTAAGTGAGCATTTAAAAGCTGATCTTGGCAACTTTGGTAATGCTGGGAGTAATGTCAATTATTTTTAAATTATAAAATTATAAAATTACTCTGAATGTACCACACTGACTTGCTTTTCACTACAACATTCTAGAAAGCAGCGTGGATCAAGGCTTTTTCTTTTGCAGAATCTATCAAATTTCAGGAGGGAGAGACATGAAGGACCCGAGCACAGACTGGGGTAGACGGTGTCTCTGATGGGTCCTGGTGATTCCTGCCTCCTGGTAGGCAAGCCCTCCCCTGAGTTTCAGCTGGACTTAGTGACTCACTTCTAACATACAGAACACAGCAGATGTCACTTCTGAGATTAAGTTACAAAAAGGCAGTGTCTTTTGCCTTGAGCACTCTCTCTTGCTCTCTGCTCAGTCTGAGGGAAACCAGCTGCTATGCTGTGAGCTTCCTAATGGAGAGACCCACAGAGTCAAGAACTGAGGTGGCCTCAGCTAATAACCAGCAAGGAGCTGAGCCCTCTGTCCAATAACCTGAAAGGGGCTGAATCCTGCCAACTCTACAAGAGTTAAGTTTGAGTGGCTCCTTGCTCAATTAAACCTTTAGACAAGATTACAGTCTGAGCTGACAGCTGGATGGTGACCTTGTGAGAGATTCAGAGCTGAAGATGCATCCAAGCCATATCCAGTTTCCTGGCCCACAGAAACTGTGAACTAATGGTGGTTTTAAGCCTGTATGTTTGGGGATGATTTGTTGTGCAACAATTGATACCTAATACACAAGGTAAAACATATAGAACTATTCTGATTTAATCTTTTCTTCTGGAACTAACAGCAAGAGGAAACCAGTTCTGGTTAATAAAAAAGTTAAGAACTGATGTGGCCAGTTAGCAATTTTTTTGTATTTCTTTAAAATATTGCATGTCTTAAGTATTGTATGTGCTTATCTCAATATAAGGCAAAATACGTTTACAATTGTGTTTTAGAATTCAGGCTTCACAGCCAACACCCAGGCACCATGGTCAATGATTGCTTTGGACTCTAAATGAAAAACGATTGAATGTTAAGCTTGCAAATGCAGCATTATAAGATATCAATTGTGGCAGGCATCAGAATTCTCCTGTCTCTAACTTAAAATTGGGGGCTCAGCATAGCTCCTCCCCCATTTTTTATACTTTTAATCAGATACAGTCATCAATACTTTTCTAAACAATTATTTGAATTTGCTCTGCTTAGCAATACCTATTACTAGACCCTCATCACTTGAACTCAAGTAAAAAAAAAAAAAAAAGGGAGAGAAAGATATCTTATGAGCACCTGTCAAGTACGAGGTCCTACACCTGATATTTATAGAGGCAAAGATGGAGTGGTCTAGTGTCTATGCTCAGATAAGTGGCTGCAAATTAGGGATAAGTAAACACTACACAATGCATCTAATATGAGGCAGAAGATGTCCAATGCCACAGAGACATACCAAAAAAGTGACATGAGGTTTCAAACCAGAGAGACTTCAGAGCTAATCGAGAAGATCAGAGAGGATATGTGAAGGGTCTCATGCCCAGCAGCTTGGTGCCTTGTCAGCTCCACGCAGGGATGGATTACTCTGCAGTCACATGAGAAAGTGGCCCAGCTTCTCAGGGAGCATCTCTTCTGAGGCCATGTCTTCTTTTCTGTTGACACCCATCACAGTGAGTTGGTCTCAGGTCCATCTTTGACCTGCCTGCCCGAACTCCTCATTGGATATGAGGTTCTGTTTCCCCAGTACTCTGGGACCTGGTCCCATTTCATTCCCCACATACAGTGTTGTGCTTGGTCATGGAGGGAACAGGTAGGCCACACTTCCCAAGCCAGCCCCATCTGGTTTCCCAGTCCTGAGTTCTCTGCTTACTTTGGAAGGCAGCTCAGACAGAGTTGACATTTGTGATGAGGAATGGGGTAGATGGCAGTGTAGAGGGAGATGCTCAACCACCTTGGAGTGAAAAACACCAGGCACACAGCTTAAAGCTGGAGGTATGTAAATACTGTACCCTCTTCTTTGTGTTCAATCTAGGAAGCTTCCAGGATCAAATATCATGGTTTACAGAACTGTCCTTGCAATTGAAGGTTTTATGTAATGGATAGTGTTTGTTTCTAGGAGAAGGTCTAAAGGAATTTGCCTCTATGGCTGGTTTTATCCTCTGTAATTTAGGGGACACAAAAGGGGTACTTAAAAATGCATGCTTTCAGTAGATTTTATTTAAAATAATCTACATAACTTTGGTATGCTGGGAGGCAAACAGGGGGTCTAACTGCACTTTATAAAGTATGGGATGGCAAAAGATGAAAAAAATACCAGCAGTTTTCCTCTTGGACTCTAATTGAATTCACTCTTTTGCAATATAGGTCATTATAGTAACAGCAGGGGCTGTGGAATTATGAGAGTGGAGAAGATATTATAATTTTGAGATCCTTAAATTCATGGTGAATAGAGTTTTCTTTCAGTCATATTTGGTGAGGAATATATTTGACACCCAAGAGAAATTTGGAATATCATTAAGTCAATACATTCTGTGAAGACCAAAATTCTTTTCTCTATTATCATGGAGTCTTAGGACAAAAAAAAATTGTGAGAAGTCAGAGGATGGAATAGATTTTGGGAGCAGTGTGAATAACGGTGCTATATTGGGAAAGAGTAGATTAGGGTGAGGATTGGAATTTAAAGATCTATTGAAGGGAAAAAAAGACATCACAGGGTTATCAGTTTAATAGAACTGATCCAAATATCAGAAAAAAAAATGATCAGACATGGTGCCCAGTATAGAATGAGTGAAAAGAGGATGATGAAGATAAGTTATTAGGAGGCTACTGTAATAGCTCAGGCCAAAAGAATGAACATGTATTACTGTGCCTGCCTTAGTCCAAAGATGAGCAATGATCTCTAAGACCATTTAGTGTGCTAAATTGAGAAGCCAGTAGGAGACAATTTTGAACCATTACTAAGTTATTTGAGCTTTCGATGAGAAAAGCATGCAATTCCCTTACTCAGGTTATGTTGGGATTTGAAATGTAGACTGAAGTATTTCTAGCTTCCCCATAATCAATTTCAATTTTGCCAAGCTTTGAGGCGATGGGAATTCAATGAGGGTCATTAATCCTACTGAGAATAAAGCAGACACAGTCCACAGAGTTTCAGGCTCTGATTGTGTGTAGACTCAGCCATTGTATATAGGCCATGGTCCAGCCAGCTGCACAGGAGCTCCGTGGAGGCCCACAGGCAAAGTGAGAAAGTAGGTATCAAAAAAATTGGGATCATGTCTTTGTTCCAGCCACTGGGTCCTCAGCCCCGTGGGGCATGGTTGTCCTTCTCCTCTGACCAAAGCACATGTGCACTGCCAGCCTCTGGTTCAGGGACCTTCTGCCCTGGTGAGCTCTCACTCTCTGGGCTACTGAGAAGCTGTCTGCAACCATCATGTACCTGTTTTTAGTTGTGACTGCTTTGCTGGATGAAATGTTCGGGCATTGATATAACCTCAGCGAACAGTAAGGCATAATTTGTTCATACCATGTCCTCCTTATTAGAACCATCAGAGAACTGTGAGATCTCAGAGTTAGATATCTATGCTTCTTTGGGTCTTAAAAACCCTTTGAATTATATGAACAGTGATATTTCCTACTTACACTAACTGCTAGGAAGTTCTGGATCTGTGTGTTCTCAGTTCTAACAAAGTGTCCAGAACCTGAGTGGATACTTTATTTTTTTCTGTACTCATTTGCCTTTTTCTGGCTTTATTTTCCTGTCCTTTTTTTTTTGCCCTTTTCCCATTTCTCTGCTTTAATTTTTTTTCTGAATTTCAAGTCCTCGTTGAAAATAAAACTGGTGATACAAAATTATGTTTACAGAAAAAAGCAGCCCTTCAGCTTATTATACTTTTATTTTGATGAGCACCAAAATATCTTTTTCTTCAAATCAACACATGAGGCTTTTTTACTTAACAAGTTATTTCCTAATTTGAGACATCCTTTCTCACATATGATCATCTTTTGCAAGTTAAGTCACCTACACTTATTTATCAGCTTTGAGAAATCTCCTCCAACCACAGTATTTCCACGATGAAATGCACATTTTCATGAAACACACATCTTTTATAAATGTGCTGTGATCTGCAGCCATAAAATGGCCATCCACAGTTATTGCTTTGCTACTGAGCCCGTCTGCACCAGCACCTCCCCTGACCATCTGTTGCCCAAACCCATGCATCCTGCGAAGGCATTTGTTCACATTGCTTCCTGTCAGCCTCCAGCCTTCTCTCCTTCTGTCTAGTCACAACCTTGTCATGAGTTCTAGTGCCAGGACAACTGTAGAACTATGATCTGATTCCAGGGCCCAAAACGTCATGGTAAGCTTGAGACCCCTGATTGCCACTCTTATGGAAGCCCCATTGGCCACGCTGGCATCTTGTATTTGTGGACCACAGGGTATAGAGATTAAACCATCTCATTAGCACCCTCTTGTGAATAGAAAAGAGAACCCCAGAGACTGGAGGGAGAATCCAGCCCAGACTGAGGGATGGGCAATCCTCAACCAGCCTCCCCGCAGCTGGGATTCGAAATGTAGACTGAAGTATTTCTAGCTTCCCCATCATCAATTTCAATTTTGCCAAGCTTCGAGGCAAAAATGGACACTTTTGTCTGTCCAGACACAGACACTTCTCCATAAGCATCTTTGGCAAAAGGAACTTCAGGATCAATTTTCTTCACATATGCATGGAATTGGTTTGAAAAGAGCCACACCTGTTTACCCGCAATGCAGCTAAAAAAGAGCCACATGCAAAGAAAGAGTGGGATATAGTGAAAATACCATGGGATCTGGTATCAGTGACCCTGGAGCCTACCACGGCAGAGTCTGAGCTGGGGGTGTTGGTTTCACCATTTGAAAATATGGCTAATAAGGTGTTCCTTATTTTTTAAAAATGCAAGGGATAATGTATATAAAAGAATGATGAAATGTTTGGTTTCATATTTTATGGTGCTTATTTACATACTTATTATTCCAAACAAGAGGTTATGCTTTAAAATCTGGAGAGGTATTTCCGACCTGGTTTCTCCAAACTTATTACTTTTATGGAGAGGAGAAAATAGGAACCTATCTTATCTATTAAGATCGTAAATTAAATCAGTACTTGATACCCTCAGTAGCAGATTTAATTGCCCATATAAAAAGAGAAGGTAAGTTTTGACAATAAATGTAAATGTAAACAAGGTCATCCTGAAACATCACAGCATTCTGGCACAGTTATTACCTATATTGATTATTTTGTTTCTGTGATAGTTAATTTTATGTGTCAGATTGGCTAGGCCAACCTACTCAGCTATTTGGTCAAATACCAGTCTCGAAATTGCTATGAAGGTATTTTTTAGATGAGCTAAACCTCTAAGTCAGTAGACTTTCAGTAGGGCAGATTGCTTTCCATGTGTGTGGGGGCCTCATCTAGTCAGTAAAGGCCTTCAGAGAAAACAGACTGGAATTCCCTGGGAAAGAGGGAATTCTGCCTCCAGACCGTCTTCAGAGTCTAGATGCAACTCTTTCCGGGGTGCCCAGGCTTCTGGCCTGCCCTGCAGATTTTGGACTTGCCAGACTTTATGATTAAAGGAACAAATTATTATATAAATTATGAATATAATTCTTTATATGAATCTCTCTTTATCTCTGTCTCCTGCTCTTCTCTCTCTCTATAAATAATATATATATGCAGTTATCCATATACATATATATACACATATATACATTCTGTGAACATATATAAACACACACACACATGCACACATCTTATTGGGTCTGTTTCTCTGTAGAACCCTGACTAATACAGTTTCCCTCCTTTTCCCCAAGAACAGGAGAAACTGAACTGTGAGTGGAACAAGCCACAGGGAGACAAGAAATCAAGAAATGCTGTCCCCTCACCTCTCTGCTCAGCGTCTTCCCAATGGTAGTAAAAATGTTTCCCTGCTCTGCAGATGAGCTGCTCAAGCTCCCTGGTGGGTGCAGGGGAGCTCCACTGCCTGTGTGTGACTGTCTCTCTCTCCTCTGTCTTTCTTTCCCTTCCCCACCCAATTCCTGAGTGGGAGGCTGGCTCATCTTGGGGCGGGTGGACCAGGGAGATGCCCTGTGGCAATGGCCTGTGAAAAGGCAGGGGTCACACGCACATGGTGCTCTGAGCTCTGGGAGGAAAAGCACTTCCAGCAGGGGAGAGCAAGTCCAGGCCCCACTCCAGAGCTGGCCATGTCCTCTGGCTATGTTTCATAGCCCTAAGTAGTGTTCAGATTTCATTTAGATGAAAACAAACTTTTGACCTAATTGATATTTATTTAGATATTCATTTCATTTATCCACTTGATCCTTTGGATTTGGAGCCTAGCAGAGTGTCCTTTCTCTCCAAATCACCATCATCACTAACTGAGGCAGAAGCAACATGCCAGCCAAGTTGGTGGCCTCCCCACAACAATGGCTTCCTGGTGCTGCAGGTGGAAGGGAGCTGGAAGTACCAGCATTCATTCCAAATTCACACACTATCGAAAGCCCACTGGAAAATGACTTGCTCATAAATTACCCTGAATTTGTGTTTTAGATAAGATGTGAGTAAATTATAGCTATTATCTATTTTCACTGTTTCTAGTGTAAGTGAATGATAAATCCTCCTCCTCCCTTTCCTCTTCCTTCTTCTTCTTTTCTTCCCCCCCTTTCTTTTTTCTGTTTTTGGAGACAGAGTCTCACTCTGTTGCCCAGGCTGGAGTGCAGTGGCACCATCTCAGCTCACTGCAACCTCTGCCTCCTGGGTTCAAGTGATGCTGTGCCTCAGCCTCCAGAGTAGCTGGGATTACAGGCGTGTGCCACCACGTCCAGCTAATTTTTGCATTTTTAGTAGAGACAAGGTTTCACCATGTTGGCCAGGCTGGTCTCAAACTCCTGACCTCAAGAGATCCATCCACCTTGGCCTCCCAAAATGCTGAGATTACAGGCGTGAGCCACCATTCCCGGCCTCTTCCAATATTATAAAACATGGTATCACTCATTTAAGCTTCTAGAGCTAGTTGTCTACACACCTTCATTCATTTACTCAGCAAATAATAATTGAGGGTCTGCCACTTTATCAGATACTATTAGACCCCATAGTTTTCATCACAGGCCAAAAAACCAAGTTTCCTTGATTTCCAACATTCTAACTGATCATGGCAGTGGCGGATACAGAAGAACCAAAAACCCCAAAATGTACCACATGAGATCATAAGTACTCTAAAAAAAAGAGGAGAAGAGAGAACAGGTAAAATAAGGTCATGTGGGAGGTGGGTGTGAAATGGTGATGAGTGTGGGCCTCCCTGAGAAAGTGACATTTAAGTCAAGACTTGCAGGAGGTAAGGGCTGTGCCCTGAGGATCCCTGGTGAAGAGCAGTCAAGGAAGAAGGAGCAGCACTCACAAAGGTCCTGAGGCTGGAGAGGAGGTGCTATAATCCACACAACTGTAAGAAGCAGGTGTGGGCCTACGCAGAGGATGGAGGGAGCTAACAGAAAGTGAAGATGAGACTGTAGCTTCAGTCTGAGGGAACATAACGAGCCACTGCTTTGATCACTGGAAAGATCTTTGCCACGACTTCAATACTCTACTCTAGGAACCAAGTTTTGAGCCTACTTTGGCATTTGTAGGAAGAATGTGTATCTTTTCCTTTATTGCAACTAAGGCAGAGAATTCTCTAACTCTAGGAGAAGAGCTCATGTCCCCTGGCATTTTCCTGACCCCAAGCTGAGATGCTTGGCATGAGTTAAGAATGGAAAGAGCTGTTTCACTAAATTTGTACCAAACATTGGGTGTTGTTTTGGATCCGTGGAACAGTGGGTGACACCAGCAGGAAAAGAAGAATGTTTTTCCCACTGGAGGTTAGGACCCCAGATGAAGCAGCAGCTTTAATCGGCTTTGAATCAGCTTTGAGTAACCAGTGAGCAAATCCATGTGTCTCTGACCAGGGAGCTGTTCATGCTGCCTGGACCTCCTATATGTCTGAGTGAAAGAAGACAAAACAAAAGAAAACAAAACAAAGAAACAGAGAGAGAAGAGGAAGATAAAGTGTGAGTTCTAATGAGCTTTATTTTTCTAGGAACATGTCTTTTTCATATACATTTTCAAATGCAAGATACAAAATTGTATATAACATCGTCTTACCATTATGTAATGTTTTAGAAGACTATACTGAATTCCATGTATTATTTCTGTCATTGGTTGTGTCCTTGCCCCTTTTTCCTCAGTCAAGCTCACTGGTATTTATCAATTTCATGAGTAATAAGATTGGTATTATTCTTTCTTATATATTTAGCAAAATTTACTGGTGAAGCCTCTAGGTCTGGAGATATTGCAGAAGTAATATTTTTAATTTAAAAATGTATTTTCTAGGCCTGGCATGGTGGCTCACACCTGTAATCCGAGCACTTTCGGAGGCCAAGGAGGGTGGATCACCTGAGGTCAGGGGTTCAAGACCAGCCTGGCCAACATGATGAAACCCCGTCTCTACTAAAAATACAAAAACAAATTTGTCAGGGATGGTGGTGCATGCCTGTAATCCTAGCTACTTGGGAGGCTGAGAGGGGAGGACTGGCTGAACCTGGAAGGTGGAGGTTGCAGTGAGCCGAGATTGCGCCACTGCACACTCCAGCCTGGGCCACAAAGCGAGACTCCATCTAAAAAAAAAAAATGTATTTTCTTATTAGCCATTGGATTATTAATGTCTAATATGTCTTAGGTCAGTGTTGGTATGTTACATTCAAATTTTGAAAGGAACCACTTTTGGCCTTATTGAACCTCTCTATTACATGTTGTTTATGTTAATTAATTAATTAATTAATTAATTAATTAATTTTTGAGACACAGTCTCGCTCTGTTGCCAGGCTGGAGTGTGGTGGGCGATCTCAGCTCAATGCAACCTCTGCCTCCTGGGTTCAAGTGATTCTCCTGCCTCAGCCTCCCGAGTAGTTGGGACTACAAGCAGATGCCACCCTTTTTTTTTTTTTTTTTTTTCTGAGATGGAGTCTCACTCTGTCACCCAGGCTGGAGTGTAGTGGCGCCATCTCAGCTCACTGCAACCTCTGCCTCCCAGGTTCAAGCAATTCTCTGCCTCAGCCTCCTGAGTTGCTGGGATTACAGGTGCCTACCACCACACCCGGCTAATTTTTTGTATTTTTAGTAGAAATGGGGTTTCACCATCTTGGCCAGGCTGGTCTTGGAACTCCTGACCTCATGATCCACCCGCCTCGGCTTCCCAAAGTGCTGGGACTACAGGCGCGAGCCACCACACCCAGCCCAGTGCCCAGCTAATTTTTGTATTTTTAGTAGAGACAGGGTTTCACCATGTAGGCCAGGATGGTCTCAATCTCTTGACCTTGTGATCCGCCCGCCTTGGCCTCCCAAAGTGCTGGGATTACGGGCATTTATATTTTTCAGAGTACCTGTAGGAAATACATGGAACATGCAATTTAAATTATTTGAGAATAATAAAAGGACTTTTACGCAAGTATGGGCCAGGGTGGGAAAATCACAGGGATGGATAATACAGTATCCTGAGAGGTGACGCTGGGGTTATAATTACAACCTCTGGGTCCAAAAGGGCAAGGGAAGGAGCAACTGCAGAAAGCCAGCGCCAGAGGTCTGGCAGAGAGGGAGGCCTGAGAGGAGGCAGTTGGGCTGTCCACGTGGAGAGAGAGTGGGAGGAACCAATGTTACGGCCCCACACTCTTACCTTCTTCCAGGGCACCACAGAAAGCCCAAAGATGAAGGAGCCCACAGATATGGTCAGCCTCCCAAAGGGCAGATGTGAATTGAGAAAGGTCAACTGTAAGTCTGGAGGGGCAAACAGAAAGTGCTCAGCACAGGCTCCTCTTGCTCCTCTGTCTCCATACTTTTTCCAGGTAAAAACTCTGTGTCCTCATCACAGGAAAGGCAGCTTGACCATTTGAGGTAATGCTGATTCTGTCATATGCCCATGTAAAACATATACCCAGACCAGCATTCTCTAGCATACCCAGATGGATAACCTTAAAAAGTACTTCAGACACTAAAAACACTAGAACAAAGACTAAAGGATTAATGAAGATCAAAGCAGGAAGCCCAAAGTTTGACTAAAACGAGTTCCCAAAAGAGAGAACAAAGAAAATGGAGAGGTACAAATTGCCTAAAACAATGGATAAATGTATTTCAATGTTAAAGAAAGACAAGTGTCTTCAAGAAAAGGCCCACCAAGCTAAAAATATAAAAGAAGAAGATACAAATTGACCTTCATCTAAAGATAATATCATAACAAAAATATTCTAAAAATCTTTTGAAGAGAAAACAAGAAGGGAAGCTATAAGAAATTATACAAAGCTTGTCATTTGAGAGAAAAGCCACATTTTTAGTTGGAAAGTTTTAACTGTTAAAAGTCAGCTGTCTTGAAGTTAACCCAAAACTTTCATACAAGCACAATAAAATTGAAAGCTGATTTTAAAATTCATATGGAATTGAAAATATAAAAATATGCATGAAGCAATTTTGAAAGCAATCTTGCAAATCCAGGCCTTAAGAAATAAGGACTAATTAAGTCCTTATTTAAGAAAGAAGGACTTTTTCCTACCAGATAAAATAATAAAATGTCAAAACCTACTACTGAATTCATTAATTTTCCATAAATAAGTTTATGTAAAAACCACATATTACATAAAGTGTATTACTTTGAAAATACATTCTTTCAGTCTCCCATTTCATAAAATATATGTAGGATGGCAGGTATTCAAGGGTATTGTAGAAAAGATAAGAGACACTAAATATCATTACTGCTGTATCTTGATGAAGTAGGGGGTATCATGGCTAATGCATATGGCTGTGCCGGTCACACACTGCACAGCTCTAGAAGAGGTCTATGTGATTAACACTTCCTAATGTTTTTAGTAGACAGTTTGGCCTGTAAGCTGTGATGGCCCTGAATGAGGTCATCAGCTAAAAGACGGAGAGTATATCTCAGAATCTTCAACAATAGATTTTAGGTCCTATCATTAGTGGTTTAGGAGCATCCTTACATAAAATAAGACTGATGCCTCTGGCATCTTCAATTCCTTCACAAGCTCCAAGGAGGAAAATGAGGCTAATGTGCAGAATAAGGCAGAATTAAGAGAGAAAGCAGAGTGATGTTCACGCGGTGGTGGAATAAGAGCGTTCTACCATTATCCCCTAGCAGAAGCATCAAACTTGACAATTATCTATAAGAGCACTTTTGTGGGGTCCAAGAATCCAGCAGATAAAGTTTTAGCACGCCATCAGAACAAAAATCTGAGAATAGATGCACTGAAAAAGATAAGAAAAACAGTTTCACTTTACCTGCATTACCTTTCCTCCAAGGCATCATAGCTCAATGCCAAGAGAGATCATTGCAGTCCATGATTTCTCCTGGTGGGTGGGGAGAGTGCAAGCATGGTTCATGAGTGCCCAGCTCCCCCAGCTTTGTAGGATACTGAACAAGACACCCACTTTCTCATCTTATCCAAACTACAATGGTGATTGGTATGGTTTAGTGGTTGGAAGAGAACAGTGACAGGGAAGAGAGGTGGGGATCTAATTTACTGCTCTGTGATTCCATCAGGAAGTGCATCTATAAGGCACTTGGAACACATTGTGTTTGGACCCCCTGAACTGGTGCATGGGCACTCAAAATGTTCGGCACAACTCGCTCCCAAGATTGGTTCCCTAAATGCACCTGCGTGAACAGCAAATGCAAGCATTTCATGCAGGTATCTGTATCAACTATGCAGGGTTGGAGGAAGACACACAAACTTGAGCATTTCAGTGCACCACTCTAGAAAATCAAAACAGGAAGCTCTCAGCCCTGGCCTAGCTTTGCAAGATTGAAAGAAAGTGTATAATCTTAAGCATTTCCCTCCCCCAAAATGGATAAGAAGTGTGGAGTGGGTGAATCCACAGAAAAAGTCTGAGAGAGCCTCATAATCACTAACCAATCTGGTTGGTGAAGGTATTTATAGTAAGTAAAAACTGAAGGAAGTTACTCCTTCTTCAAATGGAAAGACAGCAGCAGAAGACTTCAAGAAACATGAAAAATCAAGAAAACTTGATTTTTCCCAAAGAAATTGAGATCTACAAATTGCCTGACAAAGAATTCAAAATAACTATTTTAATGAAGCTCAGTGAGCTACAAGAAAACATAGGTAGACAACTAAATAAAACAGAAAATAGGAATCAACAAAAGAATTCCAATGAATAGATAGAAATCATGAAAAGGAAACTGAACAGAAATCCTAGAGCTGAAGAACACAGTGAATGGAATTCAAAAAATGCAATAAAAACACCAACAGACTTGATCAAGCAGAAAAAAGAATCTGTGAACTTGAAGAAAAGTCATTTGAAAATATCCAGTTAGAAAAGGAAAATTTTTTTAAAAAAGAATGAAAAGGAATGAAGAAAACCGATGAGATTAGTGGAACACCATCAAGACAGCTAACATTTGCATTATGGATGTTCTAGAAGAAGAACAAAGACAGAAAGGGGAGAAAGCTTATTTAAAAAAATTATGGCTGAAAACTTCCAAAGTCTGGGGAGAAACCTGGACATTCAGGTATACAAAGCTTGCAATCTGTAATAAGGTTCAATCCAAAGAAGGCCTCACAAGTCACATTACAGGTTGAGCATCTCTAATCTAAAAACCTGAAATCTGAAATGCTTCAAAATCTGAAACTTTTTGAGAACTAAAATGACGCTTAAAGGAAATGCTCATTGGAACATTTCAGATTTCAGATTTTCAAATTAGGGATGCTCAACTGGTAAGTATAATGCAAATATTTCAAAATCTAAAACAATCTGAAATCTGAAACACTTCGATTCTATGCACTACAGATAAGGGATCCTTCACCTGCATAACGAATTGTCAAAAATTGAAGACACAGAAATTTGAAAGCAACAAGAAAAGAGGCTTGGCACATACAAGCAAACTCTGATAAGACTATTAGCAGATTTCTCAGCAGAAGCCTTACAGCCAGAAGATAGTAGAATTATATAGATATATTCAAACTGGTAAAAGAAAGAAAGATACTGCTAACCAAGAATATTTTACCTAAAAAAGTTGTTCTTCAAAAATGGAGATCTAAAGCCTTCTAAACAAACAAAAGCTGAGGAGTTCACCACTTTAGACCTGCTTTATAAGAAATGCTAGAGAGTTCTTCAAGATAAAATGAAACAAGGCTAATTAATGACATGAAAACATATGAAAGTATAAAACTGACAAATGGAAGTTTATCAGAATACTCTAATAATATTCTAATACTCTAATAAATTCAGAATATTCTAATACTGTAATGGTGTGTAAATCACTTAAAGTTTAAAAACAAAAGTATTAACAAAACTGTAAATACAATAGTCTGTGGATACATAATATTAAAAAGATATAAATTTTGACATCATAAACAAAAAATAAGGGGTGTAAAAGTATAGAGATTTTGTATGTGATCAAAGAAAATTTGTTATAAGCTTAAAATAGACTTTTATAACTAAAAGGTATTTCCTGTAAGCCTCACGGTAACCATAAACCAAAAACCTCTAGTTGATATATAGAAGAAAAAGAGAAAGGAATCAAAGCATACCACTCATTACAAAAAAATCATCAGTTCACAAAGGAAGATAGCAAGAGAGGATGAAACAAACAAAGAATCTACAAGGCAACTAGAAACCAATTAACAAAATGGCAATAGTAATTGCTTACCTATCAATAATTACTTTAAATATAAATTGCTTAAATACTCTAAAGATAGACTGCTCAATGGATTGAACACACACACACACACACACACACACACAATATGGTACCTACAACGGATTCACTTAAGCTTTAAGAACACACTTAGAGTCAATGTAAATAAGGAAGGTTATATTCTATGCAAATGGAAACCAAAAGAGAGTAGGAATAGCTAAATTTATACAAAATAAACTTTAAGTCAAAAACTCTCGTAAGATACAAAGAAGATCATCATATAATGATAAACAGGTCAATTCATCAGGGGATATAACAATTTCAAATATATATGCACCTAACATTACAGCACTTAAATTATATAAAGCAAATATTAATAAATCTGAAGGAAGAGACAGACTGGATACAATAATAGTAGAAAACTTTAATACCTCACTTTCAACAATGGACAAATTGTTCAGATAGAAAGTCAATGAGAAAATATTGTAATTGAACTGCATTTTAGACAAAAAGAGGGCCTAACAGACATATACAATGCATTCTGTCAAAAGGCAACAGAAGACTTTTTTTCTTGTACATATAAAATTATTTCCAAATTACTTTAAGTATTAGGCCACAAAACACGTTTTAACAAATTTAAGACGATTGAAACTGCATCAAGAATATCTTCTGATTACAATGGTATGAAACTAGAAATCAATAAAAAGAAAAACTGGAAAACTCACAAATATATGCAAATTAAACAACATTCTTCTGAGCAACCAAAGGGTAAGTGGTAAATTTTCCAAGAGGGAAATTTAAAAAGATCTTGATACAAATCAAAATGGAAACACAGCATACAAAAACTTATGGGCTAGGCCGGGTGTAGTGACTCATGCCTTTAATCCCAGTACTGTGGGAGGCCAAGGTGGGCAAATCACCTGAGGTCAAGAGTTCGAGACCAGCCTGGCCAACATGGTGAAATCTTGTCTCTACTAAAAATACAAAAATTAGCTGGGCATGGTGGCATGTGCCTGTAATCCCATTTACTTGGGAGGCTGAGACAGGAGAATCACTTGAACCCAGGAGGCGAAGGTTGCAGTGAGCAGAGATCATGCCACTGCACTCCAGCCTGAGCAACAGAGTGAGACACCATCCCAAAAATAAATAAATAAATAAATAAATAAATAATAAATTATGGGCTACAGCAAAAGCAATTCTAAGAGAGAAACTTTTAGTGATAAAATCTTACGTGAAGAAAAAAGAAAGATATTAAATAAGTAAGATAACCTTATACCTCAAACACTAGAAAAAGAAGAACAAACTCCAATGTTAGAAAGAAGAAGGAAATCTTAAAGATCAGAGCTGAAAAACATGAAGTAGGGACTAGAAAAACAACAGAAAAGTAAACTGAGTTGTTTCTTAAAAGACATACAAAATTCACCTTTTGCTGGACTAAGATAAAATGTGACAGGACTCAAATAAACAAAATCATAAATCAAAGTGGAGACTTGAAAACTAATACCACAGAAATAAGAAGGACCATAAGGGTCTATGATGAACAATTATATGCCATAAAAAAGATAACCTAAAAAAGTAGGTAAATTCCTAGAAACCATATCTTACCAAGTCCAAAGCATGAAGAAATGGAGAAACTAAACATACCAGTAATGATTAAGGATATCAATTTGGTTGTTTAAAATCTCCATCAAAAAGAAGTCTATGGGCCAGGAACAGTGGTTCATGCCTGTAATCCCAGCACTTTGGGAGGCCGAAGAGAGTGGATCACTTGAGGTCAGGAGTTCAAGACCAGCCTGGCCAACATGGTGAAACCCCGACTCTACTAAAAATACAAAAATTAGCCAGGTGCGGTGGTGCACACCTGTAATCCCAGCTACTCAGGAGGCTGAGGCACAAGAATCATATGGCTTCACTACTGAATTCTATCAAGCATTTAAAGAAGAATTAATGTCACTATATCCCAATTGCTTCAAAAAAACTGAAGATGATGGACCACTTCCAAACTCATTTTACTATGCCAGCATTACCCTGATATCAAAGCCAAACCAGAACACTACAAAAAAGAGAAAATCACAGACCAGTAACCCTGATGAAAACAGATCCAAATATCTTCCATAAAAGACTAGAAAACCAAATTCAATACCGCATTAAAATGGCCACAGTTCTGCAGGCTGTACAAGAAGCATGATGCCAGCATCTGCTTCTCCTGAGGGCTTTTGTGCTGTGTCAAAACATGGTGAAGAAGGTAAAAGGTGAGGCGGGCATATGTGAAATGAGAACAAACCCAAGGGGTATCCTGGATTTGTAACAACCTACTCCAAGGGGAACTAATTTATTACCCCAAAAACCAATCCAGTCTTGCAAGATGAGAACTCACTATTGCAAGATGGCACCAAGCCATTCATGAGACCCCAAACACCTGCCATGAGGCCCTACTTCCCAATACTACCAAATTGGGAATCAAATTTCAACATAAAATTTAGTGGGGCCAAATAAACCAAATCCATATCATACCACCATGATTAAGGAGATTTATCCCTGGGATGCAAGAATGATTCAACATACAAAAATCAGTAATTGTGATATGTCACATTAACAGCATAAAAGATAAACAACATATCATCATCTCAATAAATGCACAAAAAGCATTTGACAAAATTTGACATCCTTTCCATGATGAAAAAACGCTCAGAAAGGCTCACGCCTGTAATCCCAGCACTTTGAGAGGCTGAGGCAGGAAGATCGCTTGAGCCCAGGAGTTCAAGACCAGCCTGGGCAACATAGTGAAACCCTATCTCTAGTTAAAATAAACAAACAAATAAGAACATATTTCAACTTAACAATGGCCATTTATGACAACCCGACACCAACATATTTAATGGTAAAAAGCTTTCCCCCTCATATGAAGAACAAGGCAAGGATGCTCATACTCGTCCCTTTTTTCCCACATAGTACTAGAAGTCCTAGCCAAAGTGATTAAGCAACAAGGATCAATAAAAGGCATACACATTGGAAAGGAAGGCATACAACTGTTTGTTCACTGACATCATAATCTTTCATACGGGCATACTGCATTTTATTCTGCTTCACTTTATTGTACTCTGTAGATATTGCAGTTTTCCTTTTTTTTATTATTGTTTTTTGTTTTTTTTGTTTTGTTTTTTGTTTTACAACTGAAGGTTTTTGGCACCTCTGCATTAAGCAAGTAGATCAGCACCATTTTTTTCCAACAGCATGTGCTCACTTCATGTTTCTGTGTCACATTTCGGTAATTCTCACAATATTTTGAACACTTTCCATGACTTCAACACATCAACCTTCCGTCTCAAAAGAAAAGCATCCCATGCACAAACACACCATGTCCAAGGTTGTTCTGGGCTTGTTCCCACGTTATTTTAGGAGCCTAGAATATCTGCTTTTCACCAGTCCTAATCTGACATCTCCAAAGTCCAGTCTCCTACCTTTCTAGATTTCCCTCAAAGTTGCAGTCCCTTGTTTATTATTTTGTGAGGGGAAGATGAAAGGGTTCATGATCTTTAGTACAATGGCTTCCTGACCCACAGAAAAGGTTCAATGTTTTCTTGCACTTTATTCTACCTGAGCTAAACTGCATAAAAACATTAAACTCTCATTCTTTTTTTTTTTTTTTTTTTTTTTTGAGACAGAGTCTTGCTCTGTCATCCAGGCTGTAGTGCAGTGGCGTGATCTCAGCTCACTGCAAGCTCTGCCTCCTGGGTTCAGGCCATTCTCCTGCCTCAGCCTCCCAAGTAGCTGGGACTACAGGCGCCCACCACCACACCTGACTAATTTTTTGTATTTTCAGTAGAGACAGGGTTTCACCTTGTTAGCCAGGATGGTCTCGATCTCCTGACCTCATGATCCACCTGCCTCGGCCTCCCAAAGTGCTGGGATTACAGGCATGAGCCACCATGCCCAGCCTAAACTCTCATTCTAATTGGACAATTTTAAGAAGTATTTTACTCCCAGACTTATAAAACAAGCCTACAGCCAGGCACAGTGGTGCACGCATGTAATCCCAGCACTTTGGGAGGCCGAGGTGGTGGATCACTTGAGGCCAGGAGCTCAAGACCAGCCTGGGCAACAGAGCGAGACTCAAACTCTACAGAAAATTTAAAAAATTAGCTGGACGTGGGGCACCTGCCTGTAGTTCCAGCTACTCAGGAGGATTGCTTGAACCTGGGAGTTCAAGGTTGCAGTGAGCCGTGACCATGCTACTCCACTCCAGCCTGGGTGACAGGAGACCCTATCTTAAAAAAAACAAACAAAAACAAGCCCACAACACTACTTCTTTAGTTCTGAAGCACTGTAAAGTATATTTTAGATTAATAATTTCCAAACCAAGAAAATGAAAGCCTATATTAATTATAAGACCCCAAACAGAAAAAATCTTGTAAAACGATCAAGACCATAAAATTCACATACCTTCTATTTGGTCAATGCAGAGACACAGATCTTTGTTCCGGAGTTTGAATTTAAATGCAAAGCTTCAGAGCCTGAAAATGTCTAAAATTAGACCCATGACTGACAACTGGCCTAGGCTCAATGTCTTTGGAATGTGCTCTACTAAATTTGCTACCATTTGAATGTGTTCCCTCCAAAATTCAGGTGTTGCCAATGTGATGATATTAAGAGGTAGGACCTTTAGGAGGTGATTAGGCCAAGAGGGCTCCTTCCTCCTTAATGGGATTAAGGCCCTGATGAATGAGGCTTCACACATTGGACTAGCTTGCTCTCCTGCCCTTCTGCCTTCTGCCTTCTACCATGTGAGGTGGCAACAAGAAGGCCCTCAGACACCAAATGTTGGTATTTTCATCTTGGACTTCCCAGTCTCCAGAACTGTCAGAAAATAAATGTCTGTTCTTTATAAATTACCCAGTCTCTGGTATTCTGTTATAGCAGCATAAAACAGACTAAGAGAAAATTCCTTGATGATTTTTCAACAAGAGACAGTGTCACTACTTCTGGTGAGTAGTCCCTAACATGTTCTCAAATTCTCCTTTTATGCAAACATAACATTTTTTAAACTTAGTAGTTCCTTTTCCTAAAAATAACCAAATACAGGTTAAGGACTGATTAGTATTAAATATAAGTACAACTTTGGTGCTAAAAGTTAAGAGCTTTTGTTTTCCAGAAAATCAAATCCAAAGAATTCAGATAAAGCAATTTTCTCAAAGATGTATCATCAGTTAGAGGTAAAGCCAGAGGTGAGAAATTATATTCCATTCCAAATACAATGTGCTTTCAATTATTCCACATTAATAGTAGTTTACAAAGGAGATTTAGAGAATTCCTCAAATCAAAAATGACGACATTTATGAAATGTCATTCTTATATAAAATACCTACTTCAGCCATCTCCTCTTCTTCCTCTTCCTCTGAAGTCACTTCTTCTGTTGTCCCATTCTGAAACAGAGAAAGAATCTGCCAGGGCTACACAGGCTGAATACAGGGTGAGTCAATTAGAAGACCGGTGCCATAGCTTTAGGGACAAACTCTCAGCCATCTGTCACTGCAGTGCCACTAGCAGAGAGCTTATTAAAATTAAATGTTTATTTTTAAATCCAACTTTGATTTGACAAACAACAGTTATCAGCTTTTAAAAACGGAACAAAGAATAAAAGAATTAGGAATAAAGAAAAGCAATCAGTCAAATACAAAGCAAAACCGAAAAAAATGTTAAAATGTAATCTAATTTAAAATAAGAAAACATTTTACTTACATGGCTATGTGTATAAGATCAATGGCTTATTTTGTTTAAAATAAATATCACAAACTATCCATTCCTTAAAATAACTACCTTTTTAACTTTGAAAAGCCTGAATCATTACATATATTCAATTGCCTTACATTTTAAAAGATCAGATGTGTTATTTATAGACACTTGACAAAACTAAGAATTATGAAATGATTACCACCTTACTAAAAGGCAAATTTTAGTTTTAAAAACATGTTATTTACTACAAAGTACCTCCCTACAAGACAGAATTTACCAACTGACACAATTTACAATGATCAAGTTTAGAAATGAATTTAATGGGGTTTTAAGAAGGGCCTTCATACACAGTTTGGGCAAAGTTCAAAAGATAAGCTTCCTGGCCTGGGCACAGTATATAAATGCTTCTTTAACCATGAAGGCCAGTACAGGTTAAAACCCAGAATATGTAGAAGATCAAAAAACTAGGATTCAGAGATCAAGTAAGACCAACAAAGGTCTCAGCAGTATCTAAGCATCTGTTCTTAGATACTCTGATGGAGTAATTCTTAAGAAAAACAAACCCATGATCACAGAGGGTATTAGAACTCTTCTGGATCAGTCAGCTGGAGAAAGCCATGTAGATAAACATACCCATGAAGAATTAACTTATATTTGCTTTAAATCTGTATCTCTTTAGACATTCTTTGTCTTCTAAAAACTAAATGGAAAAAGGAAGCAAGCAGCAGCTTCCAAAATGTAATTCACCCCTTCTTCATTTCCCTAAATTGTTATACTCCAAATTAAACTATTCTGGGTATCTAAAGAATATATTCTTAGCCTAAAAGTCCCAAAGACTTTGGTTGCATCAGTGATTGAAAGAGCATTTTTGAAATGCTCATTTCAAAGCATACCCAGAGAATCTGTTTTTGGTTTTGTTTTTTTTTGAGACGGAGTCTTGCTCTGTTGCCAGGCTGGAGTGCAGTGGCACCATCTCGGCTCACTGCCACCTCCGCCTCCTGGGTGCAAGCGATTCTCCTGCCTCAGCCTCCCAAGTAGCTGGGACTACAGGCGCGTGCCACGATGCCCAGCTAATTTTTGTAGTTTTAGTAGAGACGGGGTTTCACCATGTTGACCAGGATGGTCTCGATCTCTTGACCTCATGATCCGCCCACCTCGGCCTCCCAAAGTGCTGGGGAGAATGTGTTTTTAAAAAGCTCTCTGAGGTGATTCTGACACGCATCCACATCTGTAACCATCAGCCCAGTTACTATCCTTCATTTTGCAAATGATAAAGCTGAGCCCCCACCCCTCAAAAAGGGTAATTTAATCAAAACAAAAAGTGAGTTAGGGTTGTAAAATCCTAAGATGAATTTCATTTCAAGATGTGGCCTGGTCCTCTTTCCAAAATCCCACCAAAATGACAGTATTTTACTAAACAGAATAAGTCTGACACAGCAGCAGAAAAATAACAGATACAAGGAGAATACCCTTAGTGAACCAAAACTACAGGGACATGCCGGAAGACACAAAGCAGATGGAATTAGACTGCTGGGCTTGAGAAGGCCACAAACCCAATCCAAATAATGGAGGGACCACTTTTTTCCAGAAGAATCTAACATTCTTTACCGTACTTGTCCCAACTACAGTTGGTAAGAATCACCCTCCCATATAAGAAGCCTATCTTGATGGCCTCTTACTATGAGTGTGAAAACCAGAGGGAAAAGACAAAATGTTTTTTAATATAACTCAACACAGCAGCAAAATCTTAAAACAGACTCCATCTCTGCCTTTTAACTCAGGAGCTAGAAAGCTCTCCTGCCAGCACCTCCCCATCCTAGTGTCACAGGCGGAGCATGGGTCTGCAAACCAGGAGAGGGAGGCCACAGCAGAAAAGAATGACAATTCTGAAGACACTTGTGATGGTTAATACTCAGAGTCAACTTGATTGGATTGAAGGAATCCCAGCACTTCCCAGCACTTCGGGAGGCAGAGGTGGGTCATTTGAGGTCAGGAGTTTGAGACCAGCCTGGCCAACATGGTGAAACCCCGTCTTTACTAAAGACACAGAAGTTAGCCAGGCGTGGTGGCGGGCGCCTGTAATCCCAGCTACTCCGGAGGCTGAGGCAGGAGAATAGCTTTAACCCGTGGACTGTCAAGAGACGTAGGCTGCAGTGAGCCGAGATTGCGCCACTGCATTCCAGCCTGGGCGACAGAGTGAGGCTTTGTCTAAAAAAAAAAAAAAAAAAAGTTGTTTTTTTTTGTTTTGTTTTGTTTTTGTTTTTGTTTTTTGAGAGAAGTCTCGCTCTTATCCCCCAGGTTTGAGTGCAATGGCTCGATCTCGGCTCACTGCAACCTCCGCCTCCCGGGTTCAAACGATTCTCCTGCCTCTGCCTCCCAAGTAGCTGGGATTAAGTAGCCTGCCACCACGCCGGGCTAATTTTTGTATTTTTTAGTAGAGATAGGGTTTCACCATGTTAGCCAGGCTGGTTTCGAACACCGAAAATCTTAAAGGCCTTTGCCTTTCCCCGCCTGGGCTCAAAAGCCGCCATTCCCCGCCCTGTCGCGGTCCCCGGAGCAGGCCGGCTGACTGAGGGCGACCATGGGTCCCGAGAGGGCTCCCGCCACCACGGGCTCCCACCTCGGGGGGCGGCGACGGGGGCTGAGAGGGGCCAGTGGCCCCCAAGACAGCCCCATGCGAGGAGCCGGAGAGACAGACGCGCCCGCCGCCTCCTCCCACCCAAGCCTCGCGCAGTCCCGGGGCGGGCCGGGCCAGTTGCGGGAGAAAGGGGGGGGGAGCCTCGCCGGGGCAGGTTCCCCTTTGTCCCGGGACTCCGGGCACCCCCTCTCCGCCCTCCTCCTGCCCCGCGAGGCCGCCGCCGGGCGCCTCACCTCATGTTGCAGTGGAGCGTGAGCCGCAGCTGAGCCTCCTGGTTCTCGTGGAAGATAGACGCCAGCAACTTCAGTTTGGCCTTGAATCTTGACACAGACATCTTCCCCTCATCTCCGGCGGGAAGGGCGTGGAAGGGGAGCCGTCTGGAGCCGCTGTCATGGCCACGACCACCCCGCGGGGCCGCCTGGCCGAGCTCTTGTGAGCCTAAAGACCCGCCTCTTCCTGCAGCCTCCACTCTCCTGGGAGCGCGGCTGGAAAATGGCAAGGGGCACCAGGTCTTGGCGGGAGCTGTGTGGCGGCCTGGGGGGCTGCTCCCTTTGTAGCCGACTCCACCGACAGGAGGCGCGGCCCCTGTCAAGCCGCAGCTTAAAAGGGCAACAGGACAACAGAACCACCGCCCCCGCTACCGCCTGGGAAAAGGCTGCCCCTACCCCGCCTCCGTCCCCGTCGCCCCTACCCCCTCGGCGCACCCTTTTCCGCGGGTGCACAAGTCCAGAGCGTGCGCGCGCTCCCGACTGCCCCCTCCTCCCTTGACCCAGCACCTTTCTGCCGGGCACAGGATCCCGGGGCTAGACTGCCTGGGCTCAAGTTCCAACTTAGCCACTTGCTGGCTGTGAAATACTTGCTTTAAGCAAGTATTTAAGCCTCAGTTTCTTTCTTTCTTTCTTTTTTTAACTTAATCCCAAATGTGATAGTCTCAGTTTGTTGATCTGAAAAACAGAAATTATTTAGTGAGAGTCTATGTGAAAACTTTAAAGTTTTTAAAGCCACTGCCTGGCTCAGGAAAGTCCTCAGCTTTAGCTGTTAAAGTTTTAAAAGCCACTTTAAAGGTTTTAAAGCCACTGCCTGGCTCAGGAAAGTCCTCAGCTTTAGCCTTTATCAGCTATGATTATTATTGTGTTGGCTACACGTGCATTGAGGCAGGAAAATGCTCAGGGATAACAACCAAGTATGCAAATTATCTCATCAGACCCAGCGACAGGCATATGTGTGCATGCTCATGTTTCAGCTCAGAGCCCTTTGTCTAGAAGGCTCTTGAACTCAAGAGGCCCAGGCACTATCAACTTGAATTTGCAGTGGAGCCATCACTTTTGTTGATCAATGAAATTGACATAACGCTCTTTTTTTTTTTTTTTTAAACACCAACCGTGTGCCTCGAGCTAACTGTGTCAAGAAAAGCATGCTTCAGTTGGCTGGAGTGAGCAATTTAACTTGTGGAGGAATGAGAAACGTTAGTGTTGAGAATAGAAACATAAAACCCCAGGGTAAGGTAGGAACCTACCTGAGAACCTTGGGTGAGTCATCCACCCTTTGGGGGCTCCCTGTGCCTCAGTGGAGTGAAGAATTATCCCTTCCTCGCCTTGCTGCCTCCTGGGAAAGTTGATAAGAATCAAGTGAAATTAAGACTGTCAGGCTGTCATTGTCATCCCTATCAGGGGAAGGGTCCTCTGGGGCCTGAAGGGGCTTTGGGTGAAGCACAGCTGTGTTTTCTCTAGGGACCCACCGTGTTCCCATCCTCCCCCATTTTGGCCCAGCCACTGCCTGTGCAAGTGTCACCCAATCCTTCCACAGGCCATCAGAATTCCACTTCCACCCAAGAGGGGAAAGGACACATTGGAGGCAGCACAGACATTAAACACGGTATTTTCAGAAGGAGCAGACATAACCTTACAGAAGTGCTTTATTTTCTGTAACTAGATTTTGTTTTACTGGAGGCAGCTTTGTATAAGGTTCAGGCGTCTCTTGGTCCATTTTATCAGAAGGAACCATGGGGGTCATTTCATCCATCCCTTTTCATCTAAGCAGCACTACATTCCAATCGTGAAGGCATAAGCTTTCCCTGTCAAGCAGGATGCTGCCCCAGACCCTTAGCATCAGGAAACCCCAAAGTCAAACCTGAATCCAGCCTGCTGAATGAAATTTCAGTCCCATCCTCCCTCCTTCTAGCAAAAGAAGGTTTGGGGGAGATTTCAAAACAGAAGCACTTCTCTCCCCAGGGAGAAACCGAAGAGGAGCAGCAGGTACTGCTCTTCAGCCCACACACCCATCTCAGGTGACAGGTCCCCTCCTCAGTGTGGGGCGACGTGGTGGGGGTAGGTTACCGGAGTGTAGCAGAGTGGGGGGAAACCCCTGGTGCCCTCCTGCTGAGCATCTGACCTTGAGCCCTTTACCCCAGCTCCCCCTTTCCATCTGAAGAACAGTGAGGGATCAGCAGACCTGACTAGAGGGTCTCAGGCATGGGTCCTCTCCCCCAGCCCACACATGAACACACGCACACACCCTTCCCAACACCCAGGTATGCAGATGCACACTCCCCCACAGGAGGAGCCGCCCGGAAATCCCTGAATCAGCTTTTCTGCCGTCCAGGGTCTGTGACAAGCGAGCTGCTGCCCTTCTGAAGAGAGGCTCCATGCCGGCCAGGAGCCGCGGCTGCTGCAGCACTGCAGTCCCCGGCTTCTGGAGTAAGGTCTCTGTCTTGGGGCGGGGGATGCCTGGAGGAGGGGAGGAAGGGGGATTCACTGCGGGTATTGGGAATTTCCCAGTTCCCCAGACTCTGTGGGGATGAGAAGCCCTGGAAAGCCCTGAATGACTGCCCCTCCCCCCCAACACACATGCACACAGGATTTTTGTGTGTGTGGGTTGGGGGGTGAGGAATGTCACTTCCTGGGTCAAACACCAAACTCGAGTCCTGGTCCTGAGTGTGCAGAGCAGAAGGCAAACAGAAAGCAGCTGCATGGAGGGTGAAGGAGAGGCTGAGGGGAGAGGGCGAGGGTGAGGTGGAGCTGGGAAGGTCAGGGGCAGTTAATGGCCAGACAGCAGCAGAAATTCCACCTGGCGAGCTGGGGCCCCGAGGTCTTATCGGGTGAGGTTGGGGGTTGAGGGTGAGGCCCAAGGATGAGACTGAGGCACAGGAGTGCTGCCCAGGCTCTCGGTTCTTCCTGCCCCTCCTGGTGCTCATAGTGGGTGTCAGCCTCGCTTTTCCCAAGTGGGAGAAAGCAGATCTGCGGAGGTGGGAGGTGTTGGGTCCATGGCAGAGCCCTTCTGCTGGGTTCCTATCTGAGAGCAGGCAGAGGGTCCTGTGCCAGCAGACGCTCTTCCTCCTCTGCCCCAACCCCGTACCCCTGCATCCCTCTTTCTCCCCTCTCCAGGTGGCCGGTGAAGAGCCCTGGCACCAGCCTTGACCTCACCCTCTGGGACAGACTGAGGCAGGGGACCGCGGGCTGCCGGAGCCCTCGGGGCGAGCTCCCCAGCTCCCCTTCCCCTCCAGCATCTGCCTTTTGTTCCACCTCTCTTCTCCCTCCCTTGACTCAGGAAAACCTTCATCCCTATCTCCTGAAGCAAATCGTTTCCCTCCCACCCCCGCCCGCACGCCGTTCCCTACAGCCAGGGGGTCCCCTCCCCCCCGTCCCCTCCCCCAGCCAATCCCCGGACCCGAGAGGCTGTAAACTCGGAGCTGGCGGGTGGGGTGGGGAGTGTTGCAGGAGTGCATGGAGCTGGCGGGGACTCCTCAGTAGAATCGGGGGAGTCCCGTAGGGCTCCGGGGGCTCGGAGCCGGCCCCGCCCTCCTCAAACTTCTGTAGGACCGCGCCAGTTTAAACCCCTCTGCCCCAGCCTAGTCCGTCCCGCACACACCTCCCCTTCCCCTGTCGCCCATTTCCCCCTCGGCCGGCAGTACGGACTGCAGAAGGGGGGCGTGGGCGCCAGGAGGCGGCCTCTCCCGCAGCGGGGATTGCCTGGGGCGGAGGACCTGCGTCGCGGTTTGCGGGGATCGCCTTCGGAGGGGCCGCACGCGCTGTGTGCAGGCGGATGTGAGGAGCATCTCAAGAGGCGGGTGGGGGAAGCGGGATCAGGTTGTTACTACTGCAGAGAGAGAGAGAGGAAGAGAAGAGAGAGAGGGAGAGACTCGAGAGCGAGCGAGCGCCGGAGCGAGGGCCGCAGCGGCAGGGCCGGCGGGGAAGTGGGAAGAGGGACCTGGACTTCGGGACCCCAGCCGCCCCCGCCCCCGCCCTCTCCACCAGCTCAGGCTGAACGCGCCTGGAACGTCCCAGGGTAAGAGGGAACCCCAGGCGGGGCACCCCACGAGGGCAGCCAGTAGTCCCGAGCGAAGCCGTGCCTGGACCGACAGTGGCCACCTCCAGGGCCTGAGGCGCGGGCGGACGCGGGGTCACCAAACGGTGACACTCCGACTTTTGGGGCTTGGCGCTCACCGCGGGATAAACTAAAGAGTAGGACTGAGCCCGCGGTGGGAACTGTAATCCGGAAATCCATGGGCGTCGGAATTACCTGGCTAGACCCCGGGGAGGTGTCCTGAATTATCTCGGGAACCCCTCGCCCCCAACCTATTTCTCCCCGCGGAGAGCCCGGGTTCAACGCGGAGAGAAGGCGAGAGAAGCCGCGGTGCCTTAGCGCTGGGACCGGGGACCTGCGGGGAAGCAAAGGCGACTCGCCGCAGAGAAGCCGTGGGAAGGGCGCGGGGAGGTGCATGAAGTGGGCGTGCGGAGAGAAGTGGGTGCTGGGCGCGTGGGACCCCGCCGCGCCTGCTTCGCTGAGGAGGAGCTGGAAGAACATGCTCGCGCGACCCTGGGGAGCCCCTGGCGCAGAGTGGGGTGTGCCGGAGGCACCGGCGGTGCGCAGGACTGGCTGCCTTTCTGAGCGCCCCTGCCTTGCCGCAGCCGTCCAAGGTTGAGATGAGCGGCTGTATTTTCTACCCCTTCCCTCTCCCAGGAACTTTCCCACACTTTGACACGCGCCACGGCTCTGTGCATTGGAGGAAGCAGGCTCCCGTGGATCCTGGCAAGCTTGCAGAGGCCCGGGTGGGCAATGGGAGGGGGCAGCTGGGCAGTGGAAACGAGGGCCCTACTCAGTGTGCTGTGTGACCTTCGACAAGCCGCTGCACCTCTCTGAATCTCAGGATGATGGAGGCACATGGTAACCAAGACAGGAATGGGGACGAGGTGGGGGAGGGTGCGCGGGGGAACAAGCTCATGGGCACGTCTGCCCCAGCCTCTGCACCTGGGAATCGCTGCCTTTGGTCACTGGCCTCTCTTAAGTGACTTCAGTGCTCACTTCCGGGGCAGGGGGTGGCAAGGTGGAGCTGTGAACCCAGCGCCCCGGGGAGAGTCGGAAAGCTTCCATTCTGACCTGTCCTATGACCTTGGGCAACTCACTGACCCACTCTGGGCCTCAGTATCTTCATCTGGAAAATGGGGTTTGGAATTTAAGGTATCTGAGGTTTCTCCCAGTCCCAACACCCTGCAGGTGTCGCCCACTGAAAGGTTGGGGATGGGGTGCAGCTGGGTAGAATGACCTGGCCTCTGGGAAGACTGTAGCTCCCCTACTGCACCCCCCATCCCAAAGTAGCAGGGCTGTGACACCCTCAGCCTGTTCATTGGTCATCTCTCCCAACTCTCAGAATCCAGCTGATGGGGAGAAAGGCGGGCTTTCCAGCATTACACATCCTCTTTGCAGAGGGCAGATTCTTTCCTAGGGAAAGGTTCGCTGTGACAGACAGATGACCATAGGTTAAAGGGTGATGTCAAGGACCTCACAAGGTCATGCTGTCTGCTCTCTACCTCCAGACAGGGCTGCATTCATCTCAGATAAGGAAGATCTGAAGGAATTGTCTCGTTTTAGAAAGATCTCCACTACAATAGCCTAGAGCACCCCACTGTGCAATGTGACAGTCCTTGCCATAGGAAAGTCTAATCTAACTCCTTTTTGGGATGAACTCTGGTTCTGTCTTCAGTTGAGATGAGACAGTAACTTCATACTGGGCATTAGGGTGTTGCGGACGAGTCCGAGTTTGAGACAAGAGAGCTGAGTTTAATTTACAGGCTCTGCCTCCAATTTTGTGACCTTGTGTGACCTTGGGCAAGGCCCTTTCTTGCTTTCCTCCCCTGTACATTGAGAAGGTAGAACTAGTTAACTTCTCAGGCCCTTGCAACCCCACAATTCTGTGGCTGCAGTTCTGGGCTGGTGTCTGAGTAGCAGGAAGTGGGCTTGGCTGGGTGATGGGAGCAGGTGGTCTCCAGGAATTCCCAATGCATTGCCCTCCCACTTCTGTCACCAGAGTCAAGACAACTTGAGACAAATACAGTATATGAATTTCAAAGCCCAGCACACCCCTGGAGGGAGTCCCCAGGAGACCTTGGCTCTACTGGTTATTAGCTGTGTGACCTTGAGCAAATTACTTTATATCTTAGAGCTTCAGTTACTAAGTAGTCAAAACAAAATGAGAATAGTGGTGGTATTTTAGGGTTTTTATGAGGATTAAACAAGAAGCATATGTAAATACTTGGTCCAGTACTGAGCTAAGTCCTTAGTGAGTGGTAGCTATTGTCAATAATAATACAAGCTGTGTAGCAAGCAGGTGGCAGGGCAGCTGTGAGCAGTGGCCATGGGGAGCAGGGAAAGATTGTAGATTTGCAGTGTGATCTTCCCCTACCATCTTCAAAGCTTCCCTACAAAATGGGAACATCAGCACTATCTCTCTGTCTCTCTCTCTCTCTCTCTCTGATCATTAGGACCATTCTGCATTAGAAACTTCATGGGAAACAGAGAGACTGCTTGACTTTCCAATAATCTCACACCTGTTTTCCTTTGGTTCTCCCTTCCCCACTCTCTGCCACACCTCTGGTTATGATAAAATGGGCCTTTTACTCCATTCCCCGAACCTTCTAGGAAGGGACCAACTGAGAAGCAGAGAGGGGTAAGGCCAGATGTCCCTGGAGTGAGTGGCTGAAGGCATGTCTACACCCAGGTGGAAGGAGTGGCAAAGGGACTGGCTCAACCTGGAGGGGGACTCCCAGGACCCCATGGCCGGGACCGAGGTTTACCCTAGACTTGCTGTGTGACCTTAGGCAAGTCGCACGCCACTGTGGACCTCAGTTTTCTTGTATGTGAAGTGAAAGCTTGGTTTAGATGACCCAAAGTCCTTCTGGCTTTGTTGATCCACGACCCTGCTGGCTCTGCTTTTGCCGAGGCTGGGTGGGGGTGGAGGGGGTGGGAGGTTTGTTGGAGTCATTCAGGCTTTGGGTGTTCACTGCCCTGTGATTCCAGTCCTGTAAGTCAGCTTGGGGAGAGGCGATGACCTCCCCTTCTCAGTAAGAGCGCTGATGGTTAAGAGCAAAGTCTTTGCAGATAGATACATCTAGGTTCCCATCTTGGCTCGCTCCTTAATATCTGTGTGAATTCAGGCAAATTACCAACCTCTCTGAGCCTCAATTGTCTCATCTGTGAAAAGGGAATATTGCCAACCTGGAATAGGAAGTCCATAGTGTGATACTGACTAATGCACAAGGAATGGGTTTTTGAGGTTCTGTGTTATCACAGAGAGGGCTCAAGTTAGAGGAAGAGCAGGGATACAGTTCACAGTCCTGCAGTTGTCACCATGCACACAATCCCCCAAAATGCCCCAATGTCCTGTGTCGTCCTCCTGCTGTGCACTGGCCGCAGGCTCCAGGAGTTTGCATGCTCTGGTCTTCATCATGGGACCTGGAGAAAGGAAGAGCTCAGCCACAAAGGCCAAAGGCCAAGCAAGCATGAGTCTGAGAGGAGTGTGGCTGACAAAAGGCTCCTGATGATGAAGGAACACGAGCCAGCGGCATGGCATCCCTCCATTCAAGGTTAGTCATGAGGAAAGGCTGTGAGATGCTGCCTTGGAGAAAAGCTGAAGGAGCGGGGGACATCGCCTTCCGCAGGGATGTGTTAGATGAGTGCCACGGCAGGACGAGGCACTGAAAGGGGCTGTGGGATCATCTCATCCAGCCCTCTGTTTTGATTATGGGGAAACTGAGGCTTAGAGAGGGGGAGCTCCTTGCCCAGGATCACACAGCATGTTAGTACCAGCGATGGAGCTTGCCAGCCCTTGTAGAACCTCAATGCAACGCTCTTTCCTTCCTCCCTGTTAAGCACCAAGCAGTTATTTTCCATTTTTTCTGAAATCAGAGCACAAGGTAAAATGCCTTGACTGCAGCAGAAAGGACATGGGTCCTGATAGGAAGGAACTTCCTGATCTAGATACTGAGATCATGGGGTCCAACCTTCCCATTTTGCAGACTAGAACATGGAAGCCCAAGAAAATTAAAGAACTAGCATAAGGTGACCCAGTATCAGACACTTGAATTCCCAGGCCTGAGCTCTCTCAGTTATGCCAGCTATGCCACGCTGCTGCTCTTGAGCCAGACAGGGCAGCAGGATAGCCAAATGTGAAAAAAATAAACCCAGATGGGCTTGGGGAAGGGAGGGAGGACAGAAAGACAAAAGACCAAAAGACAGAAATATTACTTCCAAGACCACACTTTTCTTTCTCAGCTTGTCTCAGTTGGCCCTGCTCCCGCTGTTGAGGCTGACAGCTTGCTTTGCCCTCTGACAGGAGAGAGGAGGGAGACAATAGCCAGCCCCATTGGTCTCACTTCCATTGACAAGGCTGAGTGAAAGAAAGTCAATATTTGCCCAGTAGCAAAGGACAGGGAATAAGTGTGACTTGGGATGGGGCGGGGTAGGGGCAAACAGGGTAGGGTGATGGGGCTTTTGTCATTGCCGTGTTGCTCATGGAATCACAACTTAGCAATTTAACAAAGGGTGCATTTGGAAGCAGAAGGGTTTCTAGTAGATGGTAATGTGGCTATACTGCAGCAGGAAGGGCTCATGTGAGGTGCAAGGAAGGACTTCCTACCAGGGAATTGCCCGCTGTTGGCAGTCCTGAGCTGACTCGTGTGCCCCTAGTCCATGGTTTTTGGTTTTGGTTTTCAGGTTTTTTGAGTGAAAAGGAAGGCTGCAGTGTGTAGGGCCTCGGGTGTGAGCACTTGACTTCTAAAGGAGCTTTTGGATTTTCCGCATTAAATAACCCTTTGTACCTCAGAGTGCATCCAGCCCCATTAGCAGGCACCATCCTCCTGGAAACCCTGATCCCTAATAAACTTCCCTTATTGTTTGGAGCTGACACCTCCCCAGCTTCCAGCTCCCTGGAGAAATGGAACTCTTAAAGCTTTTGCAGAAAGGCCTCCGAGCAGATGGCCCATTGAGCGGATCTCTCAGGCAGAGGCTGCAGAAGCTGCAAGAAAGGCTGTGTATATACCCAAAGGATTATAAATCATGCTGCTATAAAGACACATGCACACGTATGTTTATAGCGGCAATATTCACAATAGCAAAGACTTGGAACCAACCCAAATGTCCAACAACGATAGACTGGATGAAGAAAATGTGGCACATATACACCATGGAATACTATGCAGCCATAAAAAGTGATTAGTTCATGTCCTTTGTAGGGACATGGATGAAATTGGAAACCATCATTCTCAGCAAACTATCTCAAGGACAAAAAAACAAACACTGCATGTTCTCACTCATAGGTGGGAATTGAACAATGAGAACACATGGACACAGGAAGGGGAACATCACACACCGGGGACTGTTGTGGGGTGGGGGGAGGGGGAGGGATAGCATTAGGAGATATACCTAATGCTAAATGATGAGTTAATGGGTGCAGCACACCAACATGGCACATGTATACATATGTAACAAACCTGCACATTGTGCACATGTACCCTAAAACTTAAAGTATAATAATAAAATTTAAAAAAAAAAAAAGAAAGTCTCAGTTCCTTATCTGGGCCCCCAAGCCTAGGGAAAGATGTGGAAGAAGTCCTTGGCAGGTCAAGGGAGGCTGTGAATTTTTTTTCTGCCTTTGCTTTGTTACCTTTCCATTTTTCTTCTCCGCATGTTGCTCCTCTTTTCTCTGTGTCCTGAGATTGGGGAGGGGCTGGGGGGGAAGGAGGGGCAAAGCCCACAGCCTTTCCCCAGCTGGAATGGAATGCTTGAACCCTGTAGCAGCTGCCGTCTGCTTCAATGGCTTTTGTGATTGCTGTGTTGCTCATGGAATCACATCTTAGCAATTTAACAAAGGGTGCATTTGGAAGCAGAAGGGTTTCTAGTAGAAGGTAATGTGGCTATACTGCAGCAGGAAGGGCTCATGTGAGGTACAAGGAAGGACTTCCTACCTGGGAATTGCCCGCTGTTGGCAAATATGCTAGGTGGAAAACCGTGGGAGTTGATCCACCGGACTCACTTACTCTCTTGGGAATGAGCCAGGTTTGTTACCTGCCCCTGAAGGGGCCACAGTGACATTCCTGGAGGTCAGTGCTGCCACCCAAGACTAAACCTAGTCCCACAGCCACCAAATTAATCATCAGGGCCGGCAGTCCTTGGAGACCAGAAAGCCAGAGTAGCTTCCTAAGCCCTTCGTTTGGCCCCGGGCACTGAGGGAGGGGCAGAGGGTGAAAGGGGGAAGGAAGGCCCTTGGCCTGGCCTCAGCCCAGCCAGCCCTGCAGCCAGGAGAGATACTGCAGCACCTACCAGCAGCCGGCAGGAGAGTGTCTCAAAGCTGCTGCTCACAGTGGGGCAGACGGAGCCTGCCAGCTCCAAGCCTGCCTTCAACCTGCTCCCCACTGCTCGGCTGGGCTGGGACTTGAGGGCAGCTGGCTGCTCAGAGACAAATTGCAGCCTGTCCCCCATCCCCGCCCCCAGCACATGGCACCTGGGTGAGAGCACAGCCCAGCTTCTGGACTTATGTGGACTTCCTGCACACACACTTCGTCCTGAGCCTAGTCGTGTGCCCCTAGTCCATGGTTTTGGTTTTGGTTTTCAGGTTTTTTAAGACAGGGTCTCACTCTGTCACCCAGGCTGAAGTGCAGTGGTGTGATCACGGCTCACTGCAGCCTCAACCTCCCGAGGCTCAGGTGATCCTCCCACCTCAGCATCCCACATAGCGGGGACTACAGGTATGCACCACCGTGCCTGGATAATTTTTGTTTTGCAAGGTTTTTCTTTGTTTTTGTTTTTGTTTTGTTGTTGTTGTTGTTTTGGTAGAGACAGGGTTTCACCATGTTGCCCAGGCTGGGCTCGAACTCCTGGGCTCAAGCAATCCTCCTACCTCAGCCTTCAAAAAGTGCTGGGATTACAGGCGTGAACCACCATGCCCAGCCCCTAGTCCATGTTTTAGTGAGACTTGGAATATGCGAAGCCTTGTACTTGTATGTGCTTGGCACTGTGGTGCAGTGGTTAAACCTCAGATGCTAGGGCTAGGTTGCCTGTATTCAAATGCCAGCTCCTCCAGTTTTTTATCTGTGGGACTTTGGCTAAGTTACTTAAACACTTGTTACCTCAGTTTCCTCATCTGTAAAATGGAAATGAAATAGCTTGCCATCAGGTTGGCATGAGGATTTGATGTATGACTATTTACATATAGCTCTAAGAATAGGCAGTGCCTGACACACGGTGCTATAAAGATTTTGCCATAAAGTGCTATAAAGAGTGTTATTATGGTGTTTCTGAAAACTGACTGACGTTTTGTAGGTAAAGAAACATAGCAGCAGAGCTGGGAGTGGGGCGAGGCAGGGGTATGATTGGCTTTGATGAGAAGAATCTAGAATCCAGTGAACCCACTATTAAGTTACTGCACATGGCCCCAGGCAAGCGGTTTTTCCCTATCTCTTGGACCTCAGTGGTCCCCATTAAAAAATGTGGAGAGGGATGCCTGCCTTCCTCACTTCTCCCAAGATGTCCTGGGATCGAATGAGGCAGATGATGGTCTGAAATAGCCAGTGAGCCTAGCGGATGCACAGGTTGGCCTCTCCCTGTCCCTGCTCTGGAGCACATGCTGGCTTGCTGGCTGAGGTCCTGGCATGTTGGGCTTTCTACCAAGGGCACCAAACCCAGTGTACTGCTCTCCCAGTGAGGCCACTTGGACTCTGGGTGGCTCTGGGCTGAATCTGGCCCTCCTCATTTTCTGTTCTTCCTTATTTCACCTGGAAAAAGGATGGTGGTTTTGTATCTCCTAATGCTCCTTAGCAAGGGAGAAGGAGTGTTTCTGAATGCAGTGTATAGTTGTACAAGCAGAGAAGGGGGCAGGAGAACCTCTCCTTCAAGCTGGGACACCCTGGCCATGAGCTCCAGACAAACTGAGGTGATGCCTTTCCTGGGTTGTCAAAAGTGGGAGCTCCTTCCCCCTACCACTTGCAGCCAGACTATCCACTGTGCAGGGAGGCAGGCAGGGGGCTGATCAGAAGCAGCACATTGAGTCAATATCACATTCAGCATCTTTCCTGCCAGGTAAGACAAGGACCCTGGTTGTTAGTGCCCTTGTCGCTTCCTTCTCTTTCCTCCTTCCTGGCTGGGAGGGAGAGCCAACCTGACCTGCTCACAGTATTGGAGTGATGGTTAGGTTAGGGCCTCTTGGTTTGGCCCCAATATCTTCTGCCAAGAACCATGGGGGTGACCAGGTTGTATATACCCAAGCAAGCAACCAAGTGATGCCCACTGCCCTACAGACTTCCCACCTGATCATCTGGGGTGAGTTGTGTGTAAGGAGAGGGAAGGCCACTTTATAAATAGCCTTAGAAATGTCTGCTTCTGGAGCTGTCCTCAGAGCTTCTTCCTGAATATCATTTTACCAAGAGCCCCAGAGATGAGGTTTCTTGGCCAAGGTCACCCCCAAAATCAACCGTGAGCTCATGTCTTGAAGTCCACTATACTTCATCTGCCCCATTCCCCAGGCTTCCCTAAAGAAGATATCCAGCATTGCCTAGAAATGTAGCTTTCCCTTCTGGTGCCTGTCTCCTGTGACCCTGCTCCTGACCTCATATCCCCCTGAATATCATCCCTTGTAAGTTGTATGGGTTTGGATTAGAGAGCGGGGAGAACTTCCTGAGTGGCCTCATTGGGACAGGGAATGGAGGCTTTCCCCAAGATACATAAGGGCAGGCCTGCTCTCCATGAGTCTGAACTGGATCAGGTCTTAGGAGCTTCAGGAGTTCGACAACACAAAGTCCAAAATCAGGTCCTGCGGCCTCCTAGGCATGGGACTTTGGGCAAGTTGCTGACTGGCTCTGAGCCTTATCATTAAATTGGAATGGATATGATTTACTATCTTATAGAAGTTTATAAATATATATTTACTTTTTGAAAACAGCTTTATTGAGCTATAATTCACATACTATACAATTCACCCATTTAAGGGCACGATTCAATAGCTTTTAATATATTCACAGAATTGCACAACCATCACCACGATCTAATTTCAGAACGTTTTTTCACCCCTAAAAAGGAACTCCATACATATTAACAGTCACCCTCGATTCTTCCATTCCTCCCAGCCTTAGCCAACTAATCATCTACTTTCTGTCTCTATGAAATTGCACCTTCTGGATATTTTATTTAGATGGAATTATATAACACATGGTCTTTGGTGCCTGGCTTCCTTCACTCACATAATGCTTTCAAGGTTTAGCCACATTGAAGCATGTATCGGTACTTTATTTCTTTTTATTGCCAAATAACATTCCATTGTGTGGATATACTGCGTTTTATTTCTCCATTCATCAGTTGATGGACATTTGGTTGATTCCACTTTTCAGCTACTCTGAATAATGCCGCTATCAACATTTGTGGAAGGGTTTTCGTAAGGATACGTGTTTTCATTTCTCTTGGGTATATGCCTAGGATTGTCAAATGGTATACTTTTTTTTTTTTTTTTTTTGAGATGGAGTTTCACTCTTGTTGCCCAGGCTGGAGTGCAATGGCACAATCTCGGCTCACTGCAACCTCTGCCTCCTGGGTTCAAGTGATTCTCCTGCCTCAGCCTCCCAAGTAGCTGGGGTTACAGGCATGCACCACCACACCCAGCTAATTTTGTATTTTTAGTAGAGACGGGGTTTCTCCGTGTTGGTCAGTCTGGTCTCGAACTCCTGACATCAGGTGATCCATCCGCCTGGGCCTCCCAAAGTGCTGGAATTACAGGTGTGACCCACCACACTCAGCCAGTATACTTATTTTTAAATGGTATATTTATATTACTAGGCTCTGTTCTAAGTATTTCATATGGATAGTCTCCTTTAATTATCATAATACTCTACAAGGTAGGTACTATTATGAATCCACTTCTTATAAAGTGAAGAAATGGAGGCATCATTTGAGGGACATCAAGGGATTTGTCCAAGGAGACTCAGCTAAGAGAGCCAGGATTTGGACCCTGGCCTCTGGCCCTTCGCTCTTCCAGCAACTTGCTCCTACATGTGAGATTTAAGTGAGAGAACGTCTGAAAGTGCTCCCAGCCTGACTGTAGTAGGTGCCCAAGAAACGTTCGTTGGATGCTGGGAAAGGACCAGACACCTTGCATTTCGCTGTCTGACTCACCATGTGGCTTTAGGGAATTTGTGTCCGTTTGAGCCTCAGTTAAATTTCCCCAATACATAAAGCTTCAATATGGCATTTCATAAAGACAGGACTGAGATGGGAGGTGCAATATCATGGAAAGAGCCCTGGATTCTAGATCTGGCTCTCTCACTGGCTTGGAAGGGGTAGTAATTTCCTTTCTCTGTCTCTGGGTTTCCCCACCATTCAATTAGAGGCTGGAACAATTGATCCTAAGTTTCCTTCCAGCTCCCCCATCCTATATAAGTTCTATATTCTTCCTCAGCAACTGGAGTCCCCTGTGGAGCTAAACTGGGATGGGTGCCCAGGGCCTCAGGTCACTGCTGTGCTCAGCAACACTTCTCCCACCCAGTGTGTTAAAGGCCAGGTAGGGGCTGAGTGGGATGAAGATGGGGAGGGGGAGGACCCACCCTAGGCCTCCCTTCCATTATGGAGCCCTTGGTGTGGGCTGGGGACCTTCTCTTCTCTCAGCCAGAAAAGAGCCACCTCACCTACACATCCCCTCAGTCTTCCCTGGCTCCCCTTCTCTTGAGTCCTGCTCCTCTGGAGTCCTGCTCCCTCTGGAGTCACTGCAGCCCTCATTCCAATGAACTACCCAGCCACTTTTGGAGGCTTGGACTAGCTCCTGGTTTGGGATCACTTATGGGAAAGCGCTGGGCACCCACTGGGTGCCCAGCATATTTTGGTGACTTAAATAGGGATCAGTATTTGAGCTAGTGGCTTCCCCTAGGTCATGATTCCCCAGTTCACTTATCCCCATCCTTTGTCAGCAAGAGCATTCACTGCATTCTGCAAACCTAACCTGGCAGCACCAAGCGAGGCGCTTCTGCATCTTCCAACTGCACAGCCACAGCCTGTAAACTTTTCCTTGGCCCTCCCTTTAGTCCATATTCCTTACTTTCTGGATGCCACCGGTCAGAGTGCCTCCTGCATCCCAGGTCCTGTGCCAAACACATAACGTACAGGATGCTGCATTTACCCCTCTGTGGTGGGAATTTGTAGTGTCTCTAGTTTATAGAAGAGGAAGCACATCCAGAACAGGGAAATAACTTCTCCAAGGCCACCAAGCTGGTAGATAACTGTGGAAGGATTTGAGCAAAGGCTGTCTGGTCCCAAATCCTGCATCACTCGACTGAAAGGAAAGATGGCATAAAGGGCTTTTAAGGGGGTGCCCAGAGCCAGGGAAATCAGGTGGAGCCTCTCTGGGCAGGTGGGCTCTGGATTCCTCCGGGGCAGGTCTGTGTCTCTGTGTCTTCTCTCTTCCCCTGCATGGAGAACAGTCGAGCCTGTTGGGTAATGCCTGGGAACACCCTCCTCTGGGCTTAGTCTTCTCATCGACAGAACAGGGTCTGACATTTCCAGCAGCCCTGTGCGCCAAGCTTACCCAGAGATCCGGTGATGGCTACACAGCCTTTCTTCCACTGGTTATAGAGTCACTTTCTCCCAGGTTTGCTGTTCTTCCCTGCAGTGTGATGAGCCGGCGTCTCATCCCCAGCTCCCCATCCCCCAATATCTGTGTGTCTCACTATTTTTAAGCTCCGTGGGCTTAATGAGCTGCCTGCCATGACACGTCTTCGACATTTACCTTTTTCTCTAATGAGCCTCAGAGAGCTAGCCTGGGCTTATTTTTCCCTTGACAGTCCCCCACCCCAGTCAGGAGGCCAGAACTGGGCTATTTCCCTTCGGGGCCCAGACTTGGCTTCCTGAGACCCCCACAGCAGTGTGCCCCACAAATTACCTAGTGGTGGCAACACTGCAGATTCCAGGCCCTGGGGAGCTGACTCCTTCTCTGGTACCACCTTCTGTCTTGTTTCTCCTCTCTTACCCCACCTCAGCCCCTTCCTGCAGAGTGGTGATGTCATAAAGGAAACTCTTGTGGTCCCCACATAATTGGCAGCTACTTCTCTCTGAGGACAAACTGCCTGGCAAACCAGCAGGGCCAGGCAAATGAGGCCAATTGGCAGCAAGGGCTGGGATGGAGATGTCAGAGATTTAGAGGCTCTCAGGGTTGGAAGGGGGACCTCAAATTTCATCTAGGTCAATGCTGTGTCCCCTTACCTGAGTCCTGTCTATAATATCCCTCCCAATAGTGGGCTAACCTCAGCTTGAATGCTCCCGATGATGGAGCACTCATTACCTCCTGGGACCACGAACTCATCAATGGGTGGTGCTGACTGTGCAAAAACCCTCCTTCATTTTGAGCCTAAATCTGTTTTCCAACATGAAGAGAGAAGACCCCCGCAGTGGGTTCATCCTTCTTCTGGCTCCAGCCCTCAGTGCTGCGAAGGAGCCGCAAGTCACTCTTCATGAGGAAACATGCCCGGTGTCTTGGGTGGGGGCAGAGGCACCACTGATCCACAAAGATGTGGTGTGATTTTTTCCTCTCAGGGGACTTTGCTTGGGGGAGGGGCCACTGGGAAGAGCCAAGAAGCTGCTAGAAAAAAACTGAAGTCGTTCCTCCTTCTCAAGTGCGAAGTGAACCTGCAGCAGAACATTAGAAACCCTGATGCAGGCTAGCTCCGTCTGTGGGGACCGTTACATGCTGGTTCTCTGTTGCCAGCTCCAGGGAGTCAGGGTCTAATAGGAGCCACCCCAGGTATTCCACTTATAGTTATAGCTCCAAGCAGGGGTCATCAGCAGGGTGACTGGAACTCCCTGCGGTTCCAGAGAGCCACAGATGCTCACCCATGCTGGCTTTGGTAGGCAGGGAGCTCAGTAAGCCTCTCCGAGGCTCAGGATTTTGCCAGTTTGGAAGAGCACTGGATGATTTGGAAGAGCACTGGATTCCAAGCTTGGAAGAGCACTTGGAAGAGCACTGGATTCCAAGCCAGCTTGGAAGAGCACAGTAAGGCAGGCTTCTTACTCTGTCACTTCGGACAAGTCCCTTCCTCTCTCTGGCTGTCAGTTTCCTCAGCTGTGATATGTGCTATGTGTGGACCTTCAGAAATGGTGCAGGGCTGGGCCCTGCAGCTGCCGAATGCCATGTGTGTGGGTGGAGGTGCTTCATCCTGGGCCGTGCTCTGCAGGACACAGTGTTTGTCACCAGTGGTCATATGAAGGGACAGTCCTCTGCCCACTTCCATTTCCCCTCTCCTCTGGCCCAGAGCAGGGAGGCCAGAGCCCTGTGTACTGCTAGGCAGGGCAACGGCCCATTCTCAAATGTTTGCTGGGGCCGGGGGTGTGGAAAGAGGCTCCTGTGAGGGAAAACCTTGAGGCCTCTGGTGTCCTGGACCAGGGAGGCTCTCCTGCCCTAAGTCAGGCTCTGTGGAGAGGGTCCCAGATGATGGCGTCTCTGGAGCCGGGGTGTGTTCTGCCGTGTCATCACCTTCCCAAGTCAGCTGTCATCGCTGCGCTTTCCAGGGTGGTGGCTGTGAGGGGTCCCATCATGGTCTGTGGTTGCCAGACACCCACCCAGGTGGACGTCTCTTGCCTGGAAACTGGCCAGCCTCTTCCAAGCCCACCCCATCTCCTCCTAAACCTTGGCTCCCTGCTGCTTTTCCAGGAAGCCTTTCCTCAGTGGCTCCCTGGTTCTAGGTGCCTTTGCCCTGTGGTTCTCAGCAGAAGCGCCTGTGCATCATGGGAAAGCCGGTTGGCGATGGGATGCACGGCGCTCTATTAGGGTCTATGCTCTCTCTACCCATGGTGTCCTCCAGCACCTGGTCAAGCCAGAGTGTGTGGGAGCCAGGGGTCCACCCCTAGCTCTTTCTGCTCTGCACATTCGTTTTTCTTTTTGATGAAGTTATAACTTAGATTCAGCAAAGTGCACAACTTATGGATATATGCACCAGTATAATCACCAAAGAAATTCCCCAGAAGGATCCCTGTCCCCTCCCAGCCCCTGCCTGCCCCTCCGGTGTAACCGCTCTATTGCCATGGAGTCATTTTCTGTTCTTCAGAGCTTTCCTCCGATTCCTGGTCATTCCTCAATCTCCCTGGCTTTCCTCTTTCTCTACAAATCCTCCAAATGCTGATATTTCTAGAAGCCCATCTCTGGATTTCTTCTTATGCCCACACTCTCCCCAGCGGATTATTCTTTTGTGCTAGTGACTTCCAGAGTCACTTCTGAGCAACACACCTGCCCCTCCCCTCCAAGCTGCCTGCTGGGTATGGCCGCTTGGCTGGTCTGCTGGCATGGCTAGGTCTCACCTAATGTCAAACTCCTGGGCTCCAGTGATTCTCCCACCTTAGCCTCCTGAGTAGCTGGGACGACAGGCATGCACTACCATGCCTGGCTAATTTTAAAATTTTTTGTAGAGATGGGGTTTCACTGTGCTGTCCAGGCTGGCCTCAACCTCCCAAAGTGCTGGGATTACAGGCATGAGCCACCACACTAGGGATAGGTTTTGCCTGGGACATCCTTGGGGAGTCTGGGCAACCTCACCTCTTCACATCCCAGTGTTGTCATCTATAGGATGGGAGTGGCAGCTAGAGGAAGAACAGCTAGACTCTGCTGACTTCTGAGAGGAGGATGTGGTCAGATACCCACAAATGAGAACTTGAAAATTAGAGCAACCAAAATAGAGACTCAGCAGCCACGGTTGGAGAAGCCATGGCTGCTGAGAGGCCTGAGTATTGGGGAAGGTGGGCTGGAGGACGGGGAAAGGCTTGGCAGGATCTGGACACAGGGGCAGGAAAGAAGCCAGGGATAGTGCAGTGGCTCAGAAGAGAGGACTTGGCCCAGAGGTGGGCATCAAGAAGGCCGTCTGGGCTGGAGCTAAAGGCATGGGTAGAAGGAGGACCATTGATTAAGAGAGGCCTGAATTATCCCAGGAAATTTTAAAAAGGGGTGGCTTAATCTGGCCCTTAATAGGGGGTTAGCAGAGAGGCTGCCCCACCTCTCCACTGGAGCCATCCCCGTGTGCTTCTGACAGGCCTGTGCCCAGCCTGGCTCAGGAACCAGCCATGGACATAATGCCATGCTTTACATACAGTGCTCCTAAGCCTCGCAGCACTGCGCAGCAGCTTCCATTATCATTCCCGTTATGCAGATGGAGTGCTGAGGCCAAGAGAGGTTAAGCAACCTGCTCAAGTTCCCATGGCTAAAAGTGACAGAGCTGAGACTCCAGTCCAGGTCAGTCTGTCCAGAGCCCAGGTGCTAATTCACCCCACTTGGCTGCACCTGGTGTTTCACTTGGCTCCTCTTCCTCAGCAGAGCTGTCTTCTAGGTTTGGATCCACATAGAATTCCAAGTTGAGGCTTTCCAATTTGGAATTCTCCCCCTCATTGCTCCCCTCCTCCAGCCCATGGGTGTTTTGAGGCCATGGTTCATCCCTCCTGGCCCCTACCTCCCATGTCTGTCCCGGCTCCCGGTCAGGCAGGAGAGAGCTGGCTTCTTTGGAGCACCTAATTGTGCCCCCGGGACTTTCATGCTCCACTTTAGTTTCTGGAGACCACGAGCTGTCATAGGTGTTGGTGATAATGGGCATCTCTGTCTGAAGAGTGATGGGTACATCTCTGTCCCTGGCGCCTGGCCAGCATCTGGAAGGACGGAGGCGCTCTTGGAAACGGGAGGACCAGACTGCACCTTCCTTGGCTGGCTCCCAGCTCCCACTGAGAGCAGGCTGGGCTCTCCAGACGTCTCATGACCTCTCCCAGGTCCCGGTGTGGCCCAAAGCGAGCTACTCTGCTGCCTGGGAGTACAGCTGTTTCCGTCCTCTGGGAAAGGGTGCTGTGAGCGAGCGACCTGTTTCTCTCCGCCTGAGGCCCAGTTTCCTCAATTACAAAATGGGAATCACAGTCCCCACCTCACAGGGCCCGGATGAAATGAAATACACCGCTGGAACGGAGTGGGCACAGTGGAGGTCTCCCTCCCTGCCCCCGGCACCCACCTCTGAGCCCGGTGCCTTTGTGGTCTTCCCGTTAGACCCACCTTCCCAGTGTGCTTCAGGAGCTCCCTGGGGTTGTTTGTTGGGAAGGAAAGAGCCCTGGGCTGAGTGCTAGGAAGTCAGGGTTCAAGTGCACCGGGAGGCCTTGGGCAAGCTGATCTCTGAGCCTTAGCTGTCTCCTCTGTCAAGGGGCAGAACCACATCTGCTGCACCTCCCAAAGGCCTGAGCTCTGTTGTCTCCCCGTGAGCTGCTTCAGGATGGGGTTGGGTTTTATTCTTCTTGTATTCCCAGCACTTAGCACGGAGCCTGACATAGGATTTGGAGAAAACGAAAGTGAAGATCAGAGGAAAGAGTGGATTTTTAAGCAATTAAACATGCTAAGGGGTTATTTTCAAGGTTGGGTAAGGCAGACAACTCCTGGCCAAACCCTCATTAACTGGGGAAGTGGTCTTCATGCCCTTCCTTCGCGCATGACTCTCCAGAGAACCTGAGCTGCACTGGACCTTCTTTCCCCATGGGGAGCCACAGGCCTGCCTACCTATAGTGGAGCACCGCAAGGCAGTGCGCCTGCCCGTCCACACCCCACCCATGACCACTCAGGCCCTGGGTGTCAGGGTCTGAACTAGACAGGGTGCCTCTTTCGGCTTTGGGGTTTCTCTTCTCTCCTTTAGCAGGGAGCTTGATGGGACAGAGGTTGCCAGAGTTGGGGGGGCAGTGCCTGCTGAGATCCCCCACCTCCTCCATTGCCTGCTACCAGGCTCAGCAATCAGGCTGCTCCTCTGGGAGCTGGCAGGAAATGCAGTCGTGAACAAGACACGTTCCCACCTCACAGCCTTAGTGATCCTCCAGGAGCTGAGCTGCTTATACAAGTACCTTTGACACCAGGAAGAAGTGACGCAGTCTCTGCAAGAGGAACACACAGAGCCAGGGAAGAGAATTCTGGGCCTCAGGCTCCCCAGCCGCACAACCTCTGCAGCAACCCTTGCCCTCCTGGACAGAGCCTGGGCTGGCTCAGAGTCCCTGACTTGGCGAGCACTGCACCCCTCGTTGTGGGTAACACAAGGTCCGTCCTTGAGTCCATGGTCAGCATGGACTCGGCCTAGCCCCGCTGAGAGGAGAACTGAGGAAAGGAAATGAGTATTTATTTAGGGACCACTTTGTGCCAGCACATGTGGCCTCTTCAATCCTCATAACATCCCTGTGAGACAGGCACCTGATCCTCGGTTTGTAGCTAAGAAATGATCCCAGGGAAATGAACTCATCTCCCAGGGCTGCAGAGCTGCTAAGTGTCAGGTTGGAAAGCAGCCCTGGCTGTTCTAAAGCCCAAGTTCTCTCATGACCCCACTACTCTTTGTGCCCGCTCGCCTTCAGAGGTAGAACTCTCCAAGCATCTCGGAAGGCTCGGTTCTAAAAGCTGAGAGGCTATCTAGGCCGCATGCGGTGGCTCAGGCCTGTAATCTCAGCCCTTTGGGAGGCTGAGGCAGGTGAATTGCTTGAGCCCAGGAGTTTGAGACCATCCTGGGCAACATAGCGAGACACCTTCTCTACAAAAAAGAGCCGGGCATGGTGGTGCGCCTGTAGTCCCAGCTACTCGTGGGGGTCGAGGCTGCAGTGAGCTGTGATTGCGCCACTGCTCTCCAGCCTGGGTGACAGAGTGAGACCCTGTCTCAAAAAAAAAAAAAAAAAAATGAAAGCTGAGAGGCTATCTTGGGAGATGCAAAGCCACTTTCCAAAGGATGGAAAGAAGTGGAGAGAAACCAGGTCTCCTGATGCCTCTTTCAGGTCCCAGACCTCTTGCCACCTTTGGAGACAGAGGGTCTGGCAAGAGTTGCCGCTGCAGAGGGAGGGTGGGGGCTGGTGACCCTGTGGTCTCTTCCAACCCCGAGGCTGTAAGGTGACCTGCACCGTAGTCCACCCCCTCCCATTACCCAAGTACAGGGCCTGTAGCTATCACCCCAGCTTCCGGGACAAGTCCTGTGGCCCCAGACCCCCAGCCCTCCCTTCCCTGGGGCTTCTCACATTTCTACATGTGGCAGTGTAATGCACCTGCACGCAATGTTTGTATGCATGTTCACAGTGCCGGTTCATGCATGTTTATACATTCATACATGGTGTTCATACACATGGCGCTCACGTGCACCCACATACACATACACAGCCTTTCTGGCATTCTCTGCCACGTCCCTGCACTGGCTGCTGTCACCCATTTCAGCTGGGCCTGAGAGATGGAGACAGGACCCCCACCCCGGTGCTGCCGGCTAGCAGATGCCACAGTGCTGATGTTCTGCTCCATTACTGGGTTGATGGAGCCTCCTTCTGCCTCCGGCCTCCCACCGGTTGCCCACCTCCTCCTTTCCAGGGTGTGAGCGTTGACTGGGGGCCTGGGAGGCAGTGAGCCTGGCGGGGGTGCGGCTGTGTGCGGAGGGCATGGGCCTGGCTTGGGTGGAGATGGGGCTGGAGGCAGGCGGCAGGCTCCTGGACGGACAGCAGGGGGCACCACTAGGTCTCCTGGCCGGGCCACAGGAAGGGAGGAGCCGGGCCTCCAGGCTGGGGAGGAGGCTGCGGTCTCTCCAGCTACTCTCCCGCAGCTTGAGCGGGGGCACCTGCCACCCAGCCCGGGCTCCTGCCCCTGCTCCCTTCCCCCTCCCCGCACACTGGCAACACCCCCTCCCCTTACACCCCCAGTCCACGCCACACACACACCCTACTACACACCACACACACCACACAGACACACACCACACACATACCACACACATACACACCCTACTACACACTACATGCACCACACAACACACACCACACACACACCACACACACCCTACTACACACTGCACACATACCTCACTACACACAACACACAACACATACACTTATTACACACACCACAGATGCACTGACACACACATCCCACACAAACTCACTATACCCCCATACCACACATATGTACACACCACACATATGCCACTACCCACCACTACCCACATACCCCCTGACACCCCACTAGAGCCTCCACCCCTAACCCACACCACCCCCTACATCACACACACACACCATATACACACACCCCACTGTCCCCCACACCCTAGAGCCCACATTACACACTACACATACAGCACACACATCCTACACACACACACCACCACGTATACCCCTACCCACCACACACGTACACACACCACATATGCACACTCACATCACACACACACCACCACACTCACGCACTCCTATTAAAAGGCTTTTGCTTTCGTGCCAAACCTCTAAACCCATCCCTTAGAGGGGCGGTGATCGGCAGAGATAGTATGTTCAAACCTTGTAACATTTAGTCAGAAAGAAAATGCATCAATTTGTAATGGTTTGTAGCTGAAATTGAAGATGTGCATCTGGCATGAAAGATATCGGGACTGTGCTGGAAGGTGCTGTGTGCCTCACATGAGGCAGAGCTGCTCACACTGTGGCTGGAGGATCCATTGATTGTGTGGGTTAATCACTGCTAAGCCACAGAGAGCTCCCCTTTCCCCTGGTGAGCGCTTCCCCAGCTGACAGTTGCCCACGCGCTCTGCAGAAAGCAGTGCCTCTCTTGGGAGCACGACCAGGGCAGACCCCCACGGTCCTACCCGTCCTCCCTCACACTCAGAGCATGCGCACAACAGACCTCCTGGGGCCCACGGGTGCACCCCCACACACACACACTTTCCGTATCCTACACCAGGCAGCCCAGGGCCCACTGGTCCCCAAGCCTCCATCTGTCCCCACTCAATCACTCATTCGGGGTCCCCCACCCTTCCTGGCGTGCTCCCAAGCATCTTGACACTCAACCAATGGAAGACCCTCTCCTCCGCCCCAGGACAGCTGCCTGTGGGTTTGGGAGATGTTGTGGGGTGCTGGGGAGTGGGGAACCCTGGAGGCCCAAGATGCTGAGTCTCTGGAGAAGGAGGTGGGAAGGCAGCCTGTCTGGGGGCCAGAGGCAGCCCCCTGGGCTGAGAGCAGCTGGGGGCCCCAGCAGGCAGCTCAGGGCTGGCCAGGCAGCTGGACTGTGACTCAGCAGCTTCTCCGCCTTGGCTAGAGTGCGCCGTGCTGCAGTATTAACTCCCTCTCCAGGGAGCCTGGACTCCAGCTTCTCTCCCACGGGGATGGCGGGCTCCTCTGTGCTGTTTCAAGTTGATCCTGGCTGGGGTGGCAGAGCGGAGGGTGTGCTGAGGGGCCTGCCTGGCCAGGGCATCCCTCTGCCCCCTCACCACCGCTACCCCTACACCCTACAAGAGTTAGCCAAGGATCAAATGGAGCCAGGGCTTGGTGGGGTGGCCTGAGGAGCTACAAAGGCCTGGAATCCAGGAATTGACAACTCAGGCAGTTCTGCCACCATTTAGTGGTGTTGTTTGTGTGATGGAGGTAAGCCACCTCCCTTTGGGGCCTCGATTTCTTTGTTTTCGAAAAGAGGCTGTGGACTGCATTGTCTGTAAGAGTCCTTCAGCCCTCACAGGCTGGGTTTTATTAATATTTGTCTGTGATTTAAGGGTATCCATGCCTGGGGTCTAGGTTCAGAGAGAAATAATCCGAGGCAGGCGTGAGGTGCTGCAGATTTGCAGAGCCTTACTCAGGAAACTTCACCTTTGATCATGGAAGCAGTCCTTAAGGCAGGGAGGGCAGGGATGCTTAACCCTCACACACAGCTGCACAAGCGCAGGGAGGCTAACAGGCCAGCCCAAGATTGATGCAGGAAGGGCTCAATCCTCAGCCATTGGATTCTGAGGTGCCCATCAGGTGGCCTGGGATTGCTGATCTCAGCATAGATGCAAGAGAAGGAAAATGAGTGTTGCCGCAGCAGGAGAGATTGAAGTTAGACACTAGAAGGACGTTCCAACTCTCAGGAACCTGGGAGTTGTTAGCTTCCCCAGGGCCAGTCAAGAACAGACTCTGCTTCTATGTGTGCAGAATGACAACCTTGCTCCAAAGTGGAGGTGTGCGTGGACTGACCAAGAAGGCTCATCAGACCTCGGTACACAAGGAACTCAAAGAAATGGGTAATTTATTTTCAGAATGAGCTAGAAAATTAATTCATTAACACTTTATCCTCAGCCTCCCAGGACCAAATGTTGGACTGAAGCACTGGTGCAAAACATAAAGACAAACATTTCTCCTTA